>NC_000002.12:97112551-97439618 GCF_000001405.40 Homo sapiens | reverse complement strand
GAATTCTCCCTGGCATGGAGGTCTTCAGGTCCTGCCAAGTGAGTGACCTCCCAATTGGGTCTCCAGCCACCCCCACCGGTGTTCTTGGGATGACAGAGATTTGAATTCTCCCTGGTATGGAGGTCTCAGCGTCTGGCCCAGTGAAGGACTTCGGCCTCCAGCCACCCTGCCAGTGTTTTGGGGCTGACAGAAATTTGAATTCTCCCTGGCATGGAGGTCTTGAGGTCCTGCCCAGTGAGGGACCTCTCAACCGTGGCCTCCAGCCACCCCCACCGGTGTTCTCGGGCTGACAGAGATCTGAATTCTCCCTGGCACGTAGTTCTCAAGGTCCCGCCCAATGAGTGTCCTTTTAGCTGGGGTCTCCAGCCAATCCCACTGGTGTTCTCAGGCTGACAGTGATTTGAGTTCTCCCTGGCATGGAGGTCTCGGGGTCTTGCCCAGTGAGGAACCCCCCCAACCGGGGCCTGCAGCCACCCTCGCTGGTGTTCTGGGGCTGACAGAGATTTGAATTCTCCCAGGCATGGAGTTTGTGAGGTCCCACCCAGTTAGGGTTCTCCTAACTGAGACCTCTGGCCACTCACACCTGTGTTCTCATGCTGAAAGAGATTTGAATTCTTCCTGGCATGGAGGTCTCCGGTTCCTGCCCAGTGAGGGTCCTTCCAACTCAGGCCTCCAGCCAACTCCCCCCACCCCCGCCAATATTCTGGGGCTGACAGAGATTTCAATTCTCCCTGGCATCGAGGTATCGGGGTCCTGCCCAGTGAGGGACCTCCCAACGGGGGCCTGCAGCCACCCCCGCCAGTGTTCTGGGGCTGACAGAGATTTGAATTCTCCCTAGTGTGGAGGTCTTGAGGTCCTGCCCAGTGAGGGACCTCCCAAGCGGGGCCTCCAGCCAACCCCACTGGTGTTCTCATGCTGAGAGAGATTTGAATTCTCCCTGGCATGTAATTCACAAGGCAGGCTGACAGAGATTTGAATTCTCCCTGGCATGTAATTCACAAGGTCCCACCCAATGAGGGTCCTTTTAGCTGCGGTGTCCAGCCACCCCCACTGGTGTTCCCAGGCTGACAGAGATTTGAGTTCTCCCTGGCATGGAGGTCTTGGGGTATCGCCCAGTGAGGGACCTCCCAACCGGGGCCTCCGGCCACCCCCGCCTTTATTCTGGGACTGACAGAGATTTGAATTCTCCCTGGCATGGAGGTCTCGGGGTCTGGCCCAGTGAGCGACCTCCCAACTGGGGTCTCTGGCCACCCCTGCCAGTGTTCTGGGGCTGACAGAGATTTGAATTCTCCCTGGCATGGAGGTCTCGGGGTCCCGCCCAGTGAGGACCTCCCAACTAGGGCCTGCAACCACCCCGGTAGTGTTCTGGGGCTGACAGAGATGTGAATTCTCTCTGGCACGGAGGTCTCGGTGTCTGACCCAGTGAGGGACCTCCCATATGGGGCCTCCAGCCACCCCCGCCAGTGTCCTGGGGCTGACAGAGATTTGAATTTTCCCTAGCATGGAGTTCTTGAGGTCCCACCCAGTGAGGGTTCTCCTAACTGGGCCCTCCGGCCACCCCTACCTGTGTTCTCATGCTGACAGAGATTCGAGTTCTCCCTGGCATGGAGGTCTCCAGTTCCTGCCCAGTGAAGTTCCTTTCAACTCGGGCCCCCAGCCACCACCCCACCCCCTCCTCCAGTGTCCTCAGGCTGCCAGAGATTTCAATTATCCCTGGCATGGCGGTCTCAAAGTCCTGCCTGGTGAGGGATCACCGCACTGGGACCTCCAGTCACTCCTGCTGGTGTTCTCGGGCCCAAAGATATTTGAATTCTTGGGATGAAATGGCCAAAGATGAGCTGCCATCTTTGCTGTTTGTGCAACTTAGCCACTCCAGCCTGAGGGTTTTGTGGAATCCATACCTACCGGGGCAGAAGGGATCTCCCAGCACAACACAGCTACTCTACAAAATCTTGGTCAGGCAGATTCTTTTAGCAGGTTCCTGACCCATTTCTTCTTAATTGGTAGGACCTTGACAACTCTATCCAAGGGAGAATGTAAATCTCTGTCAGCTCTAGAACTAAGGGGTGGAAGCCCCACTTGGGAGGTCTCACCCAGTGAGGAACGGATCGGGGATCTACTTAAAGAATCTTGCCATGATTTGATAGAGCAGTTGTGCTGTTCTGGGGATCCCCTCCACCCTAGTCACTTTGGACTCTCCAAAGCCCACAGACTGGAATAACTGAGTCACCCAAACAGCAAAGATGGCGGCCCCCTTCTCCCCCAGGGAACTCATCCCAGGGAGAATTCAAATCTCCGTCAGCCTGAGAGCACCTGCAGGAGTAGCTGCAGGCCCCAGTTGGGAGGTCCCGCCCAGCGAGGAGGAATGGATTGGGGATCCACTTAAAGAGGCAGTCTGGCCACATTTTGGTAGAGCAGCTGTGCTGCGTGGGGGATCCCTTCTGCCCTCAGTTGGTTTGGGTTCTCAAAAGCCCAACAGGCTGGAATGGCTAAGTTACCCAAACAACAAAGATGGTGGCCTGCCCTGTCCCCTAGGAAGTCAGTCTCAGGTAGGTAAAACACTGTTGCTGGTGGCTGGCTGGAGTTGTTTCCTTGATTATGTGAGTAATGCGAGTACCTGGTTGTTTCAGTTGAAGGTGCTGTATTGACTTGCCCTTTTCATTCCTCTCCATGAGAGCCGTGCACCCTAGCTTCTTCTAGTCAGTCATCTTGGCCACACACCCCCATAATCGTATTTTTTAACTAAATCATTCTTTAAAACTCTAACAAAATATTTAAACATTTAAAAAGTGTGAGCTTTAGAAATGCCTAATTACATCTTAGGTTTGAGACACGTAGCAGTTATGTACATTGTCAATTCCAGATTTTGCATCTTACAAGGAAAGGACTTAGATCTTATTCAGTCTTTGTGTGTCTAAACTATCTTCGCCTGTAAAATGAGTACAATGAAGTACTTTATAGAGTTGTAAATGTTATATGTAAAAATATAGCAGTGAGGGGGCAGTGGGCTGGCCAAGGTGGCCGAGTTGAAGCAGCTAGTGTGTTTGGCTCTCACAGAGAGGAACACAAGGGGAGAGTCAATACTGCACCTTCAACTGAAACATCCAGGTACTCACATTGGGACTAACCAAGGAAACAACTTGACCCAGGGAGAATGAAGAAAAGAAAGGCAAAACGACAGCCCACCTGGGAGTACCACAGAGCCAGGGGGAGCTCTCTCACCCAGGGAAGCAGTGAGTGAATGTGTGACCCTGGAAACCCATGCTTTTTCCATGGATCTTTGCAATCCTTGGGTCGGGAGTTCTCATGAACCCACTTTACCAGGGCCTTCAGTCTGACAGAGCTACGTGGAATCTTGGCACAGCAGCCACTCAGGCACACATGGAGACCTGGGAGCCTTAGGTACCTGGGCTTTCCTGCAAAAGTAGCTGCAACTGTGGCAAAGTGGGAGGTGAGACCCTCATACATATCCCTAGGGAAGAGGCTGAATTCAGGGAGCTGAGCAGCAACAGCCTGCAGGCCCCACTTCCACAGCACCTCACAGGATAAGAGCCACTGGCTTGGAATTCCAGCCAGCCACCAGCAACACTGTTGAGCCTCCCTGAGACAGAGCTCCTGAGAGAAGGGGTAGGCCACCATCTTTGCTGTTTGGGCAACTTAGCTGCTCCAGCCTTCGGGATTTGGAGAGTCTCAGCGGACCAGGGACAGAGGGATCCATTAGCACAGCACAGTGCTACTCTACCAAAATATGGCCGGACTACTGCTTTAAGAAGGTCCCCAATCCCATTCCTCCTCACTGGGCAGGACCTCCCAACCAGGGCCTCTAGCTACCCACTCTGGTATTCTCAGGCTGACAGAGATTTGAATTCTCCCTGAGATGGAGTGCCCTGAGGGAGGCGTGGGCCGCCATATTTGATGTTTTGGCAACTTAGCCATTCCAGCCTTTGGGCTTTAAGGAGTCCCAGCTGACTTAGGGCGGATATGGCCCCCCAGCACAGCACAGCTGCTGTACAAAAGCATAGCCAGACTGCTTCTTTAAGTAGGTCCCGGATTCATTCCTCCTCACTGTTTGGGACTTCCCAACTGGGGCCTCCAACCACCCCCACTGGTGTTCTCCTGCTGACAGTGATTTCAATTTTTTCTGGGCTGGAGCTCCCTGATGGAGGGGCAGGCCACCATCTTTGCTGTTTTTGCAACTTAGCCACTTCAACCTTCAGTCTTTGGAGTGTCCAAGGAGACCAGGGGGTGATGTGGACCCTCAGCATACCACAGCTGCTCTATAAAAATGAGGCCAGACTGCGTTTTTAAGCACTTTCCCAATGCCATTCCTCCTCACTGGGCAAAACCTCCAAACTGGGGTCTCCAGCCACCTCCTACAGGTGTGTTTGGGCCAGCAACAAGTTCATTCATACCTCCCTAGGGCAAAGCTTCCAAAGGGAGCGGTAGGCTGCCATCTTTGCTGTTTCACAGGCTTCACTGATGATAACTCCAGGTACTGGAAAATCTGAGGCTACTAGAGACTGGAGCGGGCCCTGGGCATACTGCAGCAGCCCTATGGAAAAGTGGCCAGACTGTTACCTGGGTTCCCATTCCTATATCTTCTCACTAGGCAAGTCTTGCAGGCCTGGACCTCTACCTAACCCCCCCTACCAGAACTGTTGAGCCAGTAGCAACTCAGCCACTCCCTGGAGAGAGCCTCCAGGGGCAACTGAAAGCCTCTCTGCCACTGCTTCTGCAGTGGAACTGTCCTTGCTACCCTCAGACTGATGAAGGAGCTAACACCCTTATCTACACCTTCAACAAGCTTTAATTGACCAAAGCCCATCTCTCATGGGTTCTACACACTCCCCACTGCTCATGACAGGGAACCCCTGGATTGGCCCCCACAGCACGAATTCTCCATCCTGATTGCTGATTGCAGTAAACAGTTGCTGTATTCTCCAGGGGTGGTGGAACTCTGAGGAGACAAACAAAAGACCCTTGGCTACAACCACTACTAATGTCCCTTCCTCTTCTGCCTCAAAGTTAGGAAAGAAATATAAACACTGAGATTGCCCCAGAGCTGCAGTGGGCAGCCTAGGAGTGCCAAGCCATGACCTACAGCCAGCACTCAAGGGGGAGAGAAGCACATTTTCAGATCATTGAGAGGGAACATGGCTGCAACTGTAAGGAAACATAGGGGAGCCACATGACCAAGCAAGAGTCTACCAACTGACCAGTAAGCCCAAGTGCCACCTACTGGATCACATCCCAAAGCTTCAGCATCAAAAATACCTTACTAATATACTCCCCTCTGAAACCAGAAATGAGAAGTCAGCTTCAAATAAAGACCCTGCACAAAGCCTCAGCCTGGTGAAAACATCCGAAAATAAGTCTACGGACTGTACTCAATCTACACTGCAATTAAAGGAAAACCCATAGGTGGAAATGAGAAGAAACCAATGCAAGAACTCCAGTAACTCAAATGGCCTCTGTGTCATATGTCCTTCTAACAACCACACCAGTTCTCCAACAAGAGTTCTTAACCTGGATGAACTGTCTGGAATTACATAAATATAATTCAGAATATGGATAGGAAAAAAAATCATCAAGACTCAGGAGAATGGCAAAACCCAATCCGAGGAAAATAAGAATAACAGTAAAGTGTTACAGGAGCTGAAGGATAAAGTAGCTGGTATAATAAAAAAGAACCTAACCGATCTGAAAGCGCCGAAGAACACAATACAAGAATTCCACAATGCAATCACAAGTATTAACAGCAGAAAAAAAAATCTGAGGAACGAATCTCAGAACTTGAAGATTGGTTCTCTAAAATAAGATGGACAAAAATAAAAAAGAATGAACAAAACCTTCAAGGAGGATGGGATTATATAAAGAGGCCAATTCTACAAATCACTGGCATCTCTGAAAGGGAGGTGGAGAAATCAAACAACTTGGAAAACGTAGTTCAGGATATCATCTTTGAAAGCTTCCCTAACCTTGCTAGAAAGGCCAACAGTCAAATTCAGGAGATACAAAGAACTCCTACAAGATTCTACACAAGACCATCCTCAAGACACATAAACATCAGGTTTTCCAAGGTCGAAATGAGGGAAAATATGTTAAAGGCAGCCAGAGAGAAAGGGCAGGCCATCTACAAAGGGAACCCCATTAGGCTAACAGCAGATCTCTCAGCTGAAATCCTACAAGCCAGAAGGGATTGGGGGACTATATTTAACATTATTAAAGAAAATCTTCAACCAAGAATTTCATATACAGCTAAACTAAGCTTTCTAAATGAAGGAGAAATGAGATCATTTACAGACAAGCAAATTCTGAGGTAATTCATTACCACCACATCTGCCTTACAAGAGATTTTAGAAAGGAGGACTAAATATAGAAAGGAAAGACCACTACACGCTAATGCAAAAACATACTTAAACACACAGACCGGTGACACTATAAAGCAACCACACAAAAAAGCCAACATAATAACCAGCCAACAGCACAATGACAAGATCAAATCTACACAAATCGATACTAGCCTTGAATGTAAATGGGCAAATGCCCCACTTAAAAGGCACAGAGTGGCAAGCTAGATTTAAAAAAAAAAAAAGCGAGACCCAATGGTATGTCGTCTTCAAGAGACCCATCTCACACATAATGACACTCATCGTCTCAAACTAAAAGGATGGAGAAAAATCTACCAGACAAATAGAAAACAGAAAAAAAGCAGAGGTTGCAATCCTAATTTCAGACAAAACAGATTTCAAATGAACAATAATTTTTCAAAAGGACAAGGGGGCAGGGGCAAGATAGCCGACTAGAAGCAGCTGCAGTTTGAGGCTCCCACTGAGAAGAACTAAAAGAGTGTGCAAATCCTGCAGCAGCAACTGACATATCCAGGTTCTATGATCAGGACTGACTAGGTGGTTGCCGTGACCCATAGAGAACAAGGAAAGATGGGCTGGTGGATTGGCCCACCTGGGAGCCACATGGGGCAAGGGGAGCCCTCACCCTCAGCCAGCCAAGGGAGGCAGTGAGTGAGCATGCTACCCAGCCTGGGAAACTGCTTTTTCCATGGATCTTTGCAATCCACAGATCAGAAGATCCCACTCATGAGACCACACCACGAGGGCCTTGGGTGCCAACCACAGAGCCATGCAGATTCTCAACAGCCACTCAGCTGGAGTCTGCCTAAAACTACCGAGTTCCCAAGTTGGGGAGGGGTGGTCATCATCACTGTGGCTGCCTGCTGCCTAAACCCTCTGAGTTCCCTGGGGGAGGGGGAGCAATCATCACTGTGGTTGCTGGCTGCCTAAGACAACTGAGCTTCCCAAGAGAGGGGCAGTCATCATCACTGCAGCTGCCTGCTGCCTGAGGAAACTGAGCTCCCTAAGAAGGGACAGCAGCCATCACTGTGGCTGCTAGCTGCCTAAGACACTGAACTCCTGGGGAGGAAGGGCGGCAGCCATTTCTACAGATCCAGGCTGCTGTTTTTCCTTTGCTGATGCCAGGAAGACTGGACGGCTTGGTCCCAAGAGGTATTCCCCACAGCGCAGCATACTGGCTGTGGCAGATCATGGCCAGACTGCCTCTTTAGGCTGACCCTGACCCATCCCTCCTCACTGGGTGGGGCCTCCCTGCAGGAACTCCAGCAACTCAAGCCAGGGAATTAGGGAGAGAACTCTGATCTCTCTAGGTCTGAGTCCCTAGTGGGAGGGGTGGCTGGCTGTTGTCTCCACAAACCGGAAGACTTGTTCTTTCCCCCTGCTCACTCTGAGGATTCCAGGCAGCCCAGATGAGTGGGATTTTCCCCGGCACAGCATACCCCCTTCCCAAAGGGACAATCAAAGTGCTTCATTAAGCAAGTCCTGGATCCTGTGCCCCTCAACTGGGTGAAACACCCCAGTGGGTCACCAGACACCTTATACAGGAGCATTTCTACTGGCATCAGGTGGGTGCCCCTCAAGGACAGAGATCCCAGAGGAAGGAGTGGGGTCCCATCTTTGCTGTTCTCCAGCACCCTCTGGTGACATCTTCAGGTGTGGGAGGGACCCAGATAAATAGGGCTTGAAGTGAATCCCCAGCAAACCACAGCAGCCCTACAGAAGAGGTACCTGACTGTCGAAAGAAAAACAGAAAGCAACAACAACATCAACCAAAAAGTCCCCACGAAAACCTCATCTAAAGGTCAGCAGCCTCAAAGATCAAAATGAGACAAACTCATGAAGATGAGAAAGGAATGAAAAACCCCTAACAACTCAAAAGGCCAGAGTGACTTGTTTACTCCAAATGATCACAACACCTCTACAGCAAGGGCACAGTCCTGGGTGGAGGTTGAGATGGATGAATTGACAGAAGTAGGCTTCAGAAGGTGGGTAGTAGCAAACTTCACTGAGCTAAAGGAGTACGCTCTAACCCAACATATTGGAACGAATCCCAGAACTTAAAGATTGGTTCTCTAAAATAAGACAGACAAAAATAAAAAAGAATAAAACGGAAGGAAGAAAACCTCCAATAAGTATGGGGTTATATATAGAGGCCAATTCTACAAATCACTGGCATCCCTGAAAGGGAGGTGGAGAAATCAATGCATTGGGTTAGAACATGCTCATTTAGCTCTGTGAAATTTGTTATTACCCACCTTCTGAACCCTACTTCTGTCAGCAAAGAAGCTAAGAACCATGTTAAAAGATTACAGAAGATGCTAACTAGAATAACCAGTTTAGAGAGGAACATAAATGACCAGAGCCAGCTGTAAAGCACATAAGGGGAACTTTGTGATGCAAACACAAGTATCAACAGCTGAATTGATCAAGCAGAAAAAAGAATATCAGAGCTTGAAGACTGTCTTGCCAAAATAAGGCAGGCAGAGAAGATTAGAGAAAAAAGAATGAAAAGGAATGAACAAAACCTCAAAGAACTGTGGAACTATGTAAAAGACCAAACCTATGACTGATTGGACTACCTGAAAGAGACAAGGAGAATGGAGCCACGTTGGGAAAACACACTTCAAGATATCATCCAGAAGAACTTCCCCAACCTAGCAAGACAGGCCAACATTCAAATTCAGGAAATCCAGAGAACCCCAGTAAGATACTCCACAAGAAGATCAACCCTCAAGACACATAGTCATCAGATTCTCCAAGATCAAAATGAAGGAAAAAATGTTAAAGGCAGACAGAGACAAAGGGCAGGTCACCTACAACGGGAAGCCCATCTGACTAAGAGTGGGCCTCTCAGCAGAAACCCCACAAGCCAGGAGACAGTTGGGTCCAATGGTCAACATTCTTAGAGAAAAGAATTTCTAACCTAGAATTTCATATCTGGCCAAACTAACCTTCATAAGTGAAGGAGAAATCCTTTTCAGACAAGCAAATGCTGAGGGAATTTATCACCACCAGGCCTGCCTTGCAAGACCTCCTGAAGGAAGTGCTAAAGATGGAAAGGAAAAACTGGTACCAGCCACTGCAAAAATGTACTGAAGTACAAAGACCAATGACACTATGAAGAAACTGCATCAACTAGTGAGCAAAATAACCAGCAAGCATCATGGTGACAGGATCAAATTCACACATAACCATATTAACCTTAAGTGTCAATGGGCTAAATGTACCAATTAAAAGACACAGACCAGCAAATTGGATATAAAGAGTCAAGATTCAGGTGTGCTGTATTCAGGGTTCCTATCTCATGTGCAAAGACACACATAGGCTCAAAGCGATGGAGGAAAATTTACCAAGCAAATGGAAAGCAGAAAAAAGCAGGGGTTGCAATCTTAGTTTCTGACAAAACAGACTTTGAATCAACAAAGATAAAAAAAGACAAAGAAGAACATCACAATGATAAAGGAATCAATTCAACAAGAAGAGCTAACTATCCTAAATATGTATGCACCCAATACAGGAGAACCCAGATTCACAAAACAAGTTCTTAGAGACCTACAAAGAGACTCAGGCTACCACACAACAATAGTGGGAGACATTAACACCCCATTGTCAATATTGGATCATCTAGGCAGAAAATTGACCAGAAAGGACTTGAACACAGCTCTGGATCAAGTGAATCTCATAGATATCTACAGAACTCTCCAACACGAAACAACAGACTATATATTATTCTTAGTGGCATATGACACTCTAAAATTGATCACAAAATTAGAATTAAAACACTCCTCAGCAAATGCAAAATAACTGAAATCATAACAATCTCTCAGACCACAGTGCAATCAAATTAGAACTCAAGATTAAGAAACTCACTCAAAACCACACAACTACATGGATATTGAACAACGTGCTCCTGAGTGACTTCTGGGTAAATAATAAAATTAAGGCAGAAATCAAGAAGCTCTTTGAAACCAATGAGAACAAAGAGACAATGTACCAGAATCTCTGGGAGGCAACTAAAGCAGTGTTAAGAGGTAAATTTATAGCACTAAATGCCCACATCATAAAGCTAGACATATCTCAAATTGACACCCTAACATCACAACTAAAAGAACTAGAGAAGCAAGAGCAAACAAATCCAAAAGTTAGCAGAAGAGAAAAAAAAAAATGACTAAGATCAAAGTGGAACTGAAGGAGACAGAGACATGAAAAACCCTTCAAAAAAAAAGAAAGAAATAAAACATGTTCAAATAGCAAGAGATAAAATCAAATTGTCTGTGTTTGCAGAAAACGTGATTCTATATCTAGAAAACCACATCGTCACAGCCCAAAAACTCCTGAAGCTGATAAGCAAGTTCAGCAAAGTCTGAAGATACAAAATCAATGTGCAAAAATCACAAGCATTCTTATACACCAGCAATAGACAATATTCTTCAATTCCTATACACCAACAATAGGCAAGAGAGCCAAATCATGAATGAACTCCCATTCACAATTGTTACAAAGAGAATAAAATACCTAGGAATACAGCTAACGATGGGTGTGAAGAACCTCTTCAAGGAGAACTACAAGCCACTGCTCAAGGAAATAAGAGAGGACACAAACAAATGGAAAAATATTCCATGCTCATGGGTGGGAAGAATCAATCTCATGAAAATGGCCATACTGCCCAAGGTAATTTATAGATTCAGTGCTATTCACATCAAACTACCATTGACATTCTTCACATAATTAAAAAAAAAACTACTTTAAGTTTCATATGCAACCAAAAAAGAGACTGAATAGTCGAGACAATCCTAAGCCAAAAGAACAAAGCTGGAGGCATCATGCTATATGACTTCAAACTATACTACAAGGCCACACTAATCAAAACAGCATGGTACTGTTACCAAAACAGACACACAGACCAATGGAGCAGAATAGAGATCTCAGAAATAAGACCACACATCTACAACCATCTGATCTTTGACAAACCTGACAAAAACAAGCAATGGGGGAAGGAATACCTATTTATTTATTTATTTATTTATTTTGAGACAAAGTCTCACTCTGTCACCAGGCTGGAGTGCAGCGGCATGATCTCAGCTCACTGCAACCTCTGCCTCCCGGATTCAAGTGATTCTCCTGCCTCAGCCTCCTGAGTAGCTGGGACTACAGGTTCGAGCCACCACGCCCAGCTAGTTTTTGTATTTTTAGAAGAGACGGGGTTTCACCATGTTGGCCAGGATGGTCTTGATCTCTTGACCTCAAGATCCACCTGCATCAGCCTCCCAAAGTGCTGAGATTATAGACATGAGCCACTGCACTTGGCCAGGATTCCCTATTTAAATGGTGCTGGGAAAACTGACTAGCCATATGCAGAAAACTGAAACTGGACCTCATCCTTACATCTTATGCAAAAATTAACTCAAGATGGATTAAAAACTTAAATGTGAAACCCCGAACTGTAAAAAACCCTAGAAGAAAATCTAGGAAGTTCCATTCAGGACATAGGCATGAGCAAAGATTTTACGATGAAATCATCAATAGCAATTGCAACAAAAGCAAAAATTGATAAATGGGATCTAATTAAACGTAAGCACTTCTGCACAGGGAAAGAAACTATCATCAGAGTGAACAAGCAACCTACAGAATGGGAGAATATTTTTGCAATCTACCAATCTGACAAAGGTCTAATATCCAGAATCTACAAGGAACTTAAACAAATTTACAAGAAAATAACAACCCCATCAAAACATGGGCAAAGGTCACGAACAGACATTCTGAAAAGAAGACATTTATGCGTCCGACAAACATATGAAAAAAAAAGCTCAACACTAGTGTTTATTAGAGAAATGCAAATCAAAACCACAATGAGATACCATCTCATGCCAGTCAGAATGGCAATTATTAAAAAGTCAAGAAACAACAGATGCTAGAGAGGCTGTGGAGAAACAGGAACACTTTTACACTGTTGGTGGGAATGTAAACTAGTTCAACCATTGTGGAAGACAGTGTGGCAATTCCTGGAGGATCTAGAAGCAGAAATACCATTTGACCCAGCAATCCCATTACTAGGTTTATATCCAAAGAAATATAAATCATTCTGTTTTAAAGATACATGCACACTTATGTTTATTGCAGCACTATTCACAATAGCAAAGACATGGAATCAGCCCAAATGTCCATCAATGATAGACTGGATAAAGAAAATGTGATACATATACACCATGGAATACTATGCAGCCATAAAAAGGAATGAGATCATGTCTTTTGCAGGGACATGGATGAAGCTGGAAGCCATAAACTTCAGCTAATTAACACAGGAACAGGAAACCAAACACCACATGTTCTCATAAGTGGGAACCGAACAATGAGAACACATGGACACAGGGAGGGGCAGAACACACACCGGAGCCTGTTGGGAAGGTAGGGGGAAGGAGAGCATCACGATAAATAGCTAATGCACGTGGGGCTTAATACCTAGGTGATAGGTTGATAGGTGCAGCAAACCACCATGGCACATGTTTAACTATGTAACAAACCTGCACATCCTGTACATGTATCCTGGAACTTAAAATAAAATAGAAAAGACAAAGAAGGATATTACATAATGGCAAAGGCTTCAATTCAACGAGAAGACCTAACTATCCTAAATATATATTCATCCAATGCAGGAGCACCCAGATTCATAAGTAAAGTTCTTAGAGACCTACAAAGTATGTTTCACAGTAATAGTGGGAGATTTCCACACTCCAATGACAGTATTAGACAGATGATTGAGGCAAAAAAATGAACAAAGATATTCAGGACCTGAACTCAACATTGGATCAAATGGATCTGATAGACCTTTACAGAACTCTGCACTCAAAAACAACAGAATATGCATTCCTCACATCATCATATGCCACATACTCTAAAATCAACCACATAATTGGACATAAAGCAATCCTCAGCAAATGCAAAACAACTGAAATCATACCAAATACATACTGAGATCACAGTGCAGTAAAAATAGAAGACTAAGAAAATTGCTGAAAATCATGCAATTACATGGAAATCAATCAACATGCTCCTGAATGACTTTTTAATAAATAATGAAATTAAGGCAGAAATCAAGAAGCTCTTTGAAAATAATGAGAACAAAGTTACAACATACTAGAGCCTCTGGACACAGCTAAGACAATGTTAGGAGGGAAATTTATAGCACTAAATCCCACATCAAAAAGTTAGGAAGAACTCAAATTAATAACCTAACATCACAACTGAAAGAACTAGAGAAGCAAGACAAAACCCCAAAGCTAGAGGAAGACAAGAAATAACTGAAAATCTGAGCTGAACTGAAAGAAACCGAGACATGAAAAAAAGAAATTCAAAAGATCTATGAATTCCGGGTAGGTTTCTTGAAAATATTAATAAGAAAGTCTGCTAGCAGACTAATACAGAGGATGATTGAAAGAAACACAATTAGAAATGACAAAGGGAATGTTACCACTGACCCCACAGAAATAGAAACAGCCATCAGAAACTACTGCAAACACTTCTATGCATACAAACTAGAAAACTTCAAAGAGATGGATAAATTCATGGAGAAATACACCCTCCCACAACTGAGCCAGGAAGAAATTGATTTGCTGTAAACAGACCAATAACAAGCTCCGAAATTGAATCAGTAATAAATAACCTACCAACCAAAAAAAGCCCAGAACATGATGGATTCCCAGTCATATTCTACTAGAAATACAAAGAAGAGCTGGTACCATTTTTACAGGAACTATTTGAAAATATTGAGGAGGAGGAACTCCTCCCCAACTCATTCTATGAGGCCAACATCATCTTGATACCAAAATCTGGCAGACACACACACACACACACACACACACACACACACACACACACACACACACACTCTTCAGGCCAATACCCTCGATGAACATCAATGCAAAAATCCTCAACAAAATACTGGCAAACCAAATCCAGCAGCACATCAAAAAGTTAATCCATCATGATCAAGTATGCTTCATCCCCAGGATGCAAGGTTGCCTCAACATACACATATCAATTAATCTGATTCATCACATAAACAAAACTAAAGATAAAAACCATGTGGTTATCTCAATATAAGCAGAAAAGGCTTTCAATAAAATTCAATGCCTCTCCATATTAAAAACTCTAAAAAATCTGGGTATTGAAGAAACATAGCTCAAAATGATGAGCTGTTTTTGTATCAGTATCATGCTGTTTTGGTTACTGTAGCCCTGTAGTATGGTTTGAAGTTGGGTAACATGATGCCTCCAGCTTCGTTCTTTTTGCTGAGGATTGCTTGGCTATTAGGGCTCTTTTTTTTGGTTCCATATGAATTTTGAAATAGTTTGCTCTAGTTCTGTGAGGAATGCCGTTGGTAATTTAATAGGGATAACTTGCATCTGTAAATTACTTTGGGCAGTATAGCCATTTTAATGACATTAATTCTTCCTATCCATGAGCATGACATGTTTTTCCATTTGTTTGTGTCTTCTCTGATTTCTTTGAGCAGTGTTTTGTAATTCTTCTAGAGATCTCCTAGAGATCTTTCACCTCCCTGGTTAGCTGTATTCCTAGGTATCTTATTTTTTCTGTGTGTAGCAATTATGAATGGGATTGTGTTCTTCATTTGACTCTCTGCTTGACTTGATGTATAGGACTGCTAGTAATTTTTGCACATTGATTTTGTATGCTAAGACTTTGCTAAAGTTTATCAGCAGAAGAAGCTTTGGGGCCAAGACTATGGGGCTTTCTAGATATAGAAACATGTCATCTGTAAACAGAGACAGTTTGACTTCCTGTCTATTCCTCTCTTCCCTCCTCTGTTTGGATGCCCTTCCAGTTTTGCACATTCAGTGTAATGTTGGCTGTGGGTTTGTCATGGCTAGCTCTCATCATTTTGGCACTTCTGACTAGAAGGGCAAGAGGGGCCAGTGTTGTTGTTACCTGAAAGGTAAGTGCAGCCCACAAAAATGCAGTGAAGAAGAAGATGTATTATGCATATGTTTAAGTTAATACAATTGAGATATATTTAGCAGACAGAATCAATAGAGTTGATGAGTGACTGACTGGATGTGTGGGGAGTTTATATCACTCCCAGGTTTTTGACTTGGGCAACCGGGCACTCATGAAGGAAAAAGGGGATCCAGGGAGAGGAAC
This sequence comes from Homo sapiens, assembly GCF_000001405.40. Lineage (NCBI taxonomy): Eukaryota > Metazoa > Chordata > Mammalia > Primates > Hominidae > Homo > Homo sapiens. Next base: position 97,424,088 of record NC_000002.12, on the reverse strand, counting down.
TTTTCTGAGGACTGGGGTAGGGCTGAACAGCTGCATTCGAGGCTGGTGGAGGGTGGGCTGGGCATGGGATGCACAAATGGAAATTCCACTGGGTCTGCAGCTCACACATAGGCATGACCAGCATAGAGATAGAGAGGCCCCAGTGCTGCTGAGTAACTGTGATTCCCCAGGTGATGGCATCAGCTGAGAAGGGAAGGAAGCCCATGAGAGGACACTGAAGAAGGAGTGAGCAGACAATAAGAAGCCCACAGAAGACAGAGAAGGAACAACTAGAGGGAGAAGCCAAGGCAGGCGTGTGTGGTAACACATAGGAACTGAGGGAGAGGACATTTCAAGATGGTGGGGATGCCATACAACAGGACTATGTGATGGTTTTTGGCTGTGTCCATAGGAAGTCACAACAGGCAAGGGAAAGAAACCAGAACCCAGTCATGGAGTTAAGAAGTGAGTCAGAGAGTAGATGGGTAGGGACAGTGAGGTAAGGCCTCTTTCTAAGGAAGTTTGGCTGAAGGATAGACTAGCTGGACACATGCTGGCTGTGTGGGGTAGAGGGAGGAATGATGGAGGGTAGGAGAGCCTTGAGCCTGCGAGAAGAGTCTCTTAGAATAGAGAAGCTGAAGTTAAAGTTGTGGAAGAGAGTGGGGATAACTGAGTGACAGATAATCAGGAGAAGAAAAGGAGATCCAGACTCATGACAGAGAGATGACCTTTGCCAAGAGCACAGCCGTCTTTCACGGTCACAGAGAGGTAGGACAAAATGAGTGGTGTTCAAGAATTGGTTTGTAGCACAATATTTCAACTATGTCCTTTAAAAAGTTTCTCCACAGACACTACCCAAAGCAGTGCTTCACTACAGTGGCAGACAGACCTGAAAATTTTCATCTGAAGCAGCAGAGTGAACTGCAGAGGCAGGTAATTTCTAGAAGGCTTGCTTTGTTACATTGAAACTGAAGATTATTCATGAGGCCAGTCTTCTGAGATTTCTGTCATTTCTCTCATGTCAGGTCACCAACCAGTGTGGAGGCTAAAAGCGGGCCTCTTTGGGGATTCCAGGTGGAAGTGTTGGACATCTGTAGTATTCCTGGTCTCGAATCATCCTGATATTCTTCATTTTGTTATTCACATTGGACTAGGGTGAGGAAATGAGTTCTGGTCAGAGTCAATGTTTCCTAACAATGTTGATTTATTTGGTCCTAAATATTTAAACACATTTTATAAATAGCTTTTCCACACCACATATATAGGGAAAAACAGGGAGTTAACTTGGCCCAGCAGCACTGTTTGTGGGGCTAACACCCTGTCTGTGTATCTCACACCAACCCTAAGCTTTGTTTCTCTCCTGTCACTTTGCTCCTATTTCTTTCATGTGAAAGAATGTTCATTTTCTTTGAAAATGAGCTCATTTCCTCATTTTCTTTCCATATTTCAGCAGGAACAAAGATCACCACAACTGGCTCCCCTTCAACTATGTTAGATGGCAACTTGCCTTCAGTATGGTGAAACACATCAGTTAAGACCGGGGTTGTGCATGGCAGGACTTTCTACAAGGACACCCAGTCTCCTTAATAAACATGAGATGCTCTCTTTCCAGAATTTCTCTTGCCTGACACAGCATAGGAAGATGCTGAACGGCCACACAGTGATCCATTGGTCAGTGGTGACATAAGGAGGTCAGAGGGGAGGAGTGAGGAGAAGTAGGGAAGACTAGGTGGTTGTAGGCCTCCTTCATCTGTTCATTGGCTGTGGCATTAGGCCAGCTACTCTTTGCACTTCTGTAAAGTGAGACGGTCGATCTTGTCTGCCTCTCTAGAGGATGGTTGCAGGTGTCAAATGGGGTAGTTAGGTGGGAGGGCATTTCACAAAGTTAAAAAATATGACTTTGGAGGCTTGTTATATTGATGAGGATTATAATCCCTGAGAATTCCTGGTATGAAGAAGGGAAAAGAAGATAATTTGTGAAAGAAATGTGTCCAGTTACTAGTCTTTGAAAAGGGTCAGTCTGTAGCTCTTCTTAATGAGAATAGGCAGCTTTCAGTTGCTCAGGGTCAGATTTCCTTAGTGGTGTATCTAATCACAGGAAAGATTGTGGTTCCCTCCAGTCTCTTTCTGGGGGAATTGAGCCCACTTCTCATTTCATTTAATTAGATGAAATAGAACTCAAAGTACAATTTACTGTTGTTTAACAATGCCACAAAGACATGGTTGGGAGCTATTTCTTGATTTGTGTAAAATGCTGTTTTTGTGTGCTCATAATGGTTCCAAAAATTGGGTGCTGGCCAAAGAGAGATACTGTTACAGAAGCCAGCAAGAAGACCTCTGTTCATTCACACCCCCGGGGATATCAGGAATTGACTCCAGTGTGTGCAAATCCAGTTTGCCTATCTTCTCAAGTTAGGGTTAATTGGATAATTCTGGAGAAGTACACATTGAAAACTAGAACTAAGCCAAGCAATTAAATACGTTTCCTGCCTATTACATGCCTTGGTACTGTGCAAAAGAGCTCACAGGGCATCTGAGGAAAGATTACTAACACACACCTCAAATGACTGTGTCTGATTTCCTAGAAGGACTCAGAAAGGGAGTGATCACTGTGGATTGGACTGGATAGTGCCTCATGCTGGAGGTGGGCTTTGAGTGCAGCCGTGAAGGTCAAGAAAAAGTGATATAAACACTGGCTCCTTCCTTTTGAAGGGACACCACACTCTTTGGGCTTAGTGGTTATAGATGCCTTTAGCGCAGCCCAGGAGCAAGCATTTGTTGTCTACCTACCACGTGCTTGGCTTTGGAAATGCAAATAAAAAAGGAGGTCACTATTTTATGAAAGGATGATTTTATTCTACCTGATGTAGCCAGCTGCAAGCTTCAGAAGGCAGCACATACAATAATGATGGGCTGGTGAGATGAGAGCTAATGGAGAGATGTACAAAGTGCCATGGGATCACCAAGCAGTGGTCAGGTGAAGGCATCTGATTTTCTTTAAGATCTTGCTCAAATGTCATCTCCTCTAGAAGAAAATGTAGGGCTTCAATGTAGGGCTTCATCAGTCAGACAACATGGGGAAATTGATCTCAGTTCAAGAAACATGTATTGATTATCTAATAGGTTCAAGCAGTTGTGCACTGGGGATAGAAAAATATTATCATCATCATCATCATCATCAACAACAACAACAATCTTGCTGTATGCCAGGCACATAATTTTACATGTATTATCTCATTTAATCTCAAACAACTCTATGCTATAGGTGTTTATTATTATCCCTATTTAGATGAAACATTTAACCTTCAGAGAATTTAAATAAGTTGCACTTGCAAGCTTAGCAGGTGAGGAATCAAATTTGGAATAGGACCTAGATCAGTGATCCCCTAGATCTACAATCTTAACCAGTACCCTGTTCTCTCTGCTTAGAGAGCACCTAGAGAAAATCTGTAAGCAAATAATCACAAAACAAGGGATGACACAATATATGTAAATGTAGGATATTACATTAAGTGGAAGAAGGAAGAAGGTCATTATTTACTTTTTCTGGGTGAGAGATGAAAACACTTCTGCAAGAGTATTTCCAATTTCACCAAAGTATGGAAAGATGTTTATCCTAATAACAATACTCAGTAATGGTATTTGATTTAATTTCAGCCTAGTACATGATTTGATTCTAAAACAACATTTCCTTAGAATTTCAATATCTGGAATTCTATAGCTCAATGGTTTTGGTGACTATTAATATTTTATATACTTCTTTTGATAGTTTTGGGGCTAAGTGAATCAAATCTATTCATAACTCTAAGTTTTCAAATTCTGAAATCTTTTAGAGTTGTTTAGTTAAAACTGGTTCTTTTCTTCCAGTTTGTTAGCTTACCAAATGAGCCAAAATAAAGAAAAAACAAAAATTTATTTTCAGTCTGATATAGAGAGTTATTTATAGTTACATGGTGCTATCTCTTCCTTTAAAAACATTTCTTCTTTCTTTTTTTCTCCCTCTCTCTTTTTGAGGGGATTATAAACACTGCCAGTATTTTTTGCCTAAAGGGTAAATCCTCTTAAACTCTTTTGGGATCTATATTAGGTGCCAGATGGTCATAAGAAAATTATGTGAGATACTGGTGAATAAACAAGCAAACCAGAAGCTAGGTTTTCAGAATAGATGCTAGCCAGTAGTTCACAGGCATTATCCAGCAACTGGTGGGGATCTACTTGGCCAGCCCGTGACCACTGAGATGTGAACTTCCCTGGACCTTGGCAGTCAAGAGGGAGAGAGGCAGAGAAAGCTCCATTATCATCACTAATTCCCTTTTGACCACACGTGACAGCATGACCTGCTTCAAAGAAATAAGATAAATGGTGGTTAGGTGCCCCCACAGGCCCACAGTAGCCCATTCAACAAAGAGCAAAAGTAAAACTACTCCTGATGGATTTAGCAACATCATAGTTCACTTGTGAGGCAACAGGCTTTTATTGCTTGCTTTGGGACTGGCTTCTTCTCATTTTCTGTAGGAAAGTGAGCCTACCTGACTTAGAAACAAAATTTTGGAACACAAACCCTTTGTAAGTTGGGAGATCCCTAAACTAAAATTTCCAGTGAGATGAAAAGCCCCTTGAGAAAGAAATTTCTGGCTGGGCATGGTGGCTGATACCTCTAATTCCAGCACGTTGGAAGGTTGAGGCAGGAAGATCACTTGAGGCCAGGAGTTTGAGACCAGCCTAAGCAACATAGGGAAACCCCTGTGATATAGTTTGGATCTGTGTCCCCACCCAAATCTCATGTTGAACTGTAATCCCCAGTGTGGTAGGTGGGGTCTGGAGGGAGGTGACTGGATTAGGAGGGTGGATTTCTCATGAATGGTTTAGTACTATCTCCTTGGTACTCCTCATGATAGCAGGTGAGCTCTCACAAGATCTGGTTGTTTAAAAGTGTGTGGTATCTCCCCCCTCACTCTCTTGTTCCTGCTTTCACTGTGTGACATGCCTGCTCCCGCTTCACAATCTGCCAGTAAATTGTGGCAGGTTATGAGTGTGTGTAATTTATGAGTGCTGATAGGATGAAAGATAGAAAATGATTTTAGATAGAAAGAAAATCATTCTGGAAGCTTTGAGTCTTCCTTTTGTAATCTATGTTGGTTCTTTTTTAACATCCCCTGTTTCAGCACTTACTGACCTGGAGTCTGTCTCACAATGACTAAATGTAATATAAGATTCTAGGATGTACACTAGAACAGAAAATGGAAACTAAATAAAAACTGAGGAATTCTGAACAAGTATGGTCTTTAGATAATAATAATATGACAATATTGATGCCTTAATTGTAATGAATGCACCACACTAATATAAAATTTTAGTAATAGAGAAAGCAGAGTTTGGGTACTTACCAGGAATATTATACTATTTTCACGATGTTTCTGTAAACCTTAAAGTGTTCAAAAATTAAAATTTTATTTAAGTCAATTGCAATATATAAGATTAATTGAACCCAAATTGTGGAAAATATAACTTCTGTTATAATGTTCCTTGGAAGCTTCTAAAGACAAGGCCTTTCTTTTCTATTTTTAGTAGAAATTACACGTATTTTCAAGTCAAACTGTTAATATGTGACAATATTTGCAGTACTGAAAGCTTAATAACTTATAGATTCATGGTAACGAAAAGCAAAGCATAGTGTTGTTTTTGGTTTTGGAATACTGTATGAAATATGTAGTCTTTTTTTTTTTTTAAGATGGATTCTCACTCATTTGCCCAGGCTGGAGTGCAGTGGGATGGTCTTAGCTCACTGCAACTTCTGCCTTCTGAGTTCAAGCAATTCTTCTGCCTCAGCCTCCCCAGTAGCTGGGACTACAGGCATGTGCCACCATACCTGGCTAATTTTTTTTTTTTTTTTTTTTTTTTTTTTTTTTGTATTTTGAGTAGAGATGGGGTTTCACCATTTTGGCCAGGCTGGTCTCGAATTCCTGACCTCAGGTGATCTGCCCACCTTGGCCTCCAAAATTGCTGGGATTACAGGCATGAGCCACCGTGCCTGGCCAAAACATGTAATCTCTTATTCAAGATTTATAATAACAGTTATGTGATACTCAGTAAGGGATGGTGATCTACATAAAATAAAAGTACAGGCACAGTGGCTTATGCCTGTAATCTCAGCATTTTGGGAGGCCAAGACACGAGGACTACTTGAGTTCAAAACCAGCTTTGTCAGCATAGTGAGACCTCATCTCTACAAAAAAATCAAAAACATTAGCTGGGGGTGGTGTCACACACTGGTAGTCCCAGATATTTGGGAGGATGAGGTAGGAGGATCCTACCTGAGCCTGGAAGACAAAGGCCACTGCACTTCAGCCTGGGTGACAAAGTAGGATCCTATCTCAAAATAGATAGATAGATAAATAGATAGATCAATGTTATTTATCTCAATATTTGAAAGAAAAGTTGAAAAACCTCCGAGCTCAACTAAGAATCAGTTTCTAGAATAAACAGAAGTATAAATCATTATACCTCTTTACTTCAAAAATATTACAGACATTATAAGTATTTTAATAACAAAAAATCAAATACTTTATATATGCTTTGTAATCTGTCCTTTACAAAATCATTTAACCTTTATGACAGGAGCTACTATGGTGCTCATTCCACAGATGAGGTGCTGAGGTTTAGTGAACTGAATAGCTTGTTCACAGACAGCTGGAGACAGAGACTCAGTTTGCCCATACAAAGATAATTTTAACCAATAGCATTTTACAATAGAATATCATAATGCCTATGAATTCTAAAAACATTTTATTCAAATCTCTCTTTTAATATTAGCACCTCTTCAACCTCTTCTTGACTCTACCACCAAAATTATCTTCCTAATCTCTCTTACCCTGTAAATTTCTGTGTGTGTGTGAGTGTGTGTGTGTGTGTGTGTGAGAGAGAGATAGAGACAGGGAAAGAGTGGATTTACCAAAAAATAAGATAGGAAGGTTGTCATAACATCTTCCCTTTTATTTCTCAATTCTGAAGTCCCCATTTTCATCCCTGGGAGAGTTGTTCTAGGATAGGGTAGCTAAAGGAACAGAGAAAATCAGAGTAATGGAATTAGCTAAAAGGGAAAGTGGCGACCTGAAGACCAAACACTAAAGAAGGGGCCAGTGAATGGCAAAGAAAGTGGAGAGCAAAACATGCAGGTAGATAGGGTCCTAGTTAATGAAGGCTCAGAGGCTGGAGGGTAAACCCATGCAAGGGTAAAGTTTAATACAGTGAAAATATAAGTAAGATGGGAGACCTACCACAGAGAACCAACACTTGGCATGTTTCTGATGACAGTGTTTAGATTGCAGTGGTTCTAAAAATTAAGTGATTTTGGAATTGGCATTCCATGTGACTTTAAAAGATAAATGATAAAGTAAATGTTTTATTCAGCTCTCTCTCTCCCTCCCCACCCACCTTCTTCCCTCCATTCCTCTGTTTTTAATGGGGATGTTTAAAATCCAATCTCACATTAATTTTTTCTTAAGTGTAAATAATGGGAAAACTTCACTTCGAGAGGGGACTCCTCAGTAGACCTCCATAATTTCCTGGCTTTTACTGCCAGTTAGTCATCAGGAATAGCCACGGCTAAGAGAGTACCAACTGGGCAAGCCAGTGAATTATACCAGTGCATCTCAGATTTACTGATTTGTTTAACTTTTGTTTTTTGTTCTTTTTTTTTTTCAGAGATAGAATCTCACTATGTTGACCAGGCTGGTCTTGAACTCTTGGCACCCAAGCGATCCTTTTGCCTGGAATCCCAAAGTGTCAGATTTACTGAAGAATATTTCATTGTAATTACTTTTTATACTTTATAGGTCAAGAGCTCTGTTTTAAATACAAAATTTATTGAATATACTTTTTCAAACAAAGTTTCATGTTCTAATCATTGTCTGATTTCAGCATTAAATGAAACACAGTAAAGAAAGTTGGGCTGATGTTGTTGTTGGTGGTTGTTTTTGTATTCTGATTACAGAACTGTATTTTGAGTGGGCTGAACATAGAGTAAATGCATCCTCAGCTGCTGGTCTAGACACTTTTTTTCCATGAGTGAAACTGCACATTGGGGATGGTGGGTCGGGGCTGTGAGTCCAGAGAGTTAAGCAGTAACCCCAAAGATTTTAACTGGGATCCAGAACAGTTTTATCATCGCTCTTCTTTATGTCTATATTTATCTTTAGTAATTGTACCATATGCTGCATTTTCCACTGGTTACATAGGTAAGCCTAGTCCTCCCCACAACATTCTTATACCAATGATGGTGACAATATGCTGTATTTCTTTTGTATGAACTCCTTACTTACTGTAGCTACTCAAATTGTACTAAGACCACTGGTACTAATCTGCAAACTAATTTTGAAGTACCTGGAAGTACAGATTTGAAAACCTTTTATAGCAATCTGACATTGCCACAATATTTTACATTTTACAAAAAATAAAAGTCTTTCACTCTGGGTAGTTTGAAAAGCACCACTGCAGAGAAAATAGTTGACACTTCACAAATGCTTATTTGATTTTCCTGAAGGTGATAAGTAAATTAGATATTCTATAATGTGTTATCTTTAACACAAAAATTATAGTAACTATTTAAACAATTAAATAACAGAAATTCAGATTCATGGTAAAATCAAAGAATATAAACTAAAAATTCCCTATATTTTCTATATTTTCTGAGAAAATATAAATAAATATATTTTCTGAGAAAATATAGAAATAAATATATTTTCTGAGAAAATATAGAAATAAATATATTTTCTGAGAAAATATAGAAATAAATATATTTTCTGAGAAAATATAGAAATAAATATATTTTCTGAGAAAATATAGAAATAAATATACTTTCTGAGAAAATATAGAAATAAATATACTTTCTGAGAAAATATAGAAATAAATATACTTTCTGAGAAAATATAGAAATAAATATACTTTCTGAGAAAATATAGAAATAAATATATTTTCTGAGAAAATATAGAAATAAATATATTTTCTGAGAAAATATAGAAATAAATATATTTTCTGAGAAAATAAATTAAATTAAATAAATATATTTTCTGAGAAAATATAAATAAAATTTCCCTATATTTTCTGAGCTTGAGTAACTCTTTAACAAAATGTTGACATAGATAAGCACTTCAGCATTCATGGATAAGCATACTTTCATAAAATTTGAAGAAAAATATATTTGATAATTCCAATGCCTGTCTCAGAGCTACTTTTTCTGCTGGTACCTCTGACTGGAATGCTTTCTCTCTCAACTCATACTTTTAAATTCTAGCCCCCTTTCAGGATCCAAATGCTCCATTTTGTAGAACATGTTTATTAAAATAGTTTATACTCTCTTATTGTATTATTATATGATGCCTTAATTCATGGCAACTTGTTAATATGTCATATTTCCTCTTAAGCTTCTTAAGACGAGACCATTTATTATCACTTTGTATATTTTTAATCTTTCCCAGAATAGGTGCTCTATAAATGCTTATTCAGCATTACATCATTAAATAAGGCAACACAATGTAATTTTCACTCTTAATAATGACTGCATTAGCAGGGCAAGGACTCTGAGGTATTTGTCTGACAAGCATTCAAAATTGCTAGCCAATGTTAGAACTAGAAATTTTGGAAAAGGTAGTGAGGTCAAGTCATTGACTGACCTTGGCTTTACTCATACATACTCTAACCAGATGGATACACATCAGAGCCTCAGAGTCTCTGAGTTTAAATGGGCCATAGGCACCACCTAAACTAATAGTCAAACCGGAAAAAGTATACGAGGACACTTGGAAGATGTATTGAGTTGTTAACCTAAAAGTTAAGAGAACTAAGAATCTAAATGGTGGTTGCTTAAGAAAAATACCATCTCACAAAAGAATACTCCTAACCACTACTGCAAAAAACACACTTTTGGGGAAAGTACACCCATATGGTTTGTACACATTCTCAAATATCTAAAAGTGACTTGGGCTTGACATGTAGTTCTAAATGCTTCTGTTAGATTTCCAATTTATCTCTCTTTTGGTACCAGTACCATGCTGTTTTGGTTACTGTAGCCTTGTAGTATAGTTTGAAGTCAGGTAGCATGATGCCTCCAGGTTTGTTCTTTTGGCTTAGGATTGACTTGGCAATGCGGGCTCTTTTTTGGTTCCATATGAACTTTAAAGTAGTTTTTCCCAATTCTGTGAAGAAAGTCTTTGGTAGCTTGATGGGGATGGCATTGAATCTATAAATTACCTTGGGCAGTATGGCCATTTTCACAATGTTGATTCTTCCCATCCATGAGCATGGAATGTTCTTCCATTTGTTTGTGTCCTCTTTTATTTCATTGAGCAGTGGTTTGTAGTTCTCCTCGAAGAGGTCCTTTACGTCTCTTGTGAGTTGGATTCCTAGGTATTTTATTCTCTTTGAAGCAATTGTGAATGGGAGTTCACTCATGATTTGGCTCTCTGTCTGTTATTGGTGTATAAGAATGCTTGTGATTTTTGCACATTGATTTTGTATCCTGAGACTTTGCTGAAGTTGCTGATCAGCTTAAGGAGATTTTGGGCCGAGACAATGGGGTTTTCTAGATATACAATCATGTCATCTGCAAACAGGGACTATTTGACTTCCTCTTTTCCTAATTGAATACCCTTTATTTCTTTCTCCTGCCTGATTGCCCTGGCCAGAACTTCCAACACTATGTTGAATAGGAGTGGCGAGAGAGGGCATCCCTGTCTTATGCCAGTTTTCAAAGGGAATGCTTCTAGTTTTTGCCCATTCAGTATGATATTGGCTGTGGGTTTGTCATAAATAGCTCTTATTATTTTGAGATACGTCCCATCAGAGATATAGACCAATGGAACAGAACAGAGCCCTCAGAAATAATACCACACATGTACAACCATCTGATCTTTGACAAACCTGACAAGAACAAGAAATGGGGAAAGGATTCCCTATTAAATAAATGGTGCTGGGAAAACTGGCTAGCCATATGTAGAAAGCTGAAACTGAATCCCTTCCTGACACCTTATACAAAAATTAATTCAAGATGGACTAAAGACTTAAATGTTAGACCTAAAACCATAAAAACCCTCGAAGAAAACTTAGGCAATATCATTCAGTATATAGGCATGGGCAGAGACTTCATGTCTAAAACACCAAAAGCAATGGCAACAAAAGCCAAAATTGACAAATGGGATCTAATTAAACTAAAGAGCTTCTGCACAGCAAAAGAAACTACCATCAGAGTCAACAGGCAACCTACAAAATGGGAGAAAATTTTTGCAATCTACTCATCTGACAAAGGGCTAATATCCAGAATCTACAAAGAGCTCAAACAAATTTACAAGAAAAAAACAAACAACCCCATCAAAAAGTGGGCAAAGGATATGAACAGACACTTCTCAAAAGAAGACATTTATGCAGCCAACAGACACATGAAAAAATGCTCATCATCACTGGCCATCAGAGAAATGCAAATCAAAACGACAATGAGATACCATCTCACACCAGTTACAATGACGATCATTAAAAAGTCAGGAAACAACAGGTGTTGGAGAGGATGTGGAGAAATAGGATCACTTTTACACTGTTGGTGGGACTGTAAACTAGTTGAACCATTGTGGAAGACAGTGTGGTGATTCCTCAAGGATCTAGGACTAGAAATACCATTTGACCCAGCCATCCCATTACTGGGTATATACCCAAAGGATTAGAAATCATGCTGCTATAAAGACACATGCACACGTATGTTTACTGTGGCACTATTCACAATAGCAAAGACTTGGAACCAACCCAAATGTCCATCAATGATAGATTGGATTAAGAAGATGTGGCACATATACACCATGGAATACTATGCAGCCATAAAGAATGATAAGTTCATGTCCTATTTAGGGACATGCATGAAGCTGGAAACCATCATTCTCAGCAAACTATCACAAGGAAAAAAAACCAAACACCACATGTTCTCACTCATAGGTGGGAATTGAACAATGAGAACACTTGGACACAGGGTGGGGAACATCACACACTGGGTCCTGTTGTGGGCTGGAGGTATGGGGGAGGGATAGCATTAGGAGATATACCTAATGTAAATGACGAGTTAATGGGTGCAGCACACCAACATGGCACATGTATACATATGTAACAAACGTGCACGTCGTGCACATGTACCCTAGAACTTAAAGTATAATAAAAAATATATAAAAAAATAACAAAAAAGTGCTAATTGTAAAAAACAACAAAAAAAGGATTTCAAATTTAGTTTGAACCTTCAATGTATACCTTAAGCAAGTGACTTGAAGGAAATTTGAATGCTGCGTGCCTTCTCCCAGCTCTGCGTCACTGAGGATGGGAACCCAGTGGCACCTGAGACTCCTGGATGTAGTGCCTGGGTGACATTCCTGTGGAGAAAAGCACTTTAGGGCTAGTCTCTAGATGTCTTCTCATGAGTCTTCTGCTTTCACATGAAGCTCTTTAGAAGACAGAAGGAAAAAAAATGTGAGAAGAAATACCTTGCCCTTCCACAAGATAGACCTGTTGTGCAGAGGTGCATACAATTGAGGACAGAGTTCAACATTTTAAATTAAATTTCCAAGTAGTTTCTGTGACTTCATTTAAGAGACCGTTTTTTGAATTCCATGGTTCCAATTTGTGTCTATTTTCCTGTTCACATAAATTTATAGGAATATACATGCCAGCTGTGAGAGATGACTTTATTTCACTGTTGCTCTTATATCCCCCTACAGTTGTCACAAGGACACCGATATCACACAGTGACATGAACCTAGACATATAGTACACTTGGCAGAAGAATTTTCCAGGTCTAGCCCAGCAGTCCATTCAATGATCTAAAATGGTGATACAGAGAAAAATAGAAACACATATGAAACACTATAGTCAAAATACCCTGAAGTAAAAAACAGAATAATTTTGACTGATGCATGACACATGCAAAGCCATATTACACGTGTATGTGCATATGTAAGGATCATATTGTATGATCATATTGTATGATCCTTCTCTATAATCTGTGTTTCTAGGGCATATCTATGTACAACCTCTATTACACAGAATTAGGCTCAGCCAGAAGGGGGCCAAGAAGGCCAACTAGAAGCAGCTATGGTGCATGGCTCTCACAGAAAAGAATGAGAGGGATGAGTAAACACAGCACCTTCAACTGAAATATCCAAGTACTCACATTGGAACTGATCAGGAAAACAGCTCCACCCATGGAGAATGGAAAAAAGCCGGGCAGGGTGACAGCCCACCCAGAAGCGACAAAGAGCCAAGGGGAACCCCTTCGCCTGCGCAGGGAAGTGATGAGTGAATGTGTGAAAATAAACTCCAGGCCAGAGTTTCATATCCAGCCAAACTAAGCTTCATAAGCAAAGGAGAAATAAGCTCCTTTTCAGACAAGCAAATGCTGAGAAAATTTGTTACCACCAGACCAACTTTACAAGAGCTCATGAAGCTCAGAAGTGTCCCACAACTACATGGAAATTGAACAGCCTGCTCCTGAATGACTCCTGGCTAAATAATGAAATTAAGGCAGAAATCAAGAAGTTCTTTGAAACCGATGAGAACAAAGAGACAATGTACCAGAATCTCTGGGACACAGTTGAGGCAATGTTAAGAGGGAAATTATACCTCTAAATGACCTTATTCAAAAGCTAGAAAAATCTCAAGTTAACAACCTAACATCACAACTAAAAGAACTGGAGAACCAAGAGCAAACAAACCTCAAATCTAGAAGACAGGAATCAACCAAAATAAGAGTTGAACTGAAGAAGATAGGGACACACACACACACACACACACACACACTCAAACATTCAAAAGATCAATGAATCGAGGAGCTGGTTTCTTGAAAAAAAGTAATAAAATAGATTGACCACTAGCTAGACTAATAAGGAAGAAAAGAGAGAAGATTCAAATAAACACAATCAGAAATAATAAGGGTGATATTACCACTGACCCCACAGAAATACAACCATCTGAGAATATTATAAACATCTCTATGCACATAAACTAGAAAATCTAGAAGAAATGGATAAATTCCTGGACACATACACCCTTCCAAGATTGAATCATCGAATCCCTGAATAGACCAATAATGAGTTCTGAAATTGAGGCAATAATAAATAGCCTACCAACCAGAAAAAAAAAAAAACAAAAGCCCAGTACCACACAGATTCACAGCTCAATTCTACCAAATGTACAAAGAAGAGCTGGTACCATTCCTGCTGAAAATATTCCAAAACAATTGAAAAGGAGGGACTCCTTCCTAACATTGTATGAGGCCAACATCATCCTGATACCAAAAACCAGGCACAGATACAACAAAAAAAAGAAAACTTCAGGCCAATATGCTTGATGAACATTGATGCAAAAATCCTCAATAAAATATTGGCAAACCGAATCCAGCAGCACATCAAAAAGCTTATCCACCGTGATCAAGTAGGCTTCATCCCTGGGATGCAAGGTTGGTTCAACATACACAAATCAATAAATGTGATTCATCACATAAACAGAACTAAAGACAAAAGCCACAGGATTATGTCAATAGATGCAGAAAAGGCTTTGATAAAATTTAACAACCTTCATGTTAAAAACTCTCAATAAACTATGTATTGAAGGAACGTACCTCAAAATAATCAGAGCCATATATGACAAACCCACAGCCAATATCATACTGAATGGGCCAAAGCTGGAAGCATTCCCCTTGAAAACTGACACAAAGATGCCCTCTGTCACCACTCCTATTCAATATAGTATTGGAAGTTGTGGCCAGGGCAATTAGGCAAGAGAAAGAAATAAAATGTATTTGAGTAGGAAGAGAGGAAGTCAGACTATCCCTGTTTGACCCCATCATCTCAGCCCAAAAGCTATTTATTTATTTATTTTGGGATGGAGTCTTGCTGTGTCGCTCAGGCTGGAGTGCAGTGGCACAATCTTGGCTCACTGCAACCTCCGCCTCCCGGGTTCAAGCGATTCTCCTGCCTCAGCCTCCTGAGTAGCTGCTACTACAGGTGTGTGCCACGACGTCTGGCTAATTTTTTCTATTTTTAGTAGAGACGGGGTTAGCCACTATGTTAGCCAGGATGGTCTTGGTCTCCTGACCTCATGATCCACCCACCTCGGCCTCCCAAAGTGCTGGGATTACAGGCATGAGCCACCGCGCCCAGCCCCCAAAGTTTCTTAAGCTGATAAGCAACTTCAGCAAAGTCTCAAGTTACAAAATTAATGTGCAAAAATTGTTATAGCATTTCTATACACCAACAACAATCAAGCTGAGAGCCAGATCATGAGTGAGCTCCCACTCACAATTGCTACAAGAAGAATAAGGTACCTAGTAATTCAGGTTACAAGTGAAGTGAAGGACCTTTACAAAGAGAACAACAAACCACTGCTCAAAGGAATCAGAGAGGATACAAATGGAAAAACATTCCATGCTCATGTATAGGAAGAATCAATATTATGAAAACGGCCATACTGCCCAAAATAATTTATTGATCCAATGCTATTCCCATTAAACTACCATGGAAGTTCTTCACAGAAATAGAAAAAAAAATATTTTAAAATTCATGTGGAACCCAAAGAGAGCCTGAAGAGCCAAGGCAATTCTCAGCAAAAAGAAAAATCTGGAGGCATCATGCTCTTCAACTTCAAACTATACTACAGGTCTACAGTAACCAAAGCAGCATGGCACTGGTGCAAGAAAAGACACATAGACCAATGGAACAGAATAGAGAACCCAGAAATAAGACTACACCCCTACAGCAATCTGATATTTCACAAACCCGACAAAAACAAGCAATGGAGAAAGGATTCTCTAATAAATGGTGCTGGGAAAGCTGGCTAGCCATATGTGCAAATTGAAACTGGACTCCAGCCCCACACCTTATATAAAAATCAGCTCAAGATGAATTAAAGACCTAAATGTAAAACCCCAGACTATAAAAATCCTAGAAGAAAGCCTAGGCAATACCACTCGGAACATAGACATGGGCAAAGATTTCATGACAAAGATGCCAAAAGCAATTGCAACGAAAGCCAAAATTGACAAATGGGATCCAATTAAACTAAAGAGCTTCTGCACAGCAAAAGAAACTAACAGCAGAGTAAACGGACAACCTAAAGAATGAGAGAAAAGTTTTGCAAACTATGCATCTAACAAAGGTCTAATATCTAGCATCTGTAAGAAACTTGGCTGGGCATGGTGGCTCACACCTGTAATCACAGCACTGTGGGAGGCCAAGGCAGGAGGATCACCTGAGGTCAGAAGTTCAAGACCAGCCTGGCCAACATGATGAAACCACATCTCTAGTCAAAATATAAACATTAGCTGGGCGTGGTGGCGCATGCCTGTAATCCCAGCTACTCGGGAGGCTGAGGCAGAAGAATTGCTTGAACCCAGGAGGCGGAGGTTGCAGTGAGCCGAGACTGCACCACGGCACTCCAGCCTGGGCAAAAGAGTGAGACTCTATCTCAAAAAAGAAAAGAAAAGAAAAGAAAAGAAAAAATAAATAAAATAAAGTAAAATAAAAAAGAAACTTAAACAAATTCAAAACAACCCCACTAAAAAGTGGGCAAAGGACATGAAAAGACACTTTTCAAAAGAAGACATACATGCAGTCTCACACCAGTCAGAATGGCGATTATTAAAAAGTCCAAAAATAACAGGTGCTGGCAAGGTTATGGAGAAAAAGGAGCACTTTTATACTGTTGATGGGAATATAAATTAGTTCAACCATTGTGGAAAACAGTGTGATGATTCCTCAAAGACCTAGAGAAATAAATAACATTCACCCAAGCAATCTTACTACTGGGTATATAACCAAAGGAATGTAAATCATTCTATTATAAAGACACATGCATGCATACGTCCATTGCAGCACTATTCACAATAGCACAGATGTGGAATCAATCTAAATGCCCATCAGTGATAGACTGGATAAAGAAAATGTGGTATATATACACCACGAAACACTATGCAGTTATAAAAAGTAAGAATAAGATCACGACCTTTGCAGGGACATGGATGGAGCTGGAGGCCACTATCCTTAGCAAAGTAATGCAGGAACAGAAATCCAAATATTATACCAAATGTTCTTACTTATAAGTGGGAGCTAAATGATGAGAACATATGGACGCAAAGAAAGGAACAATGCACACTGGGGCCTACCAGAGGATGGAGGGTGAGGAGGGAGAGCATCAGGAAAAATAACTAATGGATACTAGGTTTAATACCTGGGTGATGAAATAATATGTACAAAAAACTCCTATGACACGTTTACCTATGTAACAAACCTGCACATCCTGCACATGTACCCCTGAATTTAAAATAAAAGTTTAAAAAAAAACAAAGTATTTCAAGATAAATGTGTTCTTATTGAATAAACAATAATTTTGTGAAAAAAGAGGCTCAATTGAAGGTGGCAGAAGAGCTCCCAAATAGCAGTCACCTAAACAAGTTAGTATACTTCTTGCTCACACAAAATTAGACAGAGGCTTGGCCATCCGGGTTTGGTGTGGCAGCTGTGCCTCATGAGCCACTGGGACTCCACACTCCCCCAGCTTTACTTAGGGCATGTCTCATTTACTAATAGTCACATAGAGCTGCTGGAGCTCCAGGAAATGTAAGTGCATCCAAGCTGCAGTAATGAAAGAGGAGTAGAAAGGACAAAAGATACCCTCCTGTAAGGAAAGACCCTGGAAGTCACAGGCAAATAATCGTGCCTTCATCTCACTTTCCCAAATTTAGTTCCATGGTCGCAATGACCTCCAAGGGAGGCTAAGAAACGTAGTGTTTACGTAAATGATAATGTTCTCAGCTGACTGTGTGGCGTTCTAAGGGAAAATGGGATTTAATAAATATTAAATATTTATTATTTAATATTCAATAAATATTAAAAAGAAACTAGGATCCTTTGACACACATAATACTCCTTCTACAACAGTAATAATACCTTTTTAAGGTACTCTTATATTACCTAGAAAAAACTTGGGAAATGCAGACTCTGAACACAATATGAAGAGGTAATTCAAAGTAGAGGAAACTTTAATGGGTTAGAAATATGTGAACAGCAACTCAGAAATATTAGTGACCTAATAAGTGACACAAAATAACACTTTATATTTGTTTATTAACTTTAGAAATTTGGATTACGCCAAACATTAGTGACAATGTGAGGATATGGGCATGTTCATGTTTTACTTCAAGGATGCAGACTCCTTTGGAGATTATTTTCTTAGTACTTAGGGAAAATTATTATGTGTATACTTTACGTCCTGACCATCACATCCTGGGTATATTCCCCTGAGAAGCAGCCACAGAAGTCTATCAGAGGACATTTTCAAAGATCTTATTTGCAACAGTTTATTCTACTTCTAATTGTACTGAATTTAGATGCCCTTTACTTGGAGATTTCATGCATAAGACATGGAACAGCTATTATAAACAAATTCATGATGTAATATGCATATATGAACTATATATTCCACATGAAATATATATTTATGTACATATGTGCACAATACATACTCACAAAGCACCATTGGTAGGCTTAAAATGATGTGCAAATACATTAAGCATATTCTAAGAAGCAGATGGCTATCTAGACATAAATAACTTACGTATATTTAAAAGATACGCACATGGCCGGGTGCAGCGGCTCACACTTGTAATCTCAGCACTTCGAGAGGCCGAGGAGGGTGTACCACTTGAGTCCAGGAGTGTAATATGAGCCTCGGCAGCATGGTGAAACCCCGTCTCTACTAAAAATAGAAAAATTAGCCAGGCCTGGTGGCGCCTGCCTGTAGTCCCAGCTACTTTTTGGGGGCTGAGGTGAAAGGATCACTTGAGCCTGTGAAGTTGAGGCTGCAGTGAACTGAGATTGTGCCACTGCATTCCAGCCTGGGTGACAAAGTGAGATGATCCTGTCTCAAAAATAAAAATAAAAGATGCGCACAGAAAGCACAGCATTATGTAACTTTCAAAGACATCTCCAGGGCCATATATCAAGCACATGACAGTAAAAACCTATGTGGAAAAATTAGAAAATTCAAGTGAGGTAAAAAACGGTGGAAAATAGAGAAAAATGAGAGGCGATTTCCAATGACGAACTGAGATGATGAACTCAATTCAGTGCACTATTTCTTCCACTCTTACACTTTACAGGCTAAGAAGCCATTCCTAGCATTTCACTGGTATAAACTCTTCAAAATGGGATTCTTGTCCTTTGATTATTTTAGGTTGACAAATTTATACCAAAATAGTGGGCTTTGTAAATCGGTGTCTTTATGATAGGTTTCCTTAAATAGTATGTCTTTAAAATATTAAATGGTATCCCTTGTTTGTCTTGTCTTTTCCACAAGCAGATGAAACTTCCTCCCCAACAAGCCGATGGAAGAACTTATGCAGTGTTACTTCAGGGAAGCGACATGGCAGGGTGGAAGTAAAATGGACCTGCACATTTTAAAAAATGTTTTGTTTTGTTTCTTGAAGGGCCCCAGGGGCTTATAAAGGAGAGGAAGGGGGTGGAGTGTGAGGTTGGTAAAAGCAGCGGAAGCTGGCTTGGCATCCTGGAGGAGCAGGAAGAGAGTTCATGTTCCACCTTCCCCTCTTCCCCGCTATTCCACAGGGTCTGGAGGAGAAGAGCAGAGGGGTCTCTGGTTCCCAGGAAAGGGCCTGGGCCAGACTTTCTGATGGAGACAGCTGGGTGGTGAGTGTCCACGCAGACAGGACTGAGGCTTGCCTCACAGAAGATTCTCGCCACTCAAGTGAGGTGCAGAAGCAGCAGCGAGGAAGCACTTTTGAAGGGAACACCTGAGCACAACTCATTCTTTCTTGATGAGGCTTTGCTGCTGAGGAGTTCTTGCTATTAATACTTCTCTTCCTGCCAAAAAAAAACCTGGTTCCTGCACATTTACTGTGAAGGCACGTGATGGCCCTACAGCACCCCCAGAAATCATCAAAATTTGTACCAAAGATCCAGAGCAGAGGTGGTGGGTTGCTGAGTGACTGCTCACAGAGGCCATGTTGGTAGGGTCCTCACAGATGTCAGGGTCTTGCTATTCCTCAGTGAGGAGGAGGGAGATTCCAAATGGTGGCTATCACCCAGACCACCTCCCCACAATGTTCATGCAGAGGGAATGAGGCAGAAGAGCCACTGCCTGCCTAGCCACTTACCTCTGAGACTTGGTTTTATCCTCTGTGTCCCACTCCAGCACTGATTATTAGCCTCCTGGTGCTCTAGGATACAGCAGAGAGAGTTGGCTGGCTGTACTGGGGAGAATGGGGATGACAAAAGCCTATGGAACCAGGTAATATCGGGTGGCCTTCCATTCAAGTCCTATCTGGTCTCTACTTCCATGAGATTTTAAGAGCAGAAAACACAGGGCTTTTTCTAGGGCCACACACTCCTCAGCCTAGCCTTTGAATGCAGAGCCCAGCTGAGAAGCTAGCAATGCTTCTGACCAAGGCCAGATGCCCAGCTTGGGGCCTCAAGGCTCTCTGTAGCTTCCCAGCTTGTGTACGCACCATTCACATCTGCCACAATAGCCCCACATCACAGCACAAGCCAGGGTTTAGTTTGGTGACAGGCATTATCTGTCCACCTGGGTGGCAGTGTGAAAAAGACTTACTCTGGCTTGTTCTTCCTCACCTGCCACCTATTTTGGAGTGTAGAAGGCCAGAACCCTGTTTTCTATATGTTTTATACAGATGGAAGAAGCCTCATAGACTTGGCTCCCCAAACAGCTCCTTGACACTTACGTGTTCCTTAGGCCTGCCCTGTAGGGTTCTGTAGATCCAGATGAAAAGGCCAGAACAGGCTTACTCAGGACTGGGTGGCTTCATTGTCTGAGGCCATTTTCCTGGTTCCTGAAAGTTATAAATGGTCCTCAGTGCAGGCCTTCCCCAGCCTCGCTGTCCTTCCAGCATCTGGCCATCTTACTTCAGCCATATTTACACTGTCCCACAGCACGTCCTGAAGTCTCAGACCTCACCTTTCTTTCTCTCTGGGGAGAGCCTCTTCTCTACCCACTTGAACCGGAACTCCACGCATGTGCTTACTTAAGGTCTTCAGAAGGAGAGCACCTATCCTGATTGCCAGATTCTAGGGATGTGGACAGCTTTCGCACTGGAGGGTGGTGGCACCTGGGCTGGGTCTGGTTAAAACATGCTGGGCCAGTGTTTGCCATCACTGTAAGGTCACGTGGATATGGCAGAGAAAGACTCCTGTAGCTTTCGCATTTCCCTTCCCTGTCAGCAGGTGGCAAGAGGGCCTAGTGGCCCCTGCATAAATGCATTTACATCAGTGTGTTTGTTTGTGTTTGTGATTTATGTTTGTTTTATATGTACATATAGTTGTTTATATATGTATAAATACATATATGTAATTAAATATATCTATATTTCTTTATGAATAGATGTGTTGCATGGGCCAAGAGCCAACTTCCACTTCACCCTGTGAAATGATGCTGAAAATCAACCCACAAAAGGCAGATGAATACAAGGAGAGGCAGGCAGATTTATTAATGTATATGAGGCATACAAAATATAAGAACTCAAAGGCAAGATGGCTGATGCTTTTATAATAGCTTAAGGTTACAGTAAGAATAGGTGCTTGGATAGTGGCATCTATACATCGGACTTCACATGCCAGGTCATTTCTTCTTCTGTTGTTTGAGAAACTTGTGCCTAGGGCTCTCTCTCTGTAGCCTCCAGATTGCACATGGGCCATTCACATCCACCATGGTGACTGGCCTCACCCCACAAGCTAGGCCCTATTTAGGTGACAGGCATCATCCATCCACCGGGGGTGGCAGGGTTCAACTGTCTCCCACTGACCTGGTTTTCTTCTCCTGCCCTTTACATTTGAGTGCACAAGAGTTTGTCAAAGTCAGCCTCTTGTTTTCCCTGCTTCTTATGTTTATGGCAAAGACCCTGGAGCCTGGTACTCTGTGTGCCTCCAGTTTGATGTTCTTCAGGGCTGCCCTGTAGGACCCTCCAGATCCAAATGAAACCAACCAGAACAGACTTACCCAGGACCATGTAGCTGTCACCATCTGAGGCCACTTACCTGGCCCCCAAAAGGCCCTAATGGCCCTCAGTGCAGTTCCGCCCTGGCCTGGTACTCTCTCTGCCCCCTACCATCTGATGCCATCCACACTTGTACTGCCCTGGCACATCCTGAGGGTTCAGACCTAGCCGTTTTTCCTCTCCGCCTTGGATTTTCAAAAGAAGAGTACCTGTCCTGATCGAAAAGTTTGGCTAAAGTAGACAGCTTTCACATTACAGGGTGATGGGCCTTGGGCCAGCTCTGATTAAAGACACCGTCCTGGTGTTTGCCGTCAGGATAGGGCCTGGAAACTGGCAGGAGAAGACTCTTGTGACCATTTTGGATCCCTTCACTGACAGTAGGTGATAAAAGGACCCTCTGGCCCCCACTCTTAATGTAACTGCATTTGTGTTATGTATGTGTTTCCATTTGTGCTCTTTTAAAATTATGTCTGTACGTATATTAATATATTATGTAGTTACACACATACACACACACACACACACACACACACACACATATATTCTGCACAACTCCAGTCTCAACTCAGTTATCCCTCTTCTGTATGTCCAAGTTCTCCTGTGGGCATCTGCAAGTGATGGCATACTCTTTCTCAATTGACTCGTGGCCAGTCTCAGAACGGTGGGTCCATATGTTACGGATACCCATTTATGAATGGCCTATACCTATAGACAGCTGGCCTGCTCTTTCCAGGCCCCTTACTAAGAGTATTGTGGAAAACCTTAGAGCTTTTGAAAAGTAATTGGACTTTTAGCTAGAAGAAATGAAGAAATTGCCCAGAATATCATCAGTTAGAGGAAGCTCTCTGTGCCTAGATTTTCTGACATGAGATAATAGCCAATATGGCTGATCCCAACCCATAATTGTATGCTCTTGACAGCTTCTGTTTTTTTGTTTTTTTTTTTAAATCAGTTGTTGCTCTCTGGAATTCCAATGATGAGTTCAACTTAGTTAACATCTCCTTTCTAAATGTGAGGGTTAAGGAGTTGGTGGTAATTCATATAATAATTAGTTAGAATCAAATTACTTTCTTTTGGAATAAAATAAGTCAGGCCAGCCACTCTGAAAGAAGGTGAGTTTTGGGTTGGAGTCAGAAAGTCCATGCTTTTGGGGGATGACTCCTTTGGGAAAGGGGATAGAGTAAAACCAGTCAAGAGAGATAAGGTGAAGGGTTCAAGGCAGCTCTATATGGAGGACAAGGGTAGGGACAAGAGGTAGTAAGTAAGAGGAGAAAGATGAACTTTTGGTTTTTCAAAATATTCCTAGTCACTGTCCTAATGTTGATACCAATGGTACATTCATAGCATGGGATATTCTGCAGCCGTTAAAGAAGTAAGGTAGATTTATGGGTAAAAAGAAAGTGTACCAAGACAAGGATGCCTTCTCTCACCACTCCTATTCAACATAGTATTGGAAATTCTGGCCAGGACAATCAGGCAAGAGAAAGAAATAAAGAGTATTCAAATAGGAAGAGAGGAAGGCAAACTATCCCTGTTTGCAGATGACATGTCCTATATTTAGAAAACCCCATCATCTCAGCCCAAAAGCTTCTTAAGCTGATAAGCAACTTCAGCAAAGTCTCAACTTACAAAATCAATGCACAAAAATCTCTAGCATTCCTTTATACCAACAACAGGCAAGCAGAGAGCCAAACCATAAATGAAGTCCCATTCACAATTGACACAAAAAGAATAAAATACCTAGGAATACAGATAACAAGGGAAGTGAAGGACCTCCGTAAGGAGAACTACAAACCACTGCTCAAGGAAATCAGAGAGGAAACAAACAAATGGAAAAACATTTTATGCTCATAGATAAGAAGAATCAATATCATGAAAATGACCATACTGCACAAAGTAATTTATAGATTCAATGCTGTTCCCATTAAACTACCATTGACATTCTTCAAAGAATTAGAAAAGACTATTTTAAAATTCATACAGAACCAAAAAACAAAACAAAACAAAACAAAATAGCCCGAATAGCGAAGACAATCCTAACAGAAGCAACAAAGCTGGAGGCATCATGCTACCCAGCTCCAAACTATACTACAGAGCCACAGTGACCAAAACAGCATGGTATTAGTATAAAAACAAACACATAGACCAATGGAACAAAATAGAGAACTCAGAAATAAGACCACACACCTACAACCATCTGATCTTCAACAATCCTGACAAAAACAAGCAATGGGGAAAGGACTCCCTATTTAATAAATGGTGCTGGGAGAACTGGCTAGCTATATGTGGGAAATTGTAACCCCCTTCCTTACACCTTATACAAAAATCAACTCCAGATGAATTAAAGACTGAAATGTAAAACCCAAAACTGTGAAAACCCTAGAAGAAAATCTAGGCAATTCCATTTAGGACATAGGCATGGGCAAAGATTTCATGACAAAAATACCAAAAACAATTGCAACAAAAGCAAAAACTGACAAATGGGATCTAATTAAACTTAAGAGCTTCTGCACAGCAATACAAACTATCATCAGAGTGAACAGACAACCTACAGAATGGGGAAAAAATTTTGCAATCTTTCCACCTGACGAAGGTGTAATTTCCAGGGTCTACAAGGAACCTAAACCAATTTACAAGGAAAAAAATATTAAAAATGGGCAAACGACATGAATGGATACTTCTCAAAAGAAGACATTTATGCAGCCAACGAACATATGAAGAAAAGCTCAACGTCACTGATCATTTGAGAAATGCAAATTAAAAACCACAGTGAGATACCATCTCATGCCAAGTCAGAATGGCAATTATTAAAACGTCCAGAAACAACAGATGCTGGAGAGGTTGCAATGAAAAAGGAATGCTTTTATACGTGTTGGTGGGAGTGCAAATTAGTTCAACCATTATGGAAGACAGTATGGCCATTCCTCAAAGATCTAGAAGCAGAAATATCATTTAACCCAGCAATTCCATTACTAGGTATATACCCAAAGCAATATAAATCATTCTATTATAAAGATACATGAACGCGTATGTTCATTGCAGCACTATTCCTAATAGCAAGGACATGGAATCAACCCAAATGCCCATCAATAATAGACTGGATAAAGAAAATGTGTTACATATGCCCCATGGAATACTATGCAGCCATAAAAAGGAACAAGATCATGACCTTTGCAGGGACGTGGTGGGAGCTGGAAGCCATTATCCACAGCAAACTAATTCAGGAACAGAAAACCAAATACCTCATGTTCTCATGTATAAGTGGGAGCTGAACGATGAGAACACAAGGACATATGGGCGGGAAACAACACACACTGGTGCCTTTCACGGGGGTGGGGGAAGGGAGAGCATCAGGAAAAACAGCTAATAGATGCTGGGCTTAATACCTAGGTAATGGGTTGATCTATACAGCAAACCACTATGACACACGTTTACCTATGTAACAAACCTGCACATTCCGCACGTGTACCTCTGAACTTAAAATAGTTGAAAAAAAAGTACACAACAGACTGCATGCTTCCATTTCTGCCTATAATTTGAAAGGTGATATATGCATGCATACGTTTGAGTATATGCAGAGAGTATTTCTGGAAGAAATGTAATAAACAGTGACTTTGTCTCTTTGAAAAGAGCCTGAGGATATGGGTCTGAGATGGGATTTTTTTTTTTCCAGGAGCACATTTTTAATTTGTATGTACTTTACTTATAAATTAAAACAAAAAAACTAGTTGAAGGTTTTCTAGGATTACTCTTACCTCTGAGAGAGGTGGTGTAGAGCAGGGGACTTAGGGAGTCTAAGGAGAAAAGAAACAGATAATCCCTTTGTCCTTCTTTCTTCCAAGAAAACTCAGGGCTTGTGTATCCCCGGACTCCTGTGGTTTTGGCACCTCAGGTGGACTATTGTCCAGTAAGCTCTTCTGGGCTGACCTGGAACTGAACTACCATTTGTAAACTCTTTCTACGGGGGAAACGCAACAGTGTTCCAGAGAACATACTAAACCAAACGGCCTCCACTCATTCTTTCTCAATTTCTTGTCTATTAGCTTCCTTAAGAAAAGAAAAAAAAAAAAAGACTTCAGATTGAACCCGGGAGGCCTGAGCCATCCATATTCTAACTCATTTCCTCAGAAATGATGAAAACACTATATGCATTTCTGTGCTTGGCTACTGTCTGGATTTTTTGTTGGTTTATTTCCTTGAGAAGGTACCCACTGTTTTGCGCTTTTTTTTCTGACTAACTTCTGTGGTTTTATTTTGAGGAAAGTTGCTGTTTTTTCCTTGCTTGCATGCCTGGTAGAGAGCTATAGGCATTTGGTACATATCTGTTGACTTGGTAGATTAAGGTGTGGACACCAAAGCAGAGAGGTTACTATAAGTTGTCACGGGTAAGACTTTGGTCTGAGAAGACACGGTAGAAGAGATTTGAATCTAGCACAGTGCTTCTCAATTGTGGCTTTGTTGACATAATTCCTTGCTGAGATATTGAGATAATTCTCTGTTGTGGGCCACTGTCCTGTGTATTACAGGCACTTTGGCAGTATCCCTGGCCCCTACCCACTAAATGCCAATAAGAACTGCTAGTTGTGACCATTTAAAAATATGTCTCTAGGTGGTGCCAAATGTCCCCTAGGAGCAAAACCATCCTGGTTGACAATCACCAATTTAGAGTGATTTTGGATTTGCTATTCGCTGTCCAGAAACTGGTTTCTATATTGACATAATTCTTCAAATCCTGGAAGCCTGGAGGTGTGGCCCAGCTAAAGCTTCTGAAAACTTACGCAGTGTCTTTGCGAAGAATTAGAAAAGGTACCGGATGAATTAGAAAAGGGCTAGATGAGGAAGGTTAGGCTGAGTTTCATTCTCTATTTCTCCTCTCCTTTTATTCCTGCTGTGTATATGAGGCTCTCTAAGTCAAGGGTCTTGATGTGTTGATAGAGAACAGATTCTTGGAGCCAGTACCCAGGTAGAAGGATGAAATGCAGACTTGATGGCTTTACCATTAAATCAGCTGTAGTACAGTCACTTCCAAATAGTGTATCAGCAAAACATTTCTCATTCATATGGATGAGCAGATTGTCCTTCCTAAGAATGCATTCATTTAACAAATGTTTATTGAGGACCTACTATGTACTGGGAGGAAAAATGCTTCCCTCTACCTCTTCATCCCTTTCTTTCTGCCTAAAGTATTCTATTTCTGTGTGTTTGGTATTATTTCATTTTACATTCTTCGGAATCTGTCTTACTAGCACAAATTCTTCTTTCCCCTCCCCCTTAATTTACTTGATTTCTGAAGGGTCAATTGCAATTAAAAGGAAGAGGAGTGATGAGAGGGATGGCTTGAGTTTTCAGAATGTTCCTTAGCTGTATGTCAGGGCTCCACGAGTGCACACCATGCTGGGCTGCATTCTGGAGGCCCTCCTTGGCTCTGACTGTATTTATAAGTTATCCTACACTGTGCTAGCACATCAGCTGCCAAGGCTGTTTGTAGAATCTGCCTCCCCAGAGGTCTTCAGAAAGAGAAAAGGATGCCAATCTCCATGACGGTTTCAGTGCAGTCCTGCTGATTAGAAGGAACAGGCTAGATTTTTCTGTAAAGGTTTCCTTCAGTCTTGAGTGCTCTTAGATGGATGAGTTTGCTTTTTGGTGCAGGAGGGAGAGATGAAAACTGACACTCTATGAACTTCCTGGCATATCACTGCACACATCCTGTGTATTTATATTTATGTATTTACTTATTTTGAGATGGAGACTTTCTCTGTCACCCAGGCTGGAGTGCAGTGGTGCGAACTCAGCTCACTGCAACCTCTGCCTCCCAGGTTCAAGCGATTCTCCTGCCTCAGCCTCCTGAGGAGCTGGAATTATAGGAGCCTGCCACCACATCCAGCTAATTTTTGTATTTTTAGTAGAAACAGGGTTTCGCCATATTGGCCAGGCTGGTCGTGAACTCCTGACCTCAAGTGATCTGCCTGCCTCAGCCTCCCAAACTGCTGGGATTACAGGTGTGAGCCACTGCTCCTGGCCCATCCCGGATAGAGAGTAAAACATACTGTTTTCATGCTTTTAATGTTTTCAAAGTACTTAGCTGTGCCGTGTGAGGGAGGTAGGGCCTCTCTTTAGGTCCCTATGGCACAGAGGAGTCAGCGAGGCACAGAAGCATTTAATTATCAGTTAAAGTGACAGCCTGGCTTGACACAGAGCAGAGATGGTGTTCCTGGATGTCTGCCCTCCAAGTGCATGCTCTTTTCTCTTGACCCTGTTACTTCTTTGTGTTCGTGCTTTTTGCTCTGTCTCATAGAGTTCAGACATTTGATTTGGAGCCATAATATTTTAGAGCTATAACAATTTGGGGAGCATATTTAGTATAAGTCTGTCCCATGCAACTTTTATACCAGGCATCCTATATTTTATCTGGCAATCCTGGCCCCAGGGCAACCCTGTGTGAGAAACTCGTAGGTCCATTTTACATGTGAGGGAACTGAGGCTCAAAGAGGTTAAACAACTTTCCCACGGTAACACCTGAGATGAAATGGCAGGCAGCTGACTCCAAAGCCCCCCAACATGGCCTTTGCTTGTCTGGGAGATGGAGCTCCAGGTGGAACTGGTAAAGGGGGTGAATCCATTGGCTGGGAGATGTCATGAGTTTGAGACTGTATTGGGAGCACCTGGCACATGGTGGCCATCAACCAATTTTTAGTCTCTCTCTCCCTTCCTTCCCCTGCATCAAATTGGAAATTCCCTTCAGACCCTCACACAGCGAGGCCTCTACAGACACGTTGAACCTGCCACCCTCGTAGGAAAGCAGAAGGAAGAAGGATGATGTTGGAGAAGATCCCTGCCATTTGATTTATTATGACAGCCTGAGGCCTCAGAGAGCTCAGAGCAAAGAGACCCTGGAATGCAGCCCCAGATCCCTGGAAGAGACTTTACAGGTGTCACGTGGGAGAGTGGAGAGTGACGGGGATGGTCTCAAAGAACAGGAGCAGAGATTATCAGAGACACCACAAACTTGAAAAGTCAGGATGAGTAGGACTTGGGGAGAAAAAAGATCTTACCTTTACAATAGCTTCAAGGACCACAAATTTAAGGGCTCTCCAGAGGCTTTAGGACAGAGAGAGTTGAGGAAGTGCCGGTCCAGGATACGACCCTTTTAAAAGTGTGCCCGTGGTGTCACTGCTGTGGGCAGCGGTGGTGATGTCAATGTTTGCTCTTCTCGGGCTCCCTCCATGACACTGAAAAGACGGAAGTGCTTTTACCTGTCCAGAAGGAGGGGCAGCTGAAAGAAGGAGGGAAGAGGGTGGTCCAGTGCAGGTGCAGCCTGTTTGGAACCTTCTGTGCCTGCACTGGACCACCCTCTTCCCTCTCTCCTTCCTTCAGCTGCCCCTCCTTCTGGACGGGTAAAAGCTTCTCCTGTCTCCTCCTGGACTTTCTCATAGCTATAGGCTTCCATATTCCCCACCTCTATGATTCAGAGGAGTTCAGCTCAGCCACGTCTGTGCCAGAGCTTTGATGCCCCACCTATCAGCCACACAAAGGGCCCTGCCATGAATAAGGCCTCCCTCACTGAGGATCCTTAATTTTTTAAAATAATGAAGCCTCTGCCATAAAGTCAGTGTCCTGGCTGCCAGCCACCAGGCAGAACCTACTAGACTTCTCCAAAATAGATACTGGGGCCTCCTTCCTCAACCATGGTCAAGGCCTAAGCTTCCTTCTCAAAGGCAGGCAGTCCTAGGCTTTAGGGCAAGAAGTGCTTCCTACATGCAAGGTGCTCTGGGGAAGGGCTGCGTGTGGCGGCCATGTGTGCAGGTCTTCAGGATTTCAGCTGAGCCACCTTTTCTTGCAGTTCAAGAAGAAAACAGCCAACCATTCCCTCCTTGTAATAAATGCCTCCGCATATTTGAAGACAGAGTTAGGTCATTCTTGAGCTTTCTCATCTCCAAACAAAACAACTGTGGCCCCTGTAACCTTACCTTGGCAAATTATAAGGCCCATATGCAGAGAGAAAGCAAAACAAAACCATCTGATGGGGAAGGCCTCCTATCTCTGACCAAGTGTCTGTTTTGAAATGCGGTCTGCACTCGAGTCTTTAATTACATGTAAATTCAGTAGCTTCAAGCGTCTGAGCCAGTGGGGGACCAGGTGCTGCTCATCAGGCCCCTTGGATGTGTTCAGGCTGCAATGCTGGGCGACAGCGCTTGGCAGAGGCTAGGATTTCTTCTCTTCAGATTCATTTTGGGGCATAAAAAGGGGGCATCCGTGAGTGACCCAGGAGCAGTCAGCTGACCTTCCTGCCAGGTCCCCTGAGGGTAGGATGGGCCCCAAGAGCCTCCAGAGAGCTGGCAGCCTGCCAAGAAGGCTGCCCTTGGCCTCCACAGAAGCCAGCAAGAGTGGCTTCCAGATGTCCCTGGTGGAGGCTGGCAGCCTCGTCCTGCAGCCAGTGTCTTCCAGGGGAGGCTTCCTGATGCTGCTAACTCAGAGACAGCTGCCCTGCTGAGCGCCTGCCCTCACTGGGGGTGCTGTGATCACATCAAGTTTCTTCCCATGGTTCTTTCCAAGCTCCTTCCCATATTTGTAGTGTGTTATCTTGGTGATACAGACAAGAGTCAAGGAAATACTGGGTGGAAGAGGGCAGTTCCCCAGCAAACGCCCCCACCCTCAAGTCTGGAAACCCGCAGCCCTAAATGGGAACAGGCATTTGTACTTTCATGCCCAAATGTGGGATCCTCCCCCATGACCCAAACACCTCCCACCAGGGCCCACCTCCAACACTGGGGATCCCATTTCAATATGAGATTTGGAGGGAACAAATATCTAAACTGTATCAACCAAGGTTAGTGCGTTTCTCTGCCCTCCAGTTTTGCCTGCCATGAGCAGCTTTCCTATGAGCCAGCTGTCCTTTTGGTCTCCAGGGTCACTTTCTTTTTTTCAAAGCCCAGTGTTCAGATATTCAGCTGAGCTTCGGGACTGGGGAGTCACAGGACAAGCTCACGTACATGCTTAAGCAAATGCAGTAAATTTTTTAAATAAAGAAAAAGTCATTTAGGCAGTGCCATTCATTCTGTGTGCCACCCTAGATATACCACAGGGTGGATGCGGAGTGGACGGTAGAGGAGGGTGCATCCCTTGCTCTATCTGCGCCTGTCCTTCCTACAGGCTGCTCAGACCAGGAGCACCTGGATTTGCCCCAGTGGGACTCACCTTTGAGAGACATAGTTTTGGCCAAAATAGCTGTTCAGTGCAAGTCTTCCACTGGTGCCCAACCAAAGGGAAAGCAACCTTTTCCAACAATGAAGAAGAAATTGGTTGTGTCTGCTTTTCAATAGCAAGGGAGTGAATCTCAAACACGGTGCCTCCATTAAGGTGTTCAATAATTTCTACTACATGACAAATGTGCTTTGGGAATGTGAAAGGAAACTAAATCTTGGGACCTCAAAGTCACTAAGCTAAAGGGACAAGTCAAGCTTGGAACTGCTTAGGGCAAACCTACTTCCCATTCTGTTCAAAGTCATCTCTCTGAGGCTCACCTGAGACAAATGCATATCTAATTGCTTCCTCTGCCCTATTGTTGATGTAAAAATGCAGATTCACTGAGCCAGACTAAATTGTGTATTCAGTGGAAGGTTGATCGAGTATGCAAAATAATGAAACCTTTTGTCTCTTATCTACTTCTGACCTGGAAGCCCCAACTTTGAGTTGTCCCACCCTACCAGACCAAACCAATGTACATGTGACACATATTGATTGATGGCTCGTGTCTCCCTCAAATGTGTAAAAGCAAGCTGTACCCTGACCTCCTTGGGTGCATGTCGTCAGGACCTCCTGAGGCTGTGTCACAGGAGCATCCTTAACTTTGGCAAAGTAAACTTCTTAAATTGACTGAGCCCTGTCTCAGGTATTTAGAGTTCACAGGAATGATTTCAGACACCCCAGGGAGAGGTGCCTCTACTGCGCGGCTCCTGGCCTGGTCTCAGACTAAACCGTAAGCTCCCTCATTTTTGTATCCCCAGTGCCCGAAACTGTGCCTGGCACTCGAGGGTCCATGATATGTATTTTTGGCTTTGTTGAATAGTTTAATTAACTCATTAGTGATGCAAAGTTCTAACTGCATATTTACAGATATTTATGTGTGCACCACATTATGGGTGGTGAGAAGTAGGAATTCAAAGAGACAAAATCATACTTTCTCTCCTCGAAATTCTTGTAAAGCTACCAAGAAGACAAGACATAGACACACTAAATATAAATAAAATACAAAAGGATGTACCCTGACATGCAAATATGTGTTCACAGAAACAAAGTTCTTCTTACCAAATTCCTGTTGTCTAAAGCAGTTTTTCCTAAAGCGCGTTCTTCAGAATACCAGTTTCTCAGGGTGCCAATGTGAGGAAAAGCTTTGGTGGTCAGATGAGTTCAGGGCTGGGTTAGGCTGATTTCTTTACCAGAGGGCTTCTTGAAGACTTAAAGAAATCTGTATTGAGATATAATTTGTATGGCATAAAGTTCACCCACTTTAAGTAAACAACTCGTTGGCTTTTACTATAGAGTTGTGTAGCCATCACCACAATGTCACTGCAGAATGTTTCCATCACCACCCAAAACACCTCACGCTGTTTGCAGCCATTTCCCATCCTCTTCCTTCCTAGCCCCTGACAACCACTAATTTACCTTCTTCTTCTATAGATTTGCCTATTCTGGGCATTTCATAGAGATGGAATAATTTACTGTGGGACCTTTTGTGACTGGCTTCTTTCATTTAACTTAATGTTTTCAAGGTTCATCCACGTTGTTGCATGTATGCACTGATGGACATTTGGGTTGTTTCCACTTTTTGGCTATCATAAATAACATTGTTATAAGAATTCATGTGCAAGTTTTATTTGACTATATGTTTTCAGTTCTCTTGGGTCTATAGAGAAGAGTGGAATTCCTGGGTCATACTGTGAATCTATTAAACCTCTTTTCTTTATAAATTACTCTGTGTCAGGTATTTCTTCATAGCAGCGTGGAAATGAACTAATACAGTAAATTGGTATCAAGGTAGTGGGGGATTGCTATAAGATACCTGAGAATGTGGAAGCGACTTTAGAACTGGGTAATGGGCAGAGGTTGGAACAGTTTGGAGGACTCAGAAGACAGAAAGATGTGGCAAAGTTCAGAACTTCCCAGAGACTTGTTGAGGGGCTCTGATCAAAATGCTGATAGTGATATGGACCATGAAGTCCAGGATGAGGTGGTCTTAGATGGAGATGAGAAATTTATTGGGAACTTGAATAAACATGATTCTTGCTATGCTTTAGCAAAGAGACTGGCAGCATTTTGTCCCTGCCCTAAATATCTGTGGAACTTTGAACCTGAGAGACCTAATTTAAGGTATCTGGCCAAATAAATTTCAAAGCAGCAAAACCTTCAAGTGATGACTTGGGTGCCCTTTAAAGCCTTCAGTTTTATGCACTTACAAAGTTATGGTTTGGAATTGGAACTTACGTTTAAAAGGGAAGCAGAGCGTAAAAGTTCAGAAAAATTACCCGGAAGGAGTTAAACCCCATGGCTGCTTCATGAAGCAGGAAAGGTGGATAAAAAAGACAGAGAAAAGATGCAAAATACACAATCTATAATTTAAAAAGGGAAAATTATTACAGAGCCCAGGATAGCAAACACATAAAAGTAGAATACAATGAAATAAATTATGGCAACTATTTTCACTAAACTAAAAGGAACTCTATAATGAAAACTTTTCTATAAGGAAAATTTCCATCTTATGTTTCGTTTACTGGAACCAACCTTGTGAAAATTACACAAACTTCAAGAGAATTAAAAAGAAGGAAATGCTTCCAGAATTATTATATGTGGTCACAATAAACTTCATTTCCAAAACGAATAAAAGCATTAGAAACAAAAATTAATTCCTGCATCTGACATGAACACAGATATAAAAAGCATAAAAAGCACATATATGTGTAATGTGTAGTTCATATATATATATACATATTTGAAATATCTATCTATCTATATAGGTATTTATAGATATCTAAATATATCTATATCTGTATATATGTAAATGTACATATATGTGTGTTAATGCACATATATGTATATATGAATGCATATCTGTATATAGCTACATATGTATGTAGCCCTATATTGAATTATGTATGCCTATAAAATTGAATGTCAGTATATTTCTATCTATTTAATAAACAGGTGTAGCAAGCCACATTACAGCTCTTATGCTTAAAACTCAGGTAAATTTTAATAATAGCAATTTCTGAGTGATGGTCATAAAACGAAAGGTATGACAGGCTTAGTTAACTAATTTTAGAAAAAAATTTATATTGTTTTATTTAAATGTTTTATTTTCCTTTTTTCTTTTAATTTGGAGACAAGGATTTGCTGTGTTTCCCAAGCTGAAGAGTAGTGGCAATTCACAGGTGAAAACTTTTCTTCACTTTTGGAATAAGTTTTTATTTTGCTTGGAATTTTAGCTTCAATAAATAATAAGTGTACATGAAAAAGCCGCTACTTTGATCTAATCTATGAGAATTATTTAAATTCTCATCCAATAGAAGACAAAATCAAAGTAAAAAGAAAATTGGGCTCTTGCCAGAGAGACACAGCTCTTTACTCTTAGGTCTGAGGCAATCTCCCAGACATTCTTGCTCACACAGTTGCAGTCCACTGCAAGAATAGAAGATGTGAGGACAGCATTACTCAGTTGCACCTTGAGCTCCCTGACTACATATAGTTAACTATCTTTATTGAGGATAATAATAGTTAAAATAAATCACATTGATTTTTAAATGTACAGTTTTTATGAATTTTTGCAAATAAATAATCCTTCTAACCACCTCCAAAGTCAAGATATAAAGTATTTTCACAACCCCAAAAAGCTCTTCCTGAGCAAGTTACGTGATCAACTTGCTCTCTACCCCATAGATTAGGCAACTTTTGGCCCATTTTGAAAGGTCTACTCATGGCTCTTCCACCATGACTTTGTCTCTAATCCTCTGTTCTGTTTTTTCTAAGGTCTGATGATTTGTTCAAACCCATAGACAATGTCATTGAATGGCTGATCTCCCTCTGCAAAATGAACAAGGATATAACACTTGCACTTTGCTCACTGTTATGATTTTTACTCTCCAGGCCATCCTTGACTGTGAGAATGATGTGACATCAGCCCAGCATCCATGGATAGAACTCTGTCCAGAATAGCATCATTGTAGACATACAAAGAATGAGGACTTACCTAGGAGACAAGGATATAATTTTTAACATTAGGGAAAATCATCTCCATTCATACTCTTTGGCACCTCAAGTAAGTTAGAAAAATATTTTAAGGTGACACATGAATTTGGTGAGTGTTTTAGAAATACATCAAATTTCAAGGACATTCCTATAGCCAGAGCAGGTACTATATCTGGTTCTAGAAACCAACTATTTTGATGAGGAATAAATAGAATTATCTTAAGAGATTTAATTTATTAAAACATTTTGTAAATATGCATATGTTTCTCATATATATATGTAAATGGCCTTATTTAGACATGAATATATGCATATGGAACTACACGCACCCAACTATTTATCAAATAAATATATATATATGTACCTACATTAATGTTTATATATATATATGTGGAGTTTCCATAAATAAGGTAAATTTTACACTTTTTATTTATATATAATTTTTTAAATTTCTTTTTAAATTTCTCATTGGTAGCTTTATAAATACATTACCAAATATTTATACTTCTGCCACTAATTATAATAAGATACATCCTATATGGGTGAATGTGTAAGTATTACATTGGTCACTTTTTTTGCACAATGATGATTGATAACCAACTACTTAAAAGTCAGTGTATTACATCAAGTTTTATCGTGTTTCTGGATGATCATTTTAGTATTAACATGACTCTTCAAGACAGGGCTCAGCTGGGTGGTTTTGCTGCAGGGAGCAGAGCTTGTCTCTAACCTATGGATTGTGTTCATCTGAGGTCAAGGCTAAAGGGCAGTATCTACCCAGGCACCATATTCTGATGAAGGCAGCAGGAGTGGGCAACCTCCCCAAACCAAGTTGAAATGGTGAATGAAGTCTAATAATTTTGAACACAGATACACACAATTTTAAGTTATTCTTTCACCTTGGTAATTATTATGGTTCCTACAAACTTTTCCTCCATTTAAACATCAAAGCATTTTATTATTCCATGGACAGATCATTATGTTTCTCCAACTTTACAATCTTCCAATTGTTTTCAAATGTCATGTTGCATGGATTAGAAAATAAAGCTGGGTGTGGCTGCAACATGTGGCTTTCCATTGAAATTTTTAAAAATAGCCTCATTGCCATAATAGTATACAGAAGTTTGCTCTTGTCACCCAGGCTGGAGGGCAGTGACATGATCTTGGGTCACTGTAACCTCCACCTCCTGGGTCCAAGCGATTCTCCTGCCTCAGCCTCCCTGGTAGCTGGGGCCAATGGTGCCCACCACCACGGTATCTCTTTAGCTGAAACAAATATCACATAGAACATAGCTTCTTAAACCTTTTATAGGTCACCTGTTATCAACTACCATGGCTAAACAAAGGTTCTCATTCAGTGAACTGAAGGTCGTTCTGCTATTTAGCATATGTATCATGCTCTCAGTGTGCTAATGATCCTGCTGGATTCTGGATACATGTTGAGTAGCAAAGAATTTTCATAATTTAAAAAAGGTTACACCAATGTTCAGGTTTTTCTGTTGTTTTGGTTTCTTTGTTAAGAAATATTTTTCATTTGTTTGTAAAATGATTGTTATGTATGTCATACAATTTCCTGATTTTTAAGCTGTGTCTATGACTTAATAAAGTTATGTTGCTATGTGACAAGTGCAAGTATATTCAAATGTATTCTGAGGCCATGCATAACTGGCAAAAGTTTTCACTATTTTGTGAAAATACTGACCATGTTGGGCTTTCAGCTGTCAGTTCCTCATTATCACCATCACTTCTGAAAGCGCATTCTTCAGAACCACCTTTCCCTCTATACTTTCCTGTAGAGTTGTTCACTGAGGGGTCCTTCCACGAGATTTGGAAGTCAGAAGAGAATGATTCAATGCTCATTGACACCTGCAGACAGACAAGTGGACTTAGTTGAGACCTAGAGAATCACCTAGAGACATACTGCAGGAGGCTGAGAGCATCAGCACC
Organism: Homo sapiens; assembly: GCF_000001405.40. Lineage (NCBI taxonomy): Eukaryota > Metazoa > Chordata > Mammalia > Primates > Hominidae > Homo > Homo sapiens. The sequence continues at coordinate 97,386,878 of NC_000002.12, read as the reverse complement.
TGCACTCTGGGCTTCTCAGACAGATCCAAGGACCATGTGGCTAGGCAGCTCACACCTGCAGGGTAGGGTGCACCCTGGTTTCTGCAGGAGCACCAGAGAATCATGTCTCTAGTATCTGCTTCCGTGACTAACATCAACCAGGCCTTGAAAAGCTGTAGTTTAGACACTGATTTCATAAATTAAAACGATTCCTGCTTGGAAGGGCTAGAGTGGCTTCTCTTTTGCTACAAGAATTCCAATCATCCCATAACAGACTCCTCAGGTGGTTAAATCTCTTTATTAAATCAGGACTCGCATTTCATGTCTTTGCTTCTGGGGATGAGGAGGAAAGAGAGTGGGTGCAAAGGAGCCACCTCATCACAATTTACCAAAATTTCCAGACGACCTTCAAAACTTGGCTGCATCTGGAAAACAACTCAGCAGATTGAGGCACTAGGAGGGGCATCTAGGGCAACCCGGCCTCACTCATCTGCTATCCTAGCAGTTGATGTTATGACTTGTCACACTGGGGGAGGGAAAATGCTCTCTTGTTGACATTAATAAGTTGCAAAATCTTCAGGCTGCAGGCTGCTGACGGTGAGAGTGAAATCTCTTCCATATCCGCTGCCACTGAACTGAGATGGCATCGCCCTCTGCAAACTGGATGCCCTATAGGTCAGGAACTTAGGTGCTTTCCCTGGTTTCTGCTGATACCAATTTAAATAGTTGTAAATGCTTTGACTAGCCTGGCAAGAGACGGTGGCTCTGTCTCCTACAGATGCAGACAGGGAGGATGGAGGCTGAGTCATCTGGATGTCACATCTGGCATCTCAGGTTGGAAATACAAAAACAAATATTTACACTTTTCACCATGTTATGCGAGGATTTCCCTGAAGAGCCAGGCTGTACTGAGCACACTGGGTGGCTAACTTCCCAGTGTTCTCCTTCTTTACCTGGGAGACAGAGCAGCAGGAAGGCCAGGAGCTGAGCGGGGATCCTCATGTTCATGCTGTGTCCTGACTGCAACTGACTCCTGCACAGGGTGTGACCAGCCTATTAAGAAGTCTTCAGGGCAGGGGGCTGCGCTCTAGGACACACAAATCAGCAGGGGATGGGGCAGGCTGGGCACAGCCACGGGGCTGGCTCATCTCGGTAACTCAGCAAAGGGGCAGTGTCCGCAGGGTCCCAGGTCAGACCAGGCCTGACAGATTTGCCTGGAGGGAATGTATTTCTCTCTACATCCGTTGTTTCGACAAGAGATATTTTGGGAGAAAAAAGTCAAAATTTAATTCAAACCTAGGGACTACATGGAGTCATATATTTTAGAGTTGTATCGGGAGTATATAGGAGAGTATGACCATTTGTAGGGAATGTCTGATAATGTCTTAGAGAATGGGGCTATCAGGTCTTCAAGTTATTTAAGTGGACATTGTGGGAGTGACAATCCCTTTGTTATACTAACAACACCTCTGTGATTGTCACGTTGCTCCCATTGTTTCATGTGGGAAAAAAGTCTTTGTCAGAAGCATATTTAAATATTCAAAGGTATTTTGTAGTGACCTGAAACATTTGTTATTACCAGTCTATTTTCAAGCCATTCCCTGCAGATGCACAATAATGATGCTGTGATTCCTCAATGCCTGTGCCACTCACAGATCTTCCATAATCCAGAGCTATAGGTCTCTGTAATAACCAGGGACTAAATGGACAGCACCTCCGTCTTGCTGACCCATATGATCAATTGTCTCCACAGGAAGAAGAACAAGGTAACTTACCATTGCTAATGCTCTGAGCTGCCTTTCCCACCGGAATGTTCCCAGGTGTTCAGGTACAGCTCCCAAAAAACTGGGCTTTCTGGAAAGCAGGGGAGGGAGAGGCCCTGGGGAAAGGCCAAGTCAGTGAACACTTTCTCTTCAGTGAGGGCAGCAGCTACTCAGTGCATGTCTCTGCCCTGCACCATCGATGCCACTTTCCTCTTTGACTCTTTAGCAGTATGTGGGGACATCATCCTTACCCAGACGCCAGCCTCCTTGCCTCACTTCCAGGAGAGAGAATCTGCATCTCCTGCCAAGCCACCGCCCATGTACGTGAAGAAATACTTGGGATCTGGATAAAACTTGGAAACAGATTTGAACCCCTATACCTCACATGTCTGCCTCTGCCCAGGCATCCCAGCCTGGTTGTGCAGCAAGGGAAGTGGAATCAACTACATCGACATGAGAAGACTAGAACCTGGGGAGTCCAGGGAGCATTACTCACGCATCACTAAGAGTGAGCAGACCACAGTGGTATAGCCTGTACCCAGATCTCCTGCTGCTTTCCAGGGGCCTGAATTTCAAGGGAAATTACTGGCAAACTGCTTGCTAAGATTTAGGTTCAGAGAGAAGAAGCTCTGGATTGAAATACACACATTTTTTTTGTGCGGGGAGGTGAATGTAGCAGTCACTCTTGCTACCCTTTGCCTTTCCCCTTTGCTGTACTTCTGCTGACTCCCCATGGCCATATCTGTTCCTCACTGCTCTATGTCAAACTGGAGAAGGCAGCCCTGCCTGCACACATGGCCTTTCACAGCACCTGGAATGAGCATCCTCTCAGAAAGCCCTCAATCAGTGAGGACAGGAGAGGTGTATATACCCCAGCTCCCTCTCTTCTCAGCTGGAATAATACTGAGACATTTTCCCCTGTTTCCACGTGGGCTTGAGCTCCAGCCATCCTCAGCGGTAGCTCTTTGCTGAGGAGACTTTTGGAGTCCCTCCTTTCTTTCCTCCTTCACTGCCTTGTTTCCTCCCCGTGTTTCCTGTGCATTATAAACATGCTGCCTGCATAGGCATCATTATCCCTGAAAGAGCCAACCTAAGAAAGCAGAAAAACATTCTTTCTTGGACGGTATGGTCTGAATTCTTGTCAAATCTTTTTTTTAACGCATAGGGATATTTAGAAAATTTAGGAAACACCTGAATTATCTTGGAATGGTCACCCTCCGTTCTTCAAAATGGCTCTATCTTGTCATTTTTTAGTGTCAGTTTTAACAAGACACACAGGCATTTCACTGTGAAGAGGGCTAGCAGCAGAATACTTCTTATGTGTAAAAGCTCTTGGATAAATCCTTTAAACTCTCATACTCTCTGGGTATGTGATTAGCTCTTGTGTTCTCTGGAGATGACAAAAGTAGGGGGCTATTTGTTCATTTGTTTTCACATTAGGAGAAGAAATCAGATTGATAGGACACATTTTGAGAGGGAAGAGCCGGCTCAGGGAGATGAGGATGGTAGAAAAGAAGCAAAGTGTTCAGGGCAATGCGAGATGTGCTCCTGCCCTCAAATCTGAAAGAAAGACATTTAAATTTTAAAGACTTGGAGGAAGTTTTGCTATGTGGACAAAACTGCAGAAAGGCCTGAGTTTATAATTGTGGTAATCATGGCAAGGTTCAGAGGTAGCAAGGCGCTTGCTGAGAATTCCACACCACCCTTCCGGCTTTGTCTCTTCTCTGAGTTTAAAAGCCATTCATTCCTCCATGGAACAAATGTGGCCATGTGGAAGCGACATATTTAAGCTGGGTTCCAAGCTCAGCCCTGATAATTGCTGGCCATGTATCTTTGGGCAAACCACCCCTGTGCTCTGATGAACAGTTTACTCACCTGTGAAAAGTAGCACCAAGGATATCAAGGGCTGTCCTGAAGGTTTCTCTAGTTGATGCACCAGGAAATGTATCTATGCATATATATGTATGAAAAGACTACTTAGGGCCCCTTTTCTGCATCCTTGAATATCTTAGAATGAAGATTCTAGATAAGATATTACTACCCAGATGTCATGCTCTACTAAGAATTATCAACATTTATTATATAATTAACAGATGCTCCAGTATACACCGTGGGGTTTCCTGTACGCTATTTCCTCATAAAATCTTCTAATATGTGTAACATTAGAGAATCGAACGTGGAGATTCCCAATCATTATACTACCTTTAGGCTGGATTTATTCTAAGCCCCATTTGTATTAGTATTTTTGGGCTGCTATAACAAATTACCAAAACTTTGGTAGCTTAAAGAAATAGAAATATATTCTCTTATAGTTCTGGAGGCCAGAAGTCCAGCATCAGTTTCAGCAGCCAGGAGCAGGCTGTCATCAGACAAAGCTGCTCCAGGGTCTCCAGGGGCAAGTCTATTTTTTTTTACTTCTCTTAGCTTTTGTTGGTTTAAGCTTTCATTGGCTTGAGTCCAAATCATTTCAATCTCTGTTGCTGTCTTCAGATGGCCTTCTCTTCTGCAGGATTTTTAAAAATGACATTTAACAAAGACAGGCCCCTTTAGGGCCCACCTGGTCAATACAGGATAATCTGCCTGTTTTATAATCCTTAATTTCATGTGCAAAGGCTCTTTTCCTGTGAAAGGTACCTGTATAGTTTCCATGGAATACAGCCTGATCATTTGAGCACCATACTCAGCACTAAACCATTATAGAATGACTCTTCAGTGTTGGTACTATACACACATCACACGCTCTTCTCTCTCTCTCTCCTCCTCTCGTTCCCTCTTTCTTCCTTCTGATTATAAATCTCCTCACTTCCCTAAGCGTATCCAGTGCCACCTATGTCTAGGTTAGAGCAGCACACATAGGAGGGCCTGCATAGGTATCATTGTCCCTGAAATGTTGTGGTTTGGCTTAGAGACCTGCTCTATCCCTCATTATCACTCAGAAAGAAGGACACAGCCAAAGATAGTCCTCAGCCATCTGGGGAGAAGCTGTCTTCACAGAGGACAGTCAGGGGCTATCATTCTCTGGACCTCTGCTTATCTTCAGATGCCTGTGGTCCTCAGCCCTCAGTGAGGGTCTGTGTGGCCCCTGATTCGAGTAGGATCCAACAGGATCCTTATCAGAATATCTGATTCACAGAAGGCAGCGAGTGTAAGGTAGGAGATCATCAGGACTTGTGTTCTGAGCACCGATCCCAACATTGGTCATGACAACGCTGACTGGAACAGGATCTCGACAAAAGAGGATGCGCTACAGAAACTGGCCCAAACCAGCTAGAACCAAGATGGTGACAAAAACGACCTCTAGAGCACAGTGTGAGTGGATCTTCCCCCGGGGGCTCCCGTCAGACAGAGTGGCAGCCATGGCTCAGTGCTGCATGATCATAGTATGAAACCCCCCCCCACGGTCTTTTCACAGCCCCCCTCTGACTGCAGTGATGTGGGATTTCTCTGTCCAACTTTCATGGCTCAAGCAACTTCTGGGACTCTGTTCACAATGGGAGGTCATGAAGGTAGTTAGGCTGTTGATGGCCAGAGTGACGTCTGTCCAGACTCACCCCCTTGACCCAGGCGGGCATCGTGTCCAGGGGGCAGTGGGAGCCAGCAGGAGATCAGCGTCAGCCCTTATTTCCTGTGGAGCTAGGCTAGGACACTGTTATTTCCGTGACTGGCTCTGCTGGTGACAGTGACCCTGTCTCCTGGAACACAGGGAGGGGCCTGGAGATGAGCACCGCACAATATCCCAACTGTCACATAAGTGGGGAACAATTATGAACATCCCCAAGTGTTAATTCTAAATAACTACTTCATTCAGTTTGACTGAATTCTGATGAACAAGCAAAATGGGCGACAGACTTCATCTTGAAGGATGTTTAATGCAAAGAAACTGCATTAAATTCATGTTTAATACACAGAACTGAAACTGAAGGTGAAGCCCGAGTTCTCCCTCTTCACCAGAGAATTGGAAAAGCAGGAGGAAGAGGAGCAACACCAGGTCCCCACGTCCACGAGGGTCTCCTGAGGCTGATCCTGCTCAGAGAGAGTGGGAAAAGTGGATGAGTCAGCTTGCATTGCCACACCAAAAAAACTGGATTGGATGGCAGAAACCACAGAATTTAATTTTCATATTTCTGGTGCCTGGAATAGCCCAGATCGATGTCCAGCAGGGTTTGCTTTCTGGTAAAGACCTTCTTCCTGGTTTGCAGATGCCACCTTCTCACGGTGTCTTCACACAGCCTTTCCATAGAGCGGAAGGCAATTAGAGAGAGAAGGGAGAAAGGAGAGCTCTCTGAATCTTATAAAAACACGAATTTGCCAGGCGCAGTGGCTCACGCCTGTAATCGCAGCACTTTGGGAGGCCGAGGCGGGCAGATCATGAGGTCAGGAGATCGAGACCATCCTGGCTAACGCGGTGAAACCCCGCCTCCACTAAAAATACAAAAAATTAGCCGGGAGTGGTGGCGGGCACCTGTAATCCCAGCTACTCGGGAGGCTGAGGCAGGAGAATGGTGTGAACCCGGGAGACGGAGCTTGCAGTGAGCTGAGATGGCGCCACTGCACTCCAGCCTGGGCGACAGAGCGAGACTCTGCCTCAAAAACAAACAAGCAAACAAACAAAACAAAGCAAAAACAACAAAACACGAATTCTACTGGATCAGGGACCCCCCTTATGACCTCAATTACATCTTTAGAGGTCCTAATTTCTACAGTCATATTGAAATTAGGGTTTCAACATGAATCTGAGGGCACAATTCAGTCCATAGCAGGTGGGACACAGCCGGGGCCTTGCTTCCAGTCTCAGAGAATGGGGCAGGTTCCCACAACTCAGCACATGGGTGGCTCCTCCCCGGTGCCCAGGTCACAAGAAAGACCCGCCTCTACCTTTCGGGCTCCCTGTTGAGAATGGGACACCAGCACTCCTACTTTCCCAGTGTTCCTGAGACCATGGTGTTGTCTTTTGTTTATTGTGGAGTGTTTTTGCCATCTTCAGACAGGTCTTTGACATAGCAACTTATCGGACATTTGATTCTGTGATTGTGAAAATTAATTGATTAATTAGTCATAAGTAAAAAATTAAACAATACATTGAATCAGAAAAAAGGAGGGCCAGATGAAGAGCTTAAAAGGAATCTGAGTATCTTAAAAAGACGTATTCCTTTCAAACAAGAACAGTTAGAGTCACGGATTTTTTAACAAATGACTTTTTAGCAGCAATGATGAAATAGTAAATGACAACTTCAAATAGGCTACCACATATGGAAGTTTCTTGTCAAAGAATATCTTCAAGAATCATGTAAACACATTTTCAGATTAAAACAAACAAACAATGAACGTGGGTTTACCAGCAGACCCGCTCAATGGAAAATTTCTCAAATCTGTGACTGAGTCAAAAGTACATTTGTCCCTGATGGAAAGCTAGAGGTTTTATTTGTTTCTGTATTTATTTTTGATCCTTAGAAGAAAACAGCTTTCTCTCCATTCAGTTCCACCTCATGCTGTTGAGGATGACCATGGGGGCAGTGACTGTGAGGAAGGAGGAAGGCTGTGCTCTCAGGGTGGTCGTGCCTCCTGTCCACCTGAGTGACCTCATGGAGCAGAGCCACCCACACCACCAAGGCCACGTGCCTGCCTCTGCACTGCCATGGCACAGACACAGAAACCTTGTCACATTTAGTCCACCATATTTTGAGGTTTCTTTGTAATAAATTTAATTATGCTCTGATTCTCCTTGTGTCTCTCTCCTTTCAGATTTGGAATCATTTACTTTTCACCATTTTGACTTGAGAATATAGACCTTTGGGATATCAGCATCAGGTAGGTTGTACATTTGTTTGCTTTTCCTAAGAATATATCTAACCGCCTTGAATGGGTTTTGATTTTATCTTCTGTCTCACAGAAAAGCAGAAACTCAAGGTGACTAGGTGCTGTCAATCACAGGAGGGCTAACGTGACAACGGAATTGCTGTATCTCCTGCTGTTGCTACTTACATCTTATTTTCTTTTACTGCGTTCTGTAATAACATTTAGGCTCAAAGAAACATTAATTAGTATTTTTGAATAACATATTAAGTGCTTATGTTTCTTAATTTGAGGGCTATGGTCTACTAAACATCTATATACATTTTGCCATGCAACTTTTCAACCCAACAGAAATGACACATGGGAATTTTAATTGCACTTCCTGTGGAATCCGTTATCTTGACATAAATCATCTCAAGTATAATTTAAGCTGTTAGCCTGCATCAGATTCAATGAGCCTTTTGTGTCTCTACACAGTGTTTTCACATGTAAAAGACATCACTCATTACTCGGGTTCATGTAAATTTATTTGGCAGAACAATCAGATCACGGAAGCAGGCAAGTGGTAACACAAGTGAAATACATGTTAGAAACGACTGGTTTGGGGATAGTTTTATACATGGTAACAGGTGGTCATATTGGGAAATTGCTGTCTTCCCACTTTCCAAACTTGCTCCTTTACCACTCACACGAAACTGCCCTCTCTAGTATTATGGTGAAGAAAGCACTATTGCTTTTTTAACGGAAAGCATTTGTTAGGTTTAAAAGTTCCATGGCAAAATGTATACAGATATGTATCAGACCGCAGCCCTCATATTAAGAAAGCATATAAATTTAGAACATTATTGTCAATAGAATCTATTTATTTATTTATTATTTTAATTTTAATTTTATTATTATTATACTTTAAGTTTTAGGGTACATGTGTACAATGTGCAGGTTTGTTACATATGTATACATGTGCCATGTTGGTGTGCTGCACCCATTAAGACACATGCACACGTATGTTTATTACGGCGCTATTCACAATAGCAAAGACTTGGAACCAACCCAAATGTCCAACAAAGATAGACTGGATAAAGAAAATGTGGCACATATACACCATGGAATACTATGCAGCCATAAAAAATGAAGAGTTCATGTCCTTTGTAGGGACATGGATGAAGCTGGAAACCATCATTCTCAGCAAACTCTGGCAAGGACAAAAAACCAAACACCGCATGCTCTCACTCATAGGTGGGAATTGAACAATGAGAACACATGGACACAGGGTGGGGCACATCACACTCCGGGGACTGTTGTGGGGTGGGGGGAGGGATGAAGGATGGCATTAGGAGACATACCTAATGCTAAATGACGAGTTAATAGAATCTATTAAGGGCATAATTTTTCTATGCATTTACAACTAAAATAGACGATTCAGATTTATTTTCAGGAAAAAAATAGGGTCATGTAAAAATAATGCATTTATTCATTCTTCGAATGATTTTCTTATGACAACATAGTACTAGATATTTCCTCTCTAAAGTACTATGTCAGTAAAATACTTTTAAAATTCTAAGAATTTGAGAAGAAAATAAAAATCTCATGCAATTCTGCATTGTTCCTGTGATATGTTATATAAACTTTATGTTTTCCTCCTGAGTTATTTTGTTTATTTTCAAATCCCACTTTTGGAATTGTAAGAACTCCATTTTCAGTCAGCAAAAGGTAATTGAGGTAAATCAAACTATTTCGGGATTAGGATTTATATTTCCCCTGGATTTTAAAAATCTATAAGTAGTAAAAAACAATCAGACATTATAACTAATTATTCTTAGCCATACTCCCGTGAAAATAGCTGGTGCAGAATGCTTTCTCCACCATAGTACTAGGGAGGGCAGGTTCGTGTGAGTGGTAAAGGAGAGAGAAAGTTTGGAAAGTGGGAAGATAGCAATTTCTCAACATGAACAACTGTTACCATGTATAAAACTATCCCCAGACCAGTCGTTTGCAACATGTTTTTCACTTCTGTTACCACTAATCTGCATCCATGATCTGATTGTTCTGCAAATAAATGGACTCAACAAATGTGGGCCAGACAAGGAGGGTGAAGATGAGCTTCATTCACTCTTCCTTCATCAGAGCTGGCTGTTCCCAGAGCAGGTGGCTACATGTGGCAGCTGATGGAGCCTTAACATGTGGGACTGAGGTGCAGCTGAGGCTTTCATGGGCCAGAGTCCTCAGCAGCAAACTCTGTCCTGAATTCTCCAACAGCCTCCTCTTCTGCAGACTGAGAGACCCTGCTGAGCTGCTCCCCAGACAAGCAGTGCATGTGAGCAGCTGGGACACCCCAGAAGGGAGGTTTCTCTATGGGGCTGTACCACTGTGGGAGGAAGCTGCAGAGCCTGCATGCAGTAATAAACCCCAACATCTTCAGCTCCACCCGGCTGATTTTCAGTGTGAAATCAGTGCCTGACCCACTGCCATTGAACCTGTCTGGGACTCCAGAGGCCCGGTTTGAAACAAAATAGATCAGGAGCTGTGGAGACTGGCCTGGCTTCTGCAGGAACCAATACGAATAGGTGTATCCATCACTGGACAAGAGGCTCTGACTAGACCTACAGGATATGGGGGTGGCTCTCTAGAGGCGACAGGCCAGGAGAGTGGAGTCTGGGCCATCACAGTATCACCACTGGATCCTGAAATAATAACAGAGAAGTGCAAGTTTGTATAGACACATTATGAGCAGCTTTCATGATTTCTCTATGATACTGATTTACAGTTACATATATTTTCAAGTTTTGATTTATATCATGGAAAGTAGACTTTCTAAAATGAACCCATTATTTACCAGCCAGCAGGGAACTCTTTATTTTCAAGATCTTAATCAGAGGTCATTGTTCCTTGGAGGTGAATCCTGATTATTCTTAAGACAAAAATATGAATTCTCTTTCCTGGAGCATAGACCATGTGCCTCTAACACATGGTTGAAATAAATATGGGAAGCTATGGAGCTCCCAGAACTCACCTTCCAACCCCATTTTCCCACCTCATATTTTTTCTATCTTGAGCATTAGCCGCCCCAGGAGCTGAGCAGGGAGCCTCATTGTGAGATGGACTGAGGAGTCCTGATCTGTCGAGGCAAGGTTAGAGCTGAGCTTTTACCTCAGACTCACAAGGGAAGGTCCTCCCCTAGGGTGCAATATGCAAATCACCTGGTGGGTGCAGCAGTGTGGAAAGGGTCAGTGGTGGAGGGGGTATGTCTCTACTGTGAACAATGTGACATAAAATGTTCAATGGAGCAAAACAAACATAGTTCAAGTCAAGTATGCCTGTAGCAGTTGAGGATGGGACACACTAGGGTCTCCTCCCAGTGATGTGACTGAGCATCCCTGCAGCCATGACGACAGCAGGAAACCTTAGCGGCTGGTCCAGTGAGGATGTGGCAGCCAACACTGGAGGGTCTGTAGGGCTTGAGCACCCCAAGGAGTTAGGAAGGAAGAGGCTCTGGAAGGTGCCCTGGAGAGACCTGGCCCCTGTTCACACAGAAGAGGAGCATGTACCTGTGACTGAGGCCTCATGTCCTCTTCCTCAAAGACTCTCCAGGCAACTGCCTGAGCCCACCTGACTCGACTCTCTGTGGACACATCCCCTGGCACCGCAGCCTCTCCTTCCACGCTGAGAGGCGGAGCTTCCTTGAGAGCTTTATGTTTGGGGCCATCACACTGTGCAGGGTCCCAGTGAGTGTTCTGCTCACAGGAGGATGTGCAGCATCTCCAGGCTCCAAAGTAGTGTTTGTGATGGTGAAATCCCTAGAATTTTGGTTAGATGTGAGTCCCTGCTTGTGAATACCTTCTACAGACATGTCATTCTTTGTTTTGCAAGATATTTTCTATGAAGCATCCTTTCTTTGTTTTTGAACCTTTTTTTGGTTAGGAATGTAATTTAAATTGCACTACCTTTAGTCTCCACACTAGTGATTATGGGAGTGAGACCAGTAGATTTTGGGTTGGATGTGTGTTCTCACTCATGAATGGAAAACTACTCTAAAGACTTGTCATTCTTTGTACGTGTGACAAATTACTTGCTATATTTCATGATTTCCTTTTTTTTTGACATTTCTGCTTGGAAATACAATTTTAAATTCATTCACAATGGGATCCATCATCTTAGAATAGACAATAATTTCTGATGTGATTCATTTTTTTAACCAGAAAAAAAGATATTTTGTCCTTTTGATACGAACATTACTTTAATCATATCACCTCACGGCAGTAACAGACATGCTCTTGAATAATTCATAAATATTTTTGGAGCATTATTTTAAGTGACTATATGCAAATCATACATTTTTCTATACCATTACTGTTAGAATATGGAAATCAGATTTATTTTTAGGCAATGACCACATTGTGTAAAAATAATACATTTACTTATTTCAAAACCTTTTATTGTTTTTTATGACAACTTAATATCAAAATTGTCATTTATCAAAACCTGCTGGATTACGTCTTGCTGGGCCTTCTGCTCAGCATGTCAGTGCTTCTGACATCTCCCAGACCCAGACGGTGGTCTCTGCTAGACCTCCTCTAAGGATAGAATAAGTTTCAGAAGCTCTGCTTGGCTGCTGTGATTTCACTAAGACTGAGTGACATGACCTCAGGTCTCCTTGTACAGGGACTTCACTAACCCTTTGGTGATTACACACCTAAAGCCCTACTCACGACATTACTTTCCTGTGAGACTCCCAGTGGCACAGGCTCCGCCCAGGAAGCCACGCAGCAGTGCCTTCAACTCTGTGATTCTTCGCAAGAAACATATTTGGCTCCTTTGTGGGTCCACATCAACTGCCATCACCACCACCATCCACATCCCACCCACCGTAAACCAAGGGCAGTTTAATTGAACAATAGCCGACCTCTCCTGTACCCCTAAGGCCCCTATTCCTGCAGTCTGTCCAATCTTGAATTCTGAACTTTGGGAAATAAAAAAGTTTCCATCATCCTTTATTTTCCCAGTGATCCATGGAAAATACTACATCTTTAGTATACTACATCTTCCAGGATTTGCTTTTTATTTCTAAAACCAGCTTTTGGAGTTTCAAGAACTCCATTTTTCTATCAGTGAGAGATAATTGTAATTAAAAAAAGGTTCAGTATTAGTATCTTGTATCTGCTATGAAATTACAAAATCTATTTGACGCTCACTACCAAGATTTCACTGACTGTCCTCAGCCAGCTCCCTCTGAGGAGAACTAGTGGAGAATGCTGTCTCTCCTGTCTTACGGAGTGGGCAATGAGTGCTAAATAGAAGAAGCGGAAGTTAAAACAAACTAGGAAAATGCCAATTTTAAATATAACCAAATATTTTCTTGAAAATATGGCCGGGTGCGCTGGCTCATGCCGTAATGCCAGCACTCTGGTAGGCTAAGCCCAGTGGATCACTTGAGGTCAGGAGTTGGAGACCAGCCTGGCCAACATGGTGAAACCCCGTCTCTACTAATAATACAAAAATTAGCTGGGCATGTTGGCGAGAGCCTGTAATCTCAGCTACTTGAGAGATGAGGCAGGAGAATCGCTTGAAACTGGGAGGCAGAGGTTGCAGTGAGCTGCGATCATTGCTCCACTGCACTCCAGCCTGGGCGATAGAGGGAGACTCTGTCTCAAAAAAAATCTATATCAATCCATATCTATGTCTATGTCTATATTTATATCTATATCTCTATCTATATCTATCTATCTATCTATCTATCTATCTATCTATCTATCTATCTATCTATCCCAAACTGTTAAACCCTAAGATGTATTCAGTGTGTCTTGCCAGAAATGATCAATTGTCTGGCTGTTTTGCTGAATAAATTTAATAAACAACTGTAGGCAAGGAGGGAGGATGAAGATGAGCTTCCATTCTCCTTTCCCTTTCATCCTGATTTTTAACTCACAGGGCCCTAGAACCTCCTCATACCCCTGTTACTTATGACTGTCAAGGCTGTGTCAGGTGACAGGTACATCAGCAAGAGCGGGAATTGGGCCCGATGGCTCATGCCTCTAATCTCAGCACTTTGGGAGGCCGAATTGGGTGGATGACTTGAGCCCAGGATCTCAAGAGCAGCCTGGACAACATGGCGAAACCCCGTGACTACCAAAACTATATACAAAAATTAATCAGGCTTGGTGGCATGCCCCCTGTGATTCCAGCTACTCCGTAGGCTGTGGTAGGAAAATCACTTGAGCTTGGGATTTCACGGTTGCAATGAGCCATAATCACACCGCTGCACTTCATGCTGGGTAACAGAGTGAGACCCTGTCTTGAAAACATAAAGAAGTAAACAAACAGGTAGTGCTTGAGGTACAGCTGAGGATTCATGGCCCAGAGTCCTCAACAGCAAACCTGCCCCTGAGTTCTCCAACAGCCTCCCCTTTTGCAGACTCAGAGACCCTGCTGAGCTGCTCCCCAGACAAGCAGCACATGTGGGCAGCTGGGCAATCCCAGCAGAGAGGTTTCTGTTCCAGGATGTAGCACTGTGGGGGACCAGTGTGTAGCTTGCATGCAGTAATATAAACCCCAACATCCGCAGCCTCCACCGGGCTGATTTTCAGTGTGAAATCAATGCCCGACCCACTGCCACTGAACCTGTCTGGGACCCCAGAAAACCGGTTAGAAACCTTGCAGATTAGACACTGTGGAGGCTGGCCTGGCTTCTGCAGCTACCAATGTAAATAGGTGTTTCCATTACTATGCAGGAGGCTGCGACTAGACCTGCAGGAGATGGAGGCCGGCTCTCCGGGGGTGATGGACAGGGAGAGTGGAGTCTGGGTCAACAGAATGTCCCCACTAGATCCTGGAATGATGACAGAAAAGGGCAAAGTTATGTACAAATATTGTGCATCATGTTCATAATTTTCCATTTATTATTTCAGCCTGTATAATTTCTTTGCAATTTCAGGAATATCCAATTTCAAAAAGAACTCAACAGATGCAAGGCACAAAGTGGTCTCCCATACCATCATCCTCTTTCTAAGACTTGTGTTTCTTCAGGGCACATATCCTTCCTTCTAAAATCTTCCTCCCTCTCAGAGATCAGTACATCATATGCCTCATGCTGCAGAAAAAGACCTGCATATCTAACACGTGGACTGAACACACATGGGAGACATTGGGCCCCCAGAGCTCACCCTCCCACCCCATTCTCCTCCCTCATCTCCCTGCTGTCCTTACCGGGGACCCGGAGCATTAGCAGCCCCAGGAGCTGAGCAGGGAGCCTCATCGTGAGAAGGTGCCCTGAGGAGTCCTGATCAGTCAAGGCAAGGTTAGAGCTGAGCTTTTATCTCAGACTCACAATGGAAGGTCCTCCCTAGGGGACAATATGCAAATCCCCTGATGGGTGCAGTGGGGTGGAAAGAGCCAAGGGGATGGTGGGAGCCTCTCTTGAGGGCAAAATGACTTAAATATTGTCTCTGTTTAGAGAGAAACCAATAGAGATAAAATCTGTGCTGCATGAGTAGGATAAATTCCCTTTTCTCTTTGTCTTCTCTCTTAGATTTCTCGTTACTTAGAATTTCCCAGGTGCATTTCTCACTTCTCCTTAGCAAGGTTAAGATTCCGTAAACATATGATGATTCTTATTTTTAAATTCATATTGGATTCAGGGTGCAGGATTGGCTTCTTACACTTTTTAATTGATATAAAACACTCACAAAGGATGGAAATGTTAAATATGCAACTAAGTTTTACGTATGTTCGCCATCCAGATGAATCTCTAGAATATTTCAAATTCTCCAGATTCATCCCTTGTGCACCTTCCCAGGCATCAACTGCTCCCCCATCCCAATCAAGGTAACTGGTATTCAGATATTCATTATAATAATTTGGTTTTCCCTGTGCTACAATCTCATATAAATAGAAGTGAACACGTTTGTTTGGCTGTCTCTTGCTTCTTTCTTGTTTCTTTATTATTTTTGAAGTCTTCTTTTCTCGCTGTGCGTTCAAGCTACGATCTGCTGTGATTTCCTGTGATTTTTGAAGAATTTCCTCTTGAATTTTTTATAGAGCACATCTCTGCAAGTAATCATTTCTCTTCATTTTTTAATAAAGAAATGTTTTTACTTTACCTTTATTTTTGAAACATGTTTTAACTGGATATTGAACCCTTTGCTGAGTCCCCCGAACCTGGCATTTAAATATGTAATCCCGCTGTCTTCTAGCCTCTATCAGTCTTGTGAACAGTTAGCCAATTATTCTATTATTGTTTTTCTGGTAAAATGAGCCCGTTTTTTCTTGATACAATTGAGATTTTCTCTTTGTCTGGTTCAGCGTTTTAACTATAATATGTATAGTTGTAGTTTATCCTGAGTGGTTACACTATCTGTTAAATAATATAATAATTATATAATATGTATAGTTATATAATATGTATAGTTGTAGTTTATCCTGAATGGTTACACTACCATTTAGGATAATGCATGGCATTTATCCTGAATAAGTTTCATTATTTTTTCAGTGATTTTTGTCTTGATCTTATAGACCAACGTCTTTTATTACTCTTGATGTATTTGCCATTATTTCTCAGCACTCTCAAGTATGCCATCTCCCAGTGATCATTTCTGTGTGGTTTTTCTCTGCATTTCACTCCACTGTGTGGCTGTATATTGTTTTATGTCTTAGGCAATTTCCACAGCAGCCACAGGGCCAGGCTGCTGGTGCACTTGGAGTGACAGTGCAGTTGGAGTGTCAGCAAATCTGGGCATGGGCCTGGGCTGGTCCACATGGAGGTGGCTCGGTGTCTGAGTTGCCAGCCACGGATGAGGCCCTGGAGCCTGGGTTTAGGGCAATGAAGCCCCATCCTAGGCAGCACAGAAGGGGCTGCTTCTTGAGAGAGTGTGGGAGGAGGGTTTCACAGCATCTTCCTCTCTGGGGTGATATGATTATAGCTGCAGGTTACCTTAATGCCAAAAGCACCAGTGTCCTCTGGAGCAGGCTGCTGTAATCCTCAACAATGAATCCTAATGGGCATCCACTGGGAATGTTGTAGGGTCGGGGCTGCCTGGGGGTTTACTTAGGTCATTAGCTGCAAAGGCTGCAGCGTCCTCCACAGAGCAGGCCATGGGGAGTGCAGTGACCCTGCCTCCTGGCTGATAACAATTGCCTCCTGCTTCTTTCATTTTAGAGGTCTCAGGACTCTCAGGCATGCCGTCTTCTGGCGATGCTTTCTGTATGGTTATTCTGGGCGTTTTTTCTAATTGTGTTCCTGCACATTCTTAACTGGGCTCTTGAACACTCCAAGGGCTATTTTCCATCTTGGATAGCTGTCCCATTGTTGGTCTTGC
The DNA here is from genome assembly GCF_000001405.40 of Homo sapiens. NCBI lineage: Eukaryota > Metazoa > Chordata > Mammalia > Primates > Hominidae > Homo > Homo sapiens. Next base: position 97,370,035 of record NC_000002.12, on the reverse strand, counting down.
TTTTGTTTTTGTGTTTGTATTTTTTGGGGTAGGCAGGCGAAGGCTGGTGTCTCCTAGTCAGTCATCTTGCTGATATCACTCCCCTAGGACATCATTTTGATGATGCGGTAACACTATCATGGAATAATACTTGGGCATGTTGAGGTAAGAATTAGAGTGTTCAGCATGTGGGAGGAACGTGAATTGCTTTGGTCACAGGGTGGACTGATGCCTGTTGTATTCTCCAACAAGGCTGTGACAAGATCTCCTATCCTACATTTTTTTCTAACAGGGTGATCTTGACTCTCCTCCCATTGAACCTACTGCCTTATGCTTCCTTCTGTTGAATTTTGGTAGGCATGCAACTGTGTAGAAGCAATGCTGTTTGTCTTCTGAGGCTATAAGAGGTCATCGAGGCTGCATAACTTCTGCCTGCTCCTCCTCTGGAAGTTTCAAGTAAACCAAGCAGCCACATGAATTGGCAAACAACTCCAGCTGAGAACCTTACGTCTAATGTCATCCACCTTTGAGATGACGCCTACCCTAGCCACTCACTGACTGCATCCTTAGGAAAGCCTGGCAGGAACCTTGTGGAGCCCAGGAAACATCCAGAACCATAGAGATGATAGGCAGTTGATTGCAGTTTTCATGTGTTATTAAGTTGGTGGGTAGTTTGTTTCGTGTGTATTAATAGTACCCAGAATACCAACTTACAGAAGGAATATGGAAGTAGAAAGTCAACTATTGATAGTAGATGAATCTGGGTCCAATTTATATTTCTTACAGTGTTTTTCCAACTTGTCACTGTTTGATATTATGGTAAAATAAAAAGTTATAAAGAGTATGTGCAAATGTACAAAAGGTTACTGAGAGAGAATCAAGGAGACTCAATAAGCGAAAGGTTTTACCATGTTCTTGTATTAGGAAACTTAATATTGTCAATATAATAACTCTCTCCAAATTAATTGAATACTGTGACAATCAAAATCCTGTGAATTTTGTTGAAATTTAAAAGCTGTTTCTAACTTAGATGGGCATTCGAAGAGGCAGAAAACAACAACAACAACAAAAAAAAAACAAAAAAACAACCATGGTAATCTTACATAATAAGAACAAGATTGGAAGATTAACACTTCCCAGTATTGAAGCTTATATTAAGCAACAGGAATGAAAACAGTATGGTATCGGTGAAGGCTGAGACAGATAACCCTGTGCAATGAGTCAGAGAATCTAAAACCAGATCTGCATGTATATATAGTCACTCAATTTACAATAAAAGTGCTACAGCAATTGTCTCAAACCATTTGTACAAAAAAAAATAAACACTTTAGATTGGATAATTACAAACAACATAAATTTATTTTTTTCATGGTTATAAAGGCTGTGAATTCCAAGGTCAACATGCTGGCAATCTCAGTGTCTGGTGAGGACTGTTCCTGCTTCCAAGATTGCACCCTGTGGCTGTGTTGTCACATGTTGGAGGTGGAAAGGCAAAAGTGGCAAGTCTGTGTAAAGCCACCTTATTAGACAGGAATCTCACTCACCAGTGCTGAGCCCTCATGACCTAATCACCTCCCAAAGGGTCTACTTTCTAATACTGTTGCCTTGAGATTCAGTTTTAACAGGAACTTTGGAGGTGACGCAGACATTCAGGCCATAGCAGTGATGTAGTAGAAAAAAATTCTAATAACTGAATTATATTGGATCAATTAGATATCCATATTACATCAAAATAAATCTTAACCTCTTCATTTTACTTCTACACTGATACAAATATCAACTCTAAATTAGAAACTGAAATGTGAAAGGCAAAAGAAGAAAGCTTTTAGAAAATAGTATAAAAAGATATTTCATGAATATGCATGTAGGAAAGATTTCTTGAAGAGAATATGCAAAGCACTAAGCATGAAAGAAAAGACTAATAAATTAGTTTGCATTAACATATTTTTGTAGCTTTAAAGAAATAAATGACAAAATGTTATTTGATACATACATATAAAAGAAATAAACTGCATTAGGAGATAGGAATGTGCGATTGTGGATAACCTCAAATGAGATATAAGTTATTGCCCCAACTTGCATTTTGTGAGTTAGAGTCACAGGAGCTTATCACATTGCTACTAATCACCAAATGAATGACTGAGTTTCGAATAAATAAACAACAAATAGCCATAGATGAAACTGCGTCATGATCAAGACGTTATAATTAACAGATTATCATTGTTGAGTATTATTAATTGAAATAAACAAATGTAATTGCTTGATTTTTAAAAGATTAGAGAGAAAAAAACAAAATTAAATACCCTGCCAATTTTCAAAGAAAATTTCTACAAAATATTTTATGTAATCAATAGAATGAAGAAAAAATATCAGGACCCGGATGAAAATGGAACGAACATATTTCTTCATACTCATTTCACTCAGATGTAACGAGTGAAAAGGTAATCTATCAACACTGCTGATACATGAGAAAATAAAAATCTAAATGTACTTGTTTAAAAAAGCAACTAAGGGGCGGGACCATAGCAACCAGAACTGGCCCTGCCAATGAGCAAATAAGTAATATAAAAGTTGGAAGAACAGTCTCAGTTCATGAAGTAGAGGTATATGAGATTAAATAAAGAAAAGAAAGAGTGAAACAGACAGAAAAACAGGATTGAAAGTCAAGCCCAATAAGGAAATATTTCCCTATATACTAGTCATTAGAACAGGGGTGATAAAGAGAAACATAATTTAAAATATTTATGCCTCTGTTATATATTCATGAGTGCAAATTTAACAGACTCGGAAATCTAGGCAAAATTAGGTAGCAAACACACAGGTGATTTTTACATGTTAAAAAATCAGGATCCAATAAAAAACCAAAATCTAAGGGAGGTTCTTTCTTCAGAGATAAAAATCAGGCTTGCTTCAGCAATGTAGTTTACAAACTCTGTTCCCAGAGAACAATGTAGTGATAGCTACATAACCACAAAAAGTCATTATGCCCATGCTTGCGAACTAAGGAAATGATCAAATATGAAGGAAATGTGCAATTTTGAAAATACACACCAACATAAATTTCATGACCATGTAAAAAAATAGAAAATCTTGAAAGATTTATTTTGATTCATCAAGAGTTTAAGCAGCATGCTCCAGTAAAGGAAGCTGTGCCTTGTGATTTTAAAAGGCTGTTGGTGGCTGGGAGCAGTGGCTCACACCTGTAATCCCAGCACTTTGGGAGGCCAAGGCAGGTGCATCACTTGAGGCCAGGAGTTTGAGACCAGCCTGGCCAACATGGTGAAATCCCGTCTCTACTAAAAATACAAAAATTAGCCGGTCTTGGTGGTGGGTGCCTGTAGTCCCAGCTACTTAGGAGGCTGAGGCAGGAGAATCGTTTGAACCCAGGAGGTCAAGGTTGCAGTGAGCCAAGATGGTGCCACTGTGCTCCAGCCTGGGAGACAGAGCAAGACTCCATCTCAAGAATAAAAATAAAAATAATAAATAAAAAAATAAAAATAAAAGGCTGTTAGTAAAACCTTTGGGTTTGGTAAACACATTGAAGTGCTGGCAGGTGGCTGCCTAGAGAGGACATGGAAGCTTTGCACCATCTCACCCCGTCTCAACCTACCCCGTCATCTTGCCATATGCATCTCTTCAGTTAGGCACTTCCTGAGTTGCATGCTTTATAACAAACCAGGAAATGTAACAAACAAAACAAAACAAAACAATCTTGCTGGAAGGAATCTTGCTTGATTAGTAGAAATGATTAAACCAAGAATCTAAGTCAGTTGAAAATTCACTTACAAATGCAAGTCACTGTATAGGAATAATTCTTGAAATATAAGGTATGTAATATGATACCACATAATTATAATCTAAAAAATCTAAATAAGAATGATAACATTCCTTATGCAAAAACATAAAGCAGAGTCAGGGTGAAGACAATAAAAGGAGCAGTTTTGCTGTTACGCTAATTAAGTATATGGTGAAAATTAATCACCAATTTTTTCTTGACTTTGGAAATACAGAATTGTAGATTCATGTAGGCTTAATAAAATTAAAGTATGCATATATCATTTTCTTCGTGATTATCTTTAAAGGAAAATTTAAGACAAATAAAATAAACTATATTAAAATATGAGTAAAACAAAAACACAAAGTGTGAAAACAAAATCATAAAAAACACCACAGTGGCATTAATACCAACACTTCTGGATTCCACACTGTTGTGAAGGCCTGAGTAAAACCTGTATTCACTCCCCAAGGGAAGAGAATCCATGTTAAATCAGGACAACTGAAGCACTAATATTCTCTTAACAAAACTCCTCTCATCAGACTAACCACTGACCAGATGTTCAGGAGGGACTAATTGCTCTCTCTCCCCCATGATAAAAAATGCTGTCTGACAGCAGAACAGTTGGCGGAAAATAAAATGCAAATATTTTAAACTCAATTTGTGAAGGGCAGTAAATAAATATCTCACAAGACATGGTAAGGATGTTAAGGGCTTCCACCCTGGTCTTGGGGTCCCAACCTGGTTCCATCTCCCTGGATCTGGAACTCATTTCACTGTCACCATCAACACCATGGAGGCTGAGGAGGCTGCAACGTCTTCCTCTCAGCAGGAGGATGAGTTTCCTGAAACAGAGACACAGGCCTGAAGGCAACTTCCTGTGTTTACTTTAAGACTGTAGATGCGCGTGCAAAACGTATTTTCTTTGCATTTTGATCCTTCGTATATTTTCCCTTTGTTTTGGTTAGAACTCACTCACAGTGGTTGTTTATTAATAAAATATTTTTTCCTGTTATATGAGATTCATGGGATTTATTCAACCAGGCATAAAAAAAAATCTGCCTTCTTGAGGTTCTTCTACTTTATGTGAGGAGTTTCGACAGCCAATGAAACAGTTAACTAGTAAAAGGAGTAGACATTAGTGTCCCAGTAACTTCAAATTGGGGGTTCTTGTCCAGAAGTTTAGGAGCCCAGAAACCTAAAGATAGGCACACAGCATAAAGACAAGGCATTCCTTCTCAATTTCTTGTTCCTCCCACAGGAAGTTCTCATTTTTCCTTATTCAGCTCCCCATTTTAATTTTGTTTTGTTTTTCCTAGCTTGTGTCTTGAGCAAATTCCTCCTTCTGTGACCCAACTTCCCCGTGTGGTTCTCAGCCTGTACCGTCCTCTCAATAACTCTGGGAGTGAGTTGGCATCTACAAGGCAGAAATTGGAGACCCTCATTTATGAAGAGCGGGAAAAATTAAAAGAGTAATGAATGAGCGTCTCTGAGCTACCTCAGATTTATTTTTTACACCCTCAAATATTTCAGCTGTTCTCAATACTCATTCACTAAGAGATTCTTTCTTCTTATTACACAGGCTAATGTTACGGCCACTTTGGGAAACGGTCTGGCAGTTTCTCAAATGGTAAAACATGCAATTGCCATATAATCCAGCAATTCCACTTATAGGATTATACACCCCCAAATGAAAACGTTTGTCTACACAAAAAAGTGTATGAATGCCCGTAGCAGTGATACTCAAAGAGACAAAAACTAGAAAAAAACCAAATATCCATTAACTGATACATGGAAAAGCAAAATATGGTATGTATATGCAATAGAATATTATTAGGTCATAAAAAGAAATTAAGTACTCACAGACATGACAACATAGAAATACTCGGCATACCTTTTGGTCGGTGAACTAAGCCAGTCACAAAAGACTACATGTAGTCTGAATGTATTTATGAGAAATGTCCACAAGAGGCAAATTTTAAAAATGTAGAAAGTAGACTCTTGTTTGCCTGAGGAGTTGGGCAAAATCCAAGTGACTTCTAATAGGCACAGGGTTTCTTAAGGCTGATGGAAACGTTCTGTAAGTGATTCATGTTATAAACCCCGAATATCTGAGACAAGTCTCAGTTAATTTAGAAAGTTTTTTTTTCCCAAGGTTAAGGAAATGAGCCTGTGACACAACCTCTGGTCCTAATGACATGTACCCAAGGTAGTTGAGGCACAGCTTGGTTTTACACATTATAGGGAGACATGAGACGTCAGTCAATATATGTAAGATGTATATTGGTTCCGTCCAGAAAGGCGGGACAACTCAAGCAGGGAAGGGGCTTCCAGGTCAGAGGTAGGTAAGACAAACAGTTGCATTCTTTTGAATTTCTGATTAGCGCTTCCAAAGAGGCAATAAGATATGAATTAATCTCAGTGAGCAGAGGGATGATTTGAATAGAATGGGAGGCAGATTGGCCCTAAGAATTTCCCAGCTTGACTAATCCCTTCAGCTTAGTGATTTTTGGGCCCCATGGTTATTTTCCTTTCACAATGTGATTATTGCATAACTCTGTGAATATACTAACACAATTAAATTGTTCAATTTAAATTGAGGAAACATATGGTGTATCAATTATATCACCAGAAAGAGGCTCATTTTAACCGTAAGATTCTAAGAGCAAAGAGAAGTTGGGCAAGAAACATGAAGACTGTATGCAAAAGATCTATTTATTGGGTGTGCCTGGGACCCATTGTTCTGAGAAAAGGTTTGCAAATATTGATATGATCCAACTTTAGAACTAGTGACTGACAGGTTTGTCTTTAAATGGGGTCACCAGAATTCTCCGTGAGGCTCTTCTTCAAGGTGAATGACGATGAACAACTCTCATCACGTATCTACTTGAATTTTACTCATCTCATTTCTATGAATGATATAGCAAGTAGGAAAAAGACTATGTTTTAGTTTCACCTTTCAATGAGTAAAATTGCCAGAGGCTTCAGTGCAGTCTTGGGGGTAGAAAATACTTTGAAGCAAATTGTTCTTGTTCTGTGAATATTACCTAATTTGTTTCATAAATTTAGAGGCACTAAGAATCATTGTTAAGTACGATTCATTTTCAGTACATAGGAATTTCAATTTTTTGCAGTACCAGAAAGACAGGGTGGTGATTCATGTGTCCCTGAGGTCATTTAGACTTTGTGAAACTTGTACGTGGAACCTCTTATATGTGGTGAGATGGACTTATACCTAACATGTGAAAATGAATCTATGATATTATGAAATATAATTTGATGAGATCTTTAAAAAATTCATTTGAAGTTGATTAGTTGAAATGACATTATGCTTTTATAGATTAATTTATTTAATATTTTTGTAGGGTAAATCCCACATATAAAAAACATAACATATTCATAGTATGTACATTTACAAGTCATAAGTGCACAACTTAATGACTTTTCAGACTGAACACACATGGGTGACCACCAAACATACCATGAAACAGAACATCGGCAGTCCACAATTACCCATCTCCCTTCTTATAGTCCTGGCCAGAGAGCCCTAAATTCACACTGGTGCCCTGTGCCCTCCTTTGAAACCATTCCACTCTCAAGACCCTGGCATGCTAGGCCTGTGATGGGAGTGGTAGCCTGATAAATCTCCTAAATGCCTTCAGGGACATTCTTCATTGTCTTGATGAATAGTATCTGGCATCCTTACATGCCCACTATTTTCTGTATCAAAAGTTCACTTGGCCACATCCTTGGTTGTACTCCCTCAAAAAAGCTTTTTCATTCTTCACGATCTGGCGAGACTGAGAAATTTTCCAGTCTTTAAGTTCTGCTTTCCTTTTGATTTTCTTTAATTCATATCTCTCTTGTCACCTTTTATGGTAAGCAGTCAAGAGAAGCCGTGTTGCACCCTCAACACTTTGCTTAGAGATTTATTCTGCCAAACATTCCATTTCATCACTCTTAGGTTCTGCCTTCTACAAAACACTGGGACACAAACACAATTCTGCCAAGTTCTTTACCACTTTATGACAAGAAATGTCTTTCCCCTACTTTCCAGTAGCGTGTTCCTCATTCACCTCTATTCCCCAAAGTAATGCCCTTTATTGTCCATATTTCTGCCAACATTCTCTTCTCATCCATTAGACAGTCTCTAAGGAGACTGAGGCTTTCTCTACAGCTCTGCTCTTCCTCTAAGCCCTCACCAGAGTCACCCTTTGTGGTCTGTTCGTGGCAATACAGGCTTTGCCAGCGCACACTTCCAAACTCTTCCATCATCTACCCATAGCCACTTCCACATTTTAGGAGTTGTGACAGCAGCACCACACTTCTTAGTAGCAATTCCTGTCTTAGTCCATTCTTGCTGCTATAACAAAATACTTAGACTGGGAAATTTAAAAACGTTAGAATTTTATTTCTCATAGGTCTGGAGATGGAAGTTCAATATCAAGGCACTAGAATATTTGGTGTCTGGTGAGGGCCTATTCCTTGTAGATGCTCCCTTCTCTGCATCCTCACATGGAAGAAATGTAAAAAATAATCTAGCAGGCTTTTTTGTGCACTTTGATAAGGGTGCTCATCTCATTTATAAGGGGAGAATGAGATATTTCCTTGTTGCATGAGGCATGAGAAGTATATTTTTCAAGCATCCACACCTGTGAGTCTGATCAAATGTTGTTGGCAATAAAATTGTTCTGAAACCTGGCTGTGCAGCTGAGTCTGAGGAAAAAATCAAGAATCACAATAAAATGTTTGCGGCAATTTACTCCTTACGACTTCCAAATTTTCAAAGAGAGGTAATAATGTTAAAAACCCAGGGGTCACCAAAGCAGTTGTCCACAAAAGCAGCAGCTGGCTTGATCAAAAGAAAAAAAAAATACCTATGGTGTTTGGAAAGGTTTTGTTTCATGCTGAATGAACGTTGTGGGACACACACTGCTATACTGATAAAGTGATAAAGTGCCAAATCTTCAGGCTCCGGCTTGCTGATGGTTCTCCCATGGAGGACCTACTTCCCCATGTCTTGGATCTAGGCTGGGCTCTGGCCTTGTTTTGGCCAGTAGAATGTGGTAAAAGGAAGTCTGTGCCCAAGAGCTCAGACCTTGCAGCTTTCACCTCCCGCTTGGAGTGTAAACTCATCTAACCTATTAGTAGAGGTCACAGAGTGGAGACCCAGGTGCCAAGCAACCACCAGCACCAATGGCTAAATGTAGGTAAAGCGGTTAGTGACATAAAGAGACATTGGGGGATGGTGAGCAGTGGAAATGGTCAGTAGGAAGAAGTATTTCATCTGATATTTATCTGATATTGTTCAGAATTGCCCATGCGTGTTTCTAACAAGAAGCACTTTTTAAAAAAAAAAGACCTTTTTTTGGTGGCAAGACACATTTTTTTTGTCTTAAAATCTTATAGACAGAGACTCTGTGGTCCTCAGGGTGGCTGATAACAGATTCACGGCTGTGGACACCTCTGCCTCCTGGTTAGCCCTGGACACCTGTGCCTCAGTTTCCTACTGAGAGTTAGGCAAAACACCTCACCACGTCACAATGTAATTTCCAAAACTCACTGAGGTCATTATCGCTGTGTCCAGGGTTAAGGCCCCTGCATGGTCTGCAGTGGGAAATGTACTCACCTTGAAAGCCCAGCACCAGGAGGCAGACGAGCAGGGCCAGGAAGCGCATCTTGGAGGGTCCAGGAAAACTGCTGCTTCTGGATCTAAGGGCGAGGAGAATGTGGTTGGGCTGGTCATTCAAGTCTGGGTTTCTCCAGAAGCGGGGCCCAATAAGCACAGGTTTCCTTGGAGTCGATTTGCATGTCTGATGACCTGAACCAGAGCCCTTATCCAGGGCTTCCCAGGGCAGGCAGGCTCATTCTACCTTCAGCTGCCAGGAGGTGGTGGAGGTGATGTTGTGCCTCAGGCCTCATAGTGACTGAGGCTGGGCAGAGCGGGGCCAGTGATGCTGCTCTGTTCACAGGGCTCCTCCCCAGGGGCTGGGACAGAGGTCACCCAAGAACCAGACAGATGTCTGCAGAGAGGACACTGAGCATTCTATTTTTATGGAGATGAGGCTTGTTCTACTTTATGTTCTAAGTAGATGCCAAGTTAAAAGTTGCTCTGAGCCCAGATAAGGCAGAGATCCTAGGAGCCCTCAGCTCTCCTGTGTTCATAGGGAAGCCTCTGGGCTCCGCTGGCCTGCTCTATCACAAGAATCTGTTAGGATATGGATGCAAGAAGTGGGTGGGAAGTGAGTCTCCCTAACAGCTGTCAGCAGTAGCTGAGGCCAGGGGAGGGGCAGATGAGCCAACATTTGATTCTTCTGTCCCAATTTCTAGAGATGATTGGGTATTATATTCCTAAATTAGGGATTTCTCCCATCTACTGTGTCAAAATATGACTAGCAAATGGATTCTTATATACTTTGCAAAACATTTCAAAATGTCTCACGGACTCAACTAAGAAAAAAGGAGACAAAATTATAGACATAGTCATTTCTTTACTTTGGACAATTTTGTCACCTCATTCAGCCCACACCAAATATACTTCCCTAGTCAGTAAAAAGGAGCAAGTGGGAGGCCAAGGTGGAGCTTATCTGAGTCAGGGGCTACCAATCCCTCCATGAGAGCTGAAAACAATCCGAGGTCAAGAGACTCACAGCCCATGACTATGCTCCGTAGAGGCAGCTTCTCCCAGATGGCTGAGGGCTGTCTGTGGCTGTATCTGTTCTCATACATGACAATGAGGGATAGAGCAGGTCTCTATGAAATCCTGAGCAAGGCCATCCTTGTTGTGCCCCTCTGACCTGGACATAGGTGGCACTGGATTCACTTAGAGAAGTAAAGTGACTTGTAATCATGAGAAAAACGAAAAGAAAGGGAGATGGGGAGAGAGCCTGTGGTGTGTGTATGAACAGAAAGAGTTGGTATTTTAATAGTTTAATACACTGAATATGGTCCCTAAGATGCCAGGTCCTCTTCCTTGGAACTTGTGAGTGTCTTTCTTACTATTTAGAGCACATTTGTAGATGTAAATTAAGGATATTGAGATGGAGAGATTATCTGGATTAACCAGGTGGGCCCTAAGTGCAATCACAAATATCCTTATAAGAGAAGCAGAGACAGATTTAACCAAACAGAAGAGAAGACAATGTGAACTCAGAGACAGAGACTGAAGGGAGGTGGCCACAGCCATGGAAACCTGCAGCCACCAGAAGCTGGAAGAGGCAGGGCAGCCTCCCCCTAGAGCCTCTGGAGGAGCCTGGCGGCTAACGCCCAGGTCTCGATGCAGTGAAACTGATTCCAAACTTCTGCCCTCCAGAACTAGGAAAGAATGCATTTCTGTTGTTTTAAGCCAACAAATTGTTGGCCATTTGTTACAGCAGTTCTAGCAAAATAACACAAAATGTGCTCTGGATTTTTCCAAAGTGCAATGGTTGTGTGCAATCTTCTTGTTCAACTTTCTAACGCTATACGTAAATGGATTGGTGGAGGATTTTATGGTGAAAAAAATGCACATGAAACCCATACCGCATAGTGAGGCACCTGTCGTAGAATAAATAATGATGACTTTTAGTTGAAAATGACATCTGGCAAGTAATATCTTACACAGCCTCTTAATTCTAGGAGATTCAGAGGTGCATAAAACAGAACACTGAGTACTTCTCGCTAAAAAGAACAGTTACATTTCATGGCATATCATCTGGTTAAACCCTCAGGACAGCCCTTGATATCTGTAGTGCTCCATTTCACAGATGAGAAAATCTATCATTAGAGGGCATGGGTGGTTTCACCAAAGTCTTATGGTCAGCAAGTGCTAGAGTGGGATTTGAATCCAGGTGTGTCTGACATCAAGTCTGTTCTATCCACAGATGGATCCCACAGCCTGTAAAATGGGAGAAGAGACATTTTCACAGGATGCTGTGAAATTCATAGGTCCCTGCCGCCTCTGCCCCATACCATGTGAACCCTAACATTAAGCTGAGCCTCTTCTGCAGTTTCTTCTATAAAATGCAACTTTCTCCAAGCTTTTACAACTCTGAACAGCTTTATTTCAGACGTGGAGGCAGAAGCACATCTTGCCTTGTCCTGACCCTTCCTCCCCTCTTCTACTCATTTCCATCTCTGACCCTGTCCTTCCCTCTCAGACTGTGTCACAGATCTAATTTGTTCTCCTACTATGAAACCCCAACCTCTCAGTAGCAGTGAAATCTGACCTCTAGGCTCTCACAGATACCCAGAATGTACAAAAGTTAATTGAAGGACTTACCCAGGAGGTTTTCTCCCTAAGAGGAATTCTGGTGCTAGCTCTCCTCATAGTAAACTATACTCTGTCTCTTGTCCAAATTGACTCCAAAGGCTGACAAGCTGGAAAGGGTTGGGAGATCAGAGAGAAACTATCCCCTCAGAAAGACAAATGCCATTCTCTCCCCATGTGTGAGTTTCCTGTAGCTGCTGTAAAAAAATCACCATATCCTTACTGGCTTCAAATAGCATGGGCTTATTCTCTTATGATTCTGGAAGGGAGCAATCTCACACAGGTCTCTCTGGGATAAAATCAAGCTTCCCTGTGGACACCATGGGGAAGAGCTTGTTTCCTTGCCTTCTCCAGCTTTTAAATGCTGCTGTCTCTCCTTCATCATGGCCTTTCCCTCACATCACTCAGCCTCTCCCTCCATAGTCACATCTCCCCAAATTTGACCTTCCTCCTTCCCTCTTATGAGGACAATAATGATTACAAGGAGCCCACGATATACTCCAAGATAGTCTTTCTATCTTAAGATGCTTCATCATATTTGTCAAGATCCTTTTGCCGTATAAGGCAACCTTCACTGGTTCCAGAGATTAGCACATGTAAACTTTTTAATGGGGATGGGAGAGGCAGAGTGCTTTACAGCCTACCAATCCCCCTTATCACCCCTCAACTGTCCTCCCCTAAGGAAGAATCCAGTGTCAGGTGGCTGGGAGAAGGAGAGATCAGGGAGCAGCCAACAGCTTTATAAAGTGAGAGCTGGAGGGATCTGAGTCAGGGCCCTCTGGTCTGGGGGTTTCCTGGGCTGGGGGATTCTTCTTCTGCTGCTGCTCTAATGCAGACATCAGAGTGTGGGGTATTTGTTAGAGGCTCCTCTGATTTTGTGACCCAGAAGAAAGGAATTGGTACTTAATCAGAATCTACGAGAGATTGGTAGAGGAAAATTAAATGTTTTTTTAAATTTTCTGAAGTTCTCTACTCACTATTGTAAGAGTTAAAGAAGGAAGAAAGAAACACGAAAAGTGGCTCAACAGTGAAAGACAGGTTTATTTTGGAGAATAAGCCTGAGAGGGGTGTCTGGTCGAGTTAGGTCAGGAGCACTCTCTCTTACAGACTAAGAATAGTTAAGGGTTCAGGGCAGGAGAGCTTATCACAGGCTTGGAATGTTTCTGTGTCTCTTTGTCTTGCCTATCTGGGAGGCAGAGTTTTTGTGTCTGTTCCCATGCATCTTCCTGCAGCTGCGGGCATACCCCCCAAGTCTGCTTTTAGCATCCCTTTCTTAGTGTACCAAAAGGGAAAGGAATGTGCTTATTAGGGCCCACCATTTTACTGGGGCCCAGTATATGAATGTGAAGTTTGGTGGTTACCAAGAAACTTTCCCTGCTCCTGTACCCAAGCTGTCTTATCTGTGTTTTACTGTCTTGGAGTGAGTTTGCATGTCTGATGACCTGAACCAGAGAAGTGATTTCCTTGAAATGCATGAGGTTAGAAAGGGAGCTGGAACTTTAGATGGTGGTGTTTGTCCAAGATGACGATGCTTCTGCTCTGTCAATTATAAAAGGAGAAGTGGCAAGAATTTGACAGCAGACACCACCACAATTGAGGATTTGCCTATAGTCTTAGGTTAAGTTTCTAACAACAAGGATTCTCATGGAAGTACCTTAATTACAAGCGGCAGGAAACCCTGAGACAGAAGGTGGAACGTGAGAGAGGGAAGAGATGATGGATGGTGAAAGGCCCATCAGCAAGCAGCTACCCATGAGGACCACTAGAGCTCGAGCCCAAGGGGAAACACAAGAAAACGTCTCTGGGCTATTCCACCTGAAAGGTGAGGGAGCTGGGGTATTTATATACCTCACCTTTTCTCACTGATTGAGGACTGTTCTAGGGGATGCTCATTTCAGGCCCTGAGGTCTGCCACATGTGCAGGCAGAGCTGCTTCCCCAACTCCAGCGACAGCAGTGAGGCACAGACATGGCCATGAGGGGTCAGCAGAAGTACAGTGAAGGGGAAAGCCTGCGAGTGAAGACAGACTGCACCATCCATGCAGAAAAGGTGTGGATGTAAAATCTGGATCATCCACTTGTGTTAGCTCTCTATGGAATAGGACCTTGACTGGTCAGTTATAAGCAGATGCCCTAGAAGATCAGACAAGTCTTCCAGGCAGAGCATCAACACCCATAAACCTGGGCTTCCCAGACATGTCTGAGGACCACATGATTGGCAATTATACCTTCTGTGGCAGATGCATTCTGGATTTATGTGGAGATCAAGAGAATCCTTTTTTTTCTAGTATTTGGATCTTTGCCCCCAAGCCTTTTAAAGGCTGTAGTTTAGATTCTCATTCTCTGTATTTAGAAAAAAAAAAATCCTACTTGGAATTCCAAGAGTGGCTTCTCCTTTGTGCTATTAATTCCAACTCACACAATAACTCAGACTCAGGTGTAATCATATCTTTTCCTAATAAAATCAGGAGAGGCATTGCCATGTCTGTGCTGCTGAGGATGCGGAGAAGGAAAGACTGTTAAGGTATAGAGGAAGCTTCATGGCTCCTTCTGCCAAAACTTTCCAGTGATGTCCAAAGCATGGCTGCAATTTGAAAAATGCTCTCTGCAGATGGAGGCACCAGGAGAAGCATCCGTGGCAGCCCACCCTCATACATCTGCTTCCCTTGATGGTTTATGTTATGACTTGTAACACTGTGGGAGTTACTGTTGACAGTAGTAAGTTGCAACATCATCAGGCTGCAGGCTGCTGATGGTTAGAGTGAAATCTGTCCCAGATTCACTACCACTGAACAGAGATGGAACCCCCGTTTGCAAACTGGATACCCTATATATCAGGAGCTTAGGAGCTTTCCCTGGTTTCTGCTGATACCAGGCTAACTGATTGGTAAAACTCTGACTCGCCCGGCAAGTGATGGTGACACTGTCTCCTACAGATGCAGACAGGGAGGATGGAGGCTGGGTCATCTGGATGGCACATCTGGCACCTGAGATTGGAAACATAAAAACAAATTTCCACACAATCAATCATGTTGTAAGAAGCCCTTCCTGAAGACCCAGACAGTACTGAGCACACTGGCTGAGTAAATTCCTAGTGTTCTCCTTCCTTACCTCAGAGCCAGAGCAGCAGGAGCCCCAGGAGCTGAGCGGGGACCCTCATGTCCATGCTGTGTCCTGACTGGGACTGACTTCTGCACAGAGTGTGACCAGTCAATTAAGAAGTCTTCAGGGCAGGGGCCTGTGCTGTAGGACATGCAAATCAGCAGGGGATGGGGCAGGCTGGGCACAGCTGCAGGGCTGGCTCATCTCAGTAACTCAGCACAGGGGAAGTGTCCCCAGGGTCCCAGGTCAGACCAGGGCAGCCCAGATTTGTCTGTAATGAAGCTGTTTTTTCCTGAAGGCCATTTTGTAATGAAGAACCTTTTCTTGATACTTGTCAAAATTTGAAATACTCCTGATTACTTGAGGGAGTAATGTATTCCATTGGTGTATGGCAATTACATAGGTGAATATTCTTCCCTTTCAGAAACACATAGTAAAGTTTTAGAAGGTGGGATCATGAGGTCTTCAATATACTCTGAAAGGGAGGGGGTGTAAAATTGTTCCTTCTTAAAAAAAAAAGAAAATTTATCAAGATAATGCTAAACATATTTGAAAATGTTTTGTAATGACCTTAAGCCATTCTCATTATTACTATAAGGTCAAGCAATTCACTGTAGGTACACAAAGATTATATTGTAAGTCCTCAAAGTATGTTTCACTCACAGATCCACCATAATGCAAGTAAGTAGACCTCTTTAATGCTGGGGATTTTATGGGTTGCATTTTATTTTTGGTGTGGGGACCTCCATATTCAACCCCCTTTTCTGTCATCGGGTATTATTTCCCAAGATTCCTCAACATGAAGGGCTGACTAGTGATGCCAGATCTGATTACTTCAAAATAAGACACTTAATTCTTCTTTCAATTTTAGGAGCCTGGATTAGGATAAACTTGAAATTATCCAAGGATCAATTATCTTAAAAGTATGAAGACCAAGATCATATCCCCTGGGTAATGCTCTGAGCTGCACTCCCCGCCAGCAGGTTCCTTGGGGCTCAGGTGCAGCTTCTCTGGAACCTGAATTCCTGGAGAGCAGGTGAGGGTGAGACCTTGGGAAAGACCAGGACATTGAAGCCTCTCTCTTATTGAGGGCAACTGCTACTTGGTGCATGTCCCTGCCTTGCACAATCAATGCCATTTTCCTCTTTTACTCTTTAGCAGTAAGTAGGGACATCACCGTAACTCAGATGCCAGCCTCCTGTCTCATATCCAGAAGAGAGAATGTCCATCTCCTAAGAAGCAAATGGCCAAGTACATGAAGAAATCACTTGGATCTGGATAAAACTGGACACAGATTTGTACACATTATATCACATCTCCAATGTGGTCCAGGGCATCTCAGCCTGGTTCAGCAGCAGAGGAAGTGGATTCAACTACATCAGCATCAGTGGGCTGCAGCCTGTGGTTCTGGGGCGTATTAATGATGCTTGAGTTAAGAATGGCCAAATTACTGTGGTGTAGCCTGTGCACACACCCTCATGCTGCCTATTCATAGGCTTGGGTTTTAAGGGAAATATCTTGTGTAGAGGGAAAAGTTTCTTTTGCCCTCTAAACGTTTGCTGAAAATATAGAAAAAAAGACAAATTATACTAGAAACAGGCAAATACATTTATTTTGCATGCTTGGAAAAAAATCACAGAAGAGGGATTACCCAGATAACTCAGTGAGGTCTAGGTGCTTATATATCCTTCACAGGGGAGAGGGAAGTGGGGAGTGTCGGCAACCTAGGGAGAGTAAATGACTCAAGAAAAGAAATGGATCCTCAAAAGAATACGTAAAACCCTGCCTGGATGAAGTCAACTTCAAATTTCTTCTGGATTTAATTTCTAGTGCATGTTAATATTCTCTGGTAGAAAAACATTCCCAGAGAGGGTTTTAATGACAATTGGCTTGTTTCTGGAGGATCTGCCTTTAGGAAGATAAGGGCGATTTAGGAAAAGCCCTTTTGTGCATTTGCTCTTTTCTAAACAACTTCAGTTTGAAGTAGTCGCCCTACCAATGTAGCTTATCTTGAGATGTTACTTCCCAGATTCCTTCAGTTGCAACTGACCTGCCAGGAAACACCATTCTAGAGGGATACAGCTCCAGGTGGAAAGTACAGGTGCTTTTTTCTAAATGGTTGGAGCAGTCCCTCTCTGCATCCCATGCCTTTCCCTTTCATTGCGATTCTGCTGATTCCCCATGGCCATCTCTGCCCCTCACTGCTCTCTCTGAGAAAGGCAGCTCTGCCTGCACGCATGGCAGACCACGGGGCTTAGAATGAGCCTTCCCTTGGATGGTGCCATGATTTCACTGTGTCCCCTCAAGTCTATCTGCTGTTAACTTAATCCCCAATGCAAGAGAATTGAGAGGTGGGGTCTAATGGGAAGTGTTCAATCATGAGGGCTCTGCCCTTATGAATGTATTAATGCTACTATAAACAGAGCTTGTGTTATGGATCCACAAGGTATTTGACTGACTTTGTGCAGCAAAACCGGTTATCCATACTGAGTTTGCAGCAGAAGACAGGAAGGCAGGGCAGCTAGCAAAGAGGACCAGGCATCTAATGCTTAAGTCTTGACCTCCCTTATGCCTTACAGGTAAGGGTTTTTAAAAGCAGGGGTAAACTTCAGTAAATCAGAAGTTATAGACAAAATTGTAAATCAATAAATACATAGATAGAGGTCATGTAAGATATTACTAGTCAGGTGTCAATTTCAAATCAAATTCTTCATCTTGGAGTACTTACCCAAAAAGCTGGTAGAGACCAGATTACCAGGAGAACCTCAGCCCGATGACATTGAAGTTAGCCAAATGTCAAAAATCTGTTAAGATCCTGATTTTAGAATTCACCAGCTCCTCAGAAGTTTGGTGAAATATGAGTTATTCAGACTACACTCAGATCAAGTTAGCAGCTAGTCTGGTGTGACAACCTGTTTTTAATCAATGACTCAAAGCTGTGATCACCCTGATGTCAAATCAAATTCTTCAATATTTATTCTACATCTAACAAGTACATCACTAAAGACAGTGAGGTTTCATGCACGTTGCTTCTGTTACCAGTGCATGGTGGCCAGGTTCTTGGCATTTTGAGCAAAGAATTGGACAAAATGCACAAACAAAGCAAGGAAGGGATTTATTGAAAATGAAAGTACACTCCACAGTGTGGGAGAGGGCCTGAGTATAGGGGCTCAAGGGCCCCATTACAGAATTTTTTGGGGTTTAAATACCCTCTAGAGGATTCCATTGGTTACTTGGTATATGCCCCATGTAAATGAAGAGGAGGGAGTAAAGTTACAAAGTCATTTACTTGGTGTAAGCCCTATGGAGAGAATATTTCCTATCATAGCTGAAGTGTGAATCGGCCGTATGTTCCCTGCCTCCAGACCCTATTTTCTTGCCTCATTTCCATCATAGAAACTTCTACCTATCTTTTGCTGCATAGCATGAGAAAGATAAGCAAGATGACAATTGACTATAACACTCTTGTTCTGGGTTGTCCTGGAGCCCCATTTGTGTTATTGTCAACTCTTGGTATCCTAAGACTATGGCCACAGGTCTGAGTTCTAAGTTCCTTCTCACACCCACAGCCTTTCCCAGGAATCACTTTGGCTTCCTTCGTGCTGGGACCCAACCTCTTGCCACCCTCCCTGGAATCCAGCACTAACTACTTGGAAGCTTTTCTAAGAACCATTATTAGTTCATTGATTTTCAGTAGGCTGGAATTTCAATGCTTTCCAGGACAAAAAAGAGAGTGGTGATTCATGTGTCCCTGGGGTCATTAAGATGTTGTGGAACTTGTGGTTACCCAAGAACCTCTTACATTGGATGAGATGGGCTTATATATGACATGTGAAAATGAACCCATATTATTACTAAATATAATTTGATGGGACTGCAGAAAAAAGTTCATTTGTGGTTAATTAGTTGAAATGAGATTATGCTTTATAGATTATTTAGTAAATTTTTGGTAGAGAAAATCTCACATATACATATACATCCACAAACCATAACACATATATTGTATGTACACTCACAAATCATATATGAACTATTTAATGAATTTTCAGCGTGAACACACCTGAATGACCACCAACCATACCATGAAACATAACATTGGCAGTCCCCAAGTACCCACCTCCCTTCTTATAGTCCTGGGCAGAGAGCCCCCAAATCACACAGGTACCCTGTGCCCTCCTTTGAAACTGTTCCACTCTCAAGACCCTGGCATGCTGGGCCTATGATGGGAGTGGCAGCCTGGTAAATTTTCTTCAGGATCATTCTTACATTGTCTTCATGAATAGCATCTGCAGTTCTTAAATCCCTATGATTCTCTTTATCAAATGTTCACTTGGCCACATCCTTGATGTTCTCCCTCAGACAAGCTTTTTCATTCTTTATAATCTGGCCAGGCTGAGAGATTTTCAAAACTTTAAGTTCTGCTTCCCTTTTAATTATAAATTGTGTCTTTAATTCATCTCTTTATTCTCACCTTTTATTGTAAGCAGTCAAGAGAAGCCATGCTGCTTAGAGATTTCTTCTGCCAAACGTCCCACTTCATCACTCTTAGGTTCTGCCTTCCACAAAACACTGGGACACAAACACAATTCTGCCAAATTCTTTACCACTTTATGACAAGAAATGTCTTTCCACTAGTTTCCAATAGCATGTTCCTCATTCCCCTCCATTCCTCAAAATAATGTCCTTTATTGTCCATATTTCTGCCAACATTCTCTTCGCAACCATTAGACAGTCTCTAAGGAGACTGAGGCTTTCTCTACAGCTCTGCTCTTCCTCTAAGCCCTCACCAGAGTCACCCTTTGTGGTCTGTTCGTGGCAATACAGGCTTTGACAGCGCACACTTCCAAACTCTTCCAGCCTCTACCCATAGCCATTTCTACATTAGGGGTTGTGTAGGGGTTGTGAGAGCAGCACCCCACTTCTCAGTAGCAATTCCTGTCTTAGCCAATTCTTGCTGCTATAGCAAAATACTTAGACTGGGTAATTTACAAACAATAGAATTTTATTTCTCATAGTTCTGGAGATGAGAAGTCCAAGATCAAGGTACTGGAATATTTGGTGTCTGGTGAGGGCCTATTCCTCATAGATGCTCCCTTCTCTGCAGCCTCAGGTGGAAGAAATGCAAAAAATAATCTAGCAAGCTTTCTTGTGCACTTTTATTAGGGCACTTCTCTCATTCACGAAGCGAGACCCCCTCATGAACTAATTATCTCTTGAAGGCCCAACTCTTAATATTGCTTTAAGGATTAAGTTTCAACATGAAATTTGGAAGAACACAAACATTCAGGTCATAACTACTTTCTCTGTAACATAATTTGCAATTTTCTCTGTACATAATCTTTTTATTTATGAATCATGATAGTTTTAATTCTTTCTTTTCACTTCTCATTTTTTTGTTTTTTTGTTGTTGTTGCCTTGTTGCATGAAGCATGAGAAGTATGTCTTTTTAAGCACTCACTCTTATGAGTCTGATCAAATGTTGTTGACAATAAAATTGGTCTAAAAGCCTGCTGTGCAACTAAGTCTGAGAAAAATTTGGGAATTAAAATAAAGGAATCAAAATTAAGAAACATTAAAATAAAATAAGTTCAGAGTAAATTACTCCTCAGAACTTCAAAGTTTCCAAATAAAGGCAAAGATACTACAACTGAGGGGCCACTAAAGCAGCTACTCATGAAGGAAGCAGCTTGTTTGAGGGAAAAAAAAGTACCTATGGTGTTTTGAAAGGTTTTGTTTTATGTTGAATAACTGTGAAATTCCAACTACTATACAGATAAGAGTAATCAAGTGCAAAATCTTCAGGTTCCAGGTTACTGTTGGTGAGAGTAAAGTACATCCCAGATTCACAGCTACTGAGCCCCACTGGGATGTCAGTGGCCCTGGTGAATGCACCATGCTTGAGCAGCTGGGGATCCTGCCCAGGTTTCTGCTGGTCAGTCAGAGCAGCCAGTGCTCTGAATGATCCTGCAGATGAGGGAGGCTCTTTGCCCTGGAGACAAAGACAGAGAGGTGGGAGATTGGTCAACGTAATTTCTCCAGTATTCTGACATTGGAATAAAACAAACAAGTCACCTATATAAGCTGCATCAAACCCAGTGTCTTCCCAGTACAGCCAGAATCACTGCTACACTGAATTTTAATTAGGATCCTTGCTCAGCAGTGGTGCCAGGTCAGAGGAACCCACAAGGTTGAGAGAGTTTCACTGATATGCAGCACCATTTCCTTCTCCCCTCACCATGTCCCCCTCATTTGACACCCAGAGTAACAAGAGACAGAGAGGCTGAGCTGGGGCTTCCGTGGTTCCCTATGGGTCCTAACTGAGCAGCTCTTCCCCTGAGCTCTTATCCAGGCATTGATAAGGGTTCTGATCAGCAGGGCAACCGGGAGGGACATGCAAAGCAGCTGGGGCAGGCACTGGGCTTCCAGCTGCAGAGACCACCTGCCTCCTCCTGTCTGCACTGAGCAGCCCCTGCCCAGGTGGTCAGGTCGGGAAAGGCCATTGGCTCAGCCTGAGGGTAGAGCTTCCCTGTGGCTACAGAATTTAATCCCTGTCCTCCTGCCTCACCAGTCACCTACACTCAGCCAGATGGTGTTTTGCACAAGCATGTTGAGCAGAGGTCCCCAATCTTTTTGGCACCAGGGATCAGTTTTGTGAAAGACTATTTTTCCACAAACTGGGGGGTGGGGATGGTTTCCAGATGATTCAAGTGCATTACATTTATTGTGCACTTTATATATTTATTTATTTATTTATTTATTTATTGCGGCAGAGTCTCGCTCTGTCGCCCAGACTGGAGTGCAGTGGCGCGATCTCGGCTCACTGCCAGCTCCGCCTCCCGGGTTCACGCCATTCTCCTGCCTCAGCCTCCCGAGTAGCTGAGTTCAGGTCATCAGACATGCAAATCGACTCCAGGGAAACCTGTGCTTATTGGGCCCCGCTTCTGGAGAAACCCAGACTTGAATGACCAGCCCAACCACATTCTCCTCGCCCTTAGATCCAGAAGCAGCAGTTTTCCTGGACCCTCCAAGATGCGCTTCCTGGCCCTGCTCGTCTGCCTCCTGGTGCTGGGCTTTCAAGGTGAGTACATTTCCCACTGCAGACCATGCAGGGGCCTTAACCCTGGACACAGCGATAATGACCTCAGTGAGTTTTGGAAATTACATTGTGACGTGGTGAGGTGTTTTGCCTAACTCTCAGTAGGAAACTGAGGCACAGGTGTCCAGGGCTAACCAGGAGGCAGAGGTGTCCACAGCCGTGAATCTGTTATCAGCCACCCTGAGGACCACAGAGTCTCTGTCTATAAGATTTTAAGACAAAAAAAATGTGTCTTGCCACCAAAAAAAGGTCTTTTTTTTTTTAAAAAGTGCTTCTTGTTAGAAACACGCATGGGCAATTCTGAACAATATCAGATAAATATCAGATGAAATACTTCTTCCTACTGACCATTTCCACTGCTCACCATCCCCCAATGTCTCTTTATGTCACTAACCGCTTTACCTACATTTAGCCATTGGTGCTGGTGGTTGCTTGGCACCTGGGTCTCCACTCTGTGACCTCTACTAATAGGTTAGATGAGTTTACACTCCAAGCGGGAGGTGAAAGCTGCAAGGTCTGAGCTCTTGGGCACAGACTTCCTTTTACCACATTCTACTGGCCAAAACAAGGCCAGAGCCCAGCCTAGATCCAAGACATGGGGAAGTAGGTCCTCCATGGGAGAACCATCAGCAAGCCGGAGCCTGAAGATTTGGCACTTTATCACTTTATCAGTATAGCAGTGTGTGTCCCACAACGTTCATTCAGCATGAAACAAAACCTTTCCAAACACCATAGGTATTTTTTTTTTCTTTTGATCAAGCCAGCTGCTGCTTTTGTGGACAACTGCTTTGGTGACCCCTGGGTTTTTAACATTATTACCTCTCTTTGAAAATTTGGAAGTCGTAAGGAGTAAATTGCCGCAAACATTTTATTGTGATTCTTGATTTTTTCCTCAGACTCAGCTGCACAGCCAGGTTTCAGAACAATTTTATTGCCAACAACATTTGATCAGACTCACAGGTGTGGATGCTTGAAAAATATACTTCTCATGCCTCATGCAACAAGGAAATATCTCATTCTCCCCTTATAAATGAGATGAGCACCCTTATCAAAGTGCACAAAAAAGCCTGCTAGATTATTTTTTACATTTCTTCCATGTGAGGATGCAGAGAAGGGAGCATCTACAAGGAATAGGCCCTCACCAGACACCAAATATTCTAGTGCCTTGATATTGAACTTCCATCTCCAGACCTATGAGAAATAAAATTCTAACGTTTTTAAATTTCCCAGTCTAAGTATTTTGTTATAGCAGCAAGAATGGACTAAGACAGGAATTGCTACTAAGAAGTGTGGTGCTGCTGTCACAACTCCTAAAATGTGGAAGTGGCTATGGGTAGATGATGGAAGAGTTTGGAAGTGTGCGCTGGCAAAGCCTGTATTGCCACGAACAGACCACAAAGGGTGACTCTGGTGAGGGCTTAGAGGAAGAGCAGAGCTGTAGAGAAAGCCTCAGTCTCCTTAGAGACTGTCTAATGGATGAGAAGAGAATGTTGGCAGAAATATGGACAATAAAGGGCATTACTTTGGGGAATAGAGGTGAATGAGGAACACGCTACTGGAAAGTAGGGGAAAGACATTTCTTGTCATAAAGTGGTAAAGAACTTGGCAGAATTGTGTTTGTGTCCCAGTGTTTTGTAGAAGGCAGAACCTAAGAGTGATGAAATGGAATGTTTGGCAGAATAAATCTCTAAGCAAAGTGTTGAGGGTGCAACACGGCTTCTCTTGACTGCTTACCATAAAAGGTGACAAGAGAGATATGAATTAAAGAAAATCAAAAGGAAAGCAGAACTTAAAGACTGGAAAATTTCTCAGTCTCGCCAGATCGTGAAGAATGAAAAAGCTTTTTTGAGGGAGTACAACCAAGGATGTGGCCAAGTGAACTTTTGATACAGAAAATAGTGGGCATGTAAGGATGCCAGATACTATTCATCAAGACAATGAAGAATGTCCCTGAAGGCATTTAGGAGATTTATCAGGCTACCACTCCCATCACAGGCCTAGCATGCCAGGGTCTTGAGAGTGGAATGGTTTCAAAGGAGGGCACAGGGCACCAGTGTGAATTTAGGGCTCTCTGGCCAGGACTATAAGAAGGGAGATGGGTAATTGTGGACTGCCGATGTTCTGTTTCATGGTATGTTTGGTGGTCACCCATGTGTGTTCAGTCTGAAAAGTCATTAAGTTGTGCACTTATGACTTGTAAATGTACATACTATGAATATGTTATGTTTTTTATATGTGGGATTTACCCTACAAAAATATTAAATAAATTAATCTATAAAAGCATAATGTCATTTCAACTAATCAACTTCAAATGAATTTTTTAAAGATCTCATCAAATTATATTTCATAATATCATAGATTCATTTTCACATGTTAGGTATAAGTCCATCTCACCACATATAAGAGGTTCCACGTACAAGTTTCACAAAGTCTAAATGACCTCAGGGACACATGAATCACCACCCTGTCTTTCTGGTACTGCAAAAAATTGAAATTCCTATGTACTGAAAATGAATCGTACTTAACAATGATTCTTAGTGCCTCTAAATTTATGAAACAAATTAGGTAATATTCACAGAACAAGAACAATTTGCTTCAAAGTATTTTCTACCCCCAAGACTGCACTGAAGCCTCTGGCAATTTTACTCATTGAAAGGTGAAACTAAAACATAGTCTTTTTCCTACTTGCTATATCATTCATAGAAATGAGATGAGTAAAATTCAAGTAGATACGTGATGAGAGTTGTTCATCGTCATTCACCTTGAAGAAGAGCCTCACGGAGAATTCTGGTGACCCCATTTAAAGACAAACCTGTCAGTCACTAGTTCTAAAGTTGGATCATATCAATATTTGCAAACCTTTTCTCAGAACAATGGGTCCCAGGCACACCCAATAAATAGATCTTTTGCATACAGTCTTCATGTTTCTTGCCCAACTTCTCTTTGCTCTTAGAATCTTACGGTTAAAATGAGCCTCTTTCTGGTGATATAATTGATACACCATATGTTTCCTCAATTTAAATTGAACAATTTAATTGTGTTAGTATATTCACAGAGTTATGCAATAATCACATTGTGAAAGGAAAATAACCATGGGGCCCAAAAATCACTAAGCTGAAGGGATTAGTCAAGCTGGGAAATTCTTAGGGCCAATCTGCCTCCCATTCTATTCAAATCATCCCTCTGCTCACTGAGATTAATTCATATCTTATTGCCTCTTTGGAAGCGCTAATCAGAAATTCAAAAGAATGCAACTGTTTGTCTTACCTACCTCTGACCTGGAAGCCCCTTCCCTGCTTGAGTTGTCCCGCCTTTCTGGACGGAACCAATATACATCTTACATATATTGACTGACGTCTCATGTCTCCCTATAATGTGTAAAACCAAGCTGTGCCTCAACTACCTTGGGTACATGTCATTAGGACCAGAGGTTGTGTCACAGGCTCATTTCCTTAACCTTGGGAAAAAAAAACTTTCTAAATTAACTGAGACTTGTCTCAGATATTCGGGGTTTATAACATGAATCACTTACAGAACGTTTCCATCAGCCTTAAGAAACCCTGTGCCTATTAGAAGTCACTTGGATTTTGCCCAACTCCTCAGGCAAACAAGAGTCTACTTTCTACATTTTTAAAATTTGCCTCTTGTGGACATTTCTCATAAATACATTCAGACTACATGTAGTCTTTTGTGACTGGCTTAGTTCACCGACCAAAAGGTATGCCGAGTATTTCTATGTTGTCATGTCTGTGAGTACTTAATTTCTTTTTATGACCTAATAATATTCTATTGCATATACATACCATATTTTGCTTTTCCATGTATCAGTTAATGGATATTTGGTTTTTTTCTAGTTTTTGTCTCTTTGAGTATCACTGCTACGGGCATTCATACACTTTTTTGTGTAGACAAACGTTTTCATTTGGGGGTGTATAATCCTATAAGTGGAATTGCTGGATTATATGGCAATTGCATGTTTTACCATTTGAGAAACTGCCAGACCGTTTCCCAAAGTGGCCGTAACATTAGCCTGTGTAATAAGAAGAAAGAATCTCTTAGTGAATGAGTATTGAGAACAGCTGAAATATTTGAGGGTGTAAAAAATAAATCTGAGGTAGCTCAGAGACGCTCATTCATTACTCTTTTAATTTTTCCCGCTCTTCATAAATGAGGGTCTCCAATTTCTGCCTTGTAGATGCCAACTCACTCCCAGAGTTATTGAGAGGACGGTACAGGCTGAGAACCACACGGGGAAGTTGGGTCACAGAAGGAGGAATTTGCTCAAGACACAAGCTAGGAAAAACAAAACAAAATTAAAATGGGGAGCTGAATAAGGAAAAATGAGAACTTCCTGTGGGAGGAACAAGAAATTGAGAAGGAATGCCTTGTCTTTATGCTGTGTGCCTATCTTTAGGTTTCTGGGCTCCTAAACTTCTGGACAAGAACCCCCAATTTGAAGTTACTGGGACACTAATGTCTACTCCTTTTACTAGTTAACTGTTTCATTGGCTGTCGAAACTCCTCACATAAAGTAGAAGAACCTCAAGAAGGCAGATTTTTTTTTATGCCTGGTTGAATAAATCCCATGAATCTCATATAACAGGAAAAAATATTTTATTAATAAACAACCACTGTGAGTGAGTTCTAACCAAAACAAAGGGAAAATATACGAAGGATCAAAATGCAAAGAAAATACGTTTTGCACGCGCATCTACAGTCTTAAAGTAAACACAGGAAGTTGCCTTCAGGCCTGTGTCTCTGTTTCAGGAAACTCATCCTCCTGCTGAGAGGAAGACGTTGCAGCCTCCTCAGCCTCCATGGTGTTGATGGTGACAGTGAAATGAGTTCCAGATCCAGGGAGATGGAACCAGGTTGGGACCCCAAGACCAGGGTGGAAGCCCTTAACATCCTTACCATGTCTTGTGAGATATTTATTTACTGCCCTTCACAAATTGAGTTTAAAATATTTGCATTTTATTTTCCGCCAACTGTTCTGCTGTCAGACAGCATTTTTTATCATGGGGGAGAGAGAGCAATTAGTCCCTCCTGAACATCTGGTCAGTGGTTAGTCTGATGAGAGGAGTTTTGTTAAGAGAATATTAGTGCTTCAGTTGTCCTGATTTAACATGGATTCTCTTCCCTTGGGGAGTGAATACAGGTTTTACTCAGGCCTTCACAACAGTGTGGAATCCAGAAGTGTTGGTATTAATGCCACTGTGGTGTTTTTTATGATTTTGTTTTCACACTTTGTGTTTTTGTTTTACTCATATTTTAATATAGTTTATTTTATTTGTCTTAAATTTTCCTTTAAAGATAATCACGAAGAAAATGATATATGCATACTTTAATTTTATTAAGCCTACATGAATCTACAATTCTGTATTTCCAAAGTCAAGAAAAAATTGGTGATTAATTTTCACCATATACTTAATTAGCGTAACAGCAAAACTGCTCCTTTTATTGTCTTCACCCTGACTCTGCTTTATGTTTTTGCATAAGGAATGTTATCATTCTTATTTAGATTTTTTAGATTATAATTATGTGGTATCATATTACATACCTTATATTTCAAGAATTATTCCTATACAGTGACTTGCATTTGTAAGTGAATTTTCAACTGACTTAGATTCTTGGTTTAATCATTTCTACTAATCAAGCAAGATTCCTTCCAGCAAGATTGTTTTGTTTTGTTTTGTTTGTTACATTTCCTGGTTTGTTATAAAGCATGCAACTCAGGAAGTGCCTAACTGAAGAGATGCATATGGCAAGATGACGGGGTAGGTTGAGACGGGGTGAGATGGTGCAAAGCTTCCATGTCCTCTCTAGGCAGCCACCTGCCAGCACTTCAATGTGTTTACCAAACCCAAAGGTTTTACTAACAGCCTTTTATTTTTATTTTTTTATTTATTATTTTTATTTTTATTCTTGAGATGGAGTCTTGCTCTGTCTCCCAGGCTGGAGCACAGTGGCACCATCTTGGCTCACTGCAACCTTGACCTCCTGGGTTCAAACGATTCTCCTGCCTCAGCCTCCTAAGTAGCTGGGACTACAGGCACCCACCACCAAGACCGGCTAATTTTTGTATTTTTAGTAGAGACGGGATTTCACCATGTTGGCCAGGCTGGTCTCAAACTCCTGGCCTCAAGTGATGCACCTGCCTTGGCCTCCCAAAGTGCTGGGATTACAGGTGTGAGCCACTGCTCCCAGCCACCAACAGCCTTTTAAAATCACAAGGCACAGCTTCCTTTACTGGAGCATGCTGCTTAAACTCTTGATGAATCAAAATAAATCTTTCAAGATTTTCTATTTTTTTACATGGTCATGAAATTTATGTTGGTGTGTATTTTCAAAATTGCACATTTCCTTCATATTTGATCATTTCCTTAGTTCGCAAGCATGGGCATAATGACTTTTTGTGGTTATGTAGCTATCACTACATTGTTCTCTGGGAACAGAGTTTGTAAACTACATTGCTGAAGCAAGCCTGATTTTTATCTCTGAAGAAAGAACCTCCCTTAGATTTTGGTTTTTTATTGGATCCTGATTTTTTAACATGTAAAAATCACCTGTGTGTTTGCTACCTAATTTTGCCTAGATTTCCGAGTCTGTTAAATTTGCACTCATGAATATATAACAGAGGCATAAATATTTTAAATTATGTTTCTCTTTATCACCCCTGTTCTAATGACTAGTATATAGGGAAATATTTCCTTATTGGGCTTGACTTTCAATCCTGTTTTTCTGTCTGTTTCACTCTTTCTTTTCTTTATTTAATCTCATATACCTCTACTTCATGAACTGAGACTGTTCTTCCAACTTTTATATTACTTATTTGCTCATTGGCAGGGCCAGTTCTGGTTGCTATGGTCCCGCCCCTTAGTTGCTTTTTTAAACAAGTACATTTAGATTTTTATTTTCTCATGTATCAGCAGTGTTGATAGATTACCTTTTCACTCGTTACATCTGAGTGAAATGAGTATGAAGAAATATGTTCGTTCCATTTTCATCCGGGTCCTGATATTTTTTCTTCATTCTATTGATTACATAAAATATTTTGTAGAAATTTTCTTTGAAAATTGGCAGGGTATTTAATTTTGTTTTTTTCTCTCTAATCTTTTAAAAATCAAGCAATTACATTTGTTTATTTCAATTAATAATACTCAACAATGATAATCTGTTAATTATAACGTCTTGATCATGACGCAGTTTCATCTATGGCTATTTGTTGTTTATTTATTCGAAACTCAGTCATTCATTTGGTGATTAGTAGCAATGTGATAAGCTCCTGTGACTCTAACTCACAAAATGCAAGTTGGGGCAATAACTTATATCTCATTTGAGGTTATCCACAATCGCACATTCCTATCTCCTAATGCAGTTTATTTCTTTTATATGTATGTATCAAATAACATTTTGTCATTTATTTCTTTAAAGCTACAAAAATATGTTAATGCAAACTAATTTATTAGTCTTTTCTTTCATGCTTAGTGCTTTGCATATTCTCTTCAAGAAATCTTTCCTACATGCATATTCATGAAATATCTTTTTATACTATTTTCTAAAAGCTTTCTTCTTTTGCCTTTCACATTTCAGTTTCTAATTTAGAGTTGATATTTGTATCAGTGTAGAAGTAAAATGAAGAGGTTAAGATTTATTTTGATGTAATATGGATATCTAATTGATCCAATATAATTCAGTTATTAGAATTTTTTTCTACTACATCACTGCTATGGCCTGAATGTCTGCGTCACCTCCAAAGTTCCTGTTAAAACTGAATCTCAAGGCAACAGTATTAGAAAGTAGACCCTTTGGGAGGTGATTAGGTCATGAGGGCTCAGCACTGGTGAGTGAGATTCCTGTCTAATAAGGTGGCTTTACACAGACTTGCCACTTTTGCCTTTCCACCTCCAACATGTGACAACACAGCCACAGGGTGCAATCTTGGAAGCAGGAACAGTCCTCACCAGACACTGAGATTGCCAGCATGTTGACCTTGGAATTCACAGCCTTTATAACCATGAAAAAAATAAATTTATGTTGTTTGTAATTATCCAATCTAAAGTGTTTATTTTTTTTTGTACAAATGGTTTGAGACAATTGCTGTAGCACTTTTATTGTAAATTGAGTGACTATATATACATGCAGATCTGGTTTTAGATTCTCTGACTCATTGCACAGGGTTATCTGTCTCAGCCTTCACCGATACCATACTGTTTTCATTCCTGTTGCTTAATATAAGCTTCAATACTGGGAAGTGTTAATCTTCCAATCTTGTTCTTATTATGTAAGATTACCATGGTTGTTTTTTTGTTTTTTTTTTGTTGTTGTTGTTGTTTTCTGCCTCTTCGAATGCCCATCTAAGTTAGAAACAGCTTTTAAATTTCAACAAAATTCACAGGATTTTGATTGTCACAGTATTCAATTAATTTGGAGAGAGTTATTATATTGACAATATTAAGTTTCCTAATACAAGAACATGGTAAAACCTTTCGCTTATTGAGTCTCCTTGATTCTCTCTCAGTAACCTTTTGTACATTTGCACATACTCTTTATAACTTTTTATTTTACCATAATATCAAACAGTGACAAGTTGGAAAAACACTGTAAGAAATATAAATTGGACCCAGATTCATCTACTATCAATAGTTGACTTTCTACTTCCATATTCCTTCTGTAAGTTGGTATTCTGGGTACTATTAATACACACGAAACAAACTACCCACCAACTTAATAACACATGAAAACTGCAATCAACTGCCTATCATCTCTATGGTTCTGGATGTTTCCTGGGCTCCACAAGGTTCCTGCCAGGCTTTCCTAAGGATGCAGTCAGTGAGTGGCTAGGGTAGGCGTCATCTCAAAGGTGGATGACATTAGACGTAAGGTTCTCAGCTGGAGTTGTTTGCCAATTCATGTGGCTGCTTGGTTTACTTGAAACTTCCAGAGGAGGAGCAGGCAGAAGTTATGCAGCCTCGATGACCTCTTATAGCCTCAGAAGACAAACAGCATTGCTTCTACACAGTTGCATGCCTACCAAAATTCAACAGAAGGAAGCATAAGGCAGTAGGTTCAATGGGAGGAGAGTCAAGATCACCCTGTTAGAAAAAAATGTAGGATAGGAGATCTTGTCACAGCCTTGTTGGAGAATACAACAGGCATCAGTCCACCCTGTGACCAAAGCAATTCACGTTCCTCCCACATGCTGAACACTCTAATTCTTACCTCAACATGCCCAAGTATTATTCCATGATAGTGTTACCGCATCATCAAAATGATGTCCTAGGGGAGTGATATCAGCAAGATGACTGACTAGGAGACACCAGCCTTCGCCTGCCTACCCCAAAAAATACAAACACAAAAACAAAAGCAAGACCAACAATGGGACAGCTATCCAAGATGGAAAATAGCCCTTGGAGTGTTCAAGAGCCCAGTTAAGAATGTGCAGGAACACAATTAGAAAAAACGCCCAGAATAACCATACAGAAAGCATCGCCAGAAGACGGCATGCCTGAGAGTCCTGAGACCTCTAAAATGAAAGAAGCAGGAGGCAATTGTTATCAGCCAGGAGGCAGGGTCACTGCACTCCCCATGGCCTGCTCTGTGGAGGACGCTGCAGCCTTTGCAGCTAATGACCTAAGTAAACCCCCAGGCAGCCCCGACCCTACAACATTCCCAGTGGATGCCCATTAGGATTCATTGTTGAGGATTACAGCAGCCTGCTCCAGAGGACACTGGTGCTTTTGGCATTAAGGTAACCTGCAGCTATAATCATATCACCCCAGAGAGGAAGATGCTGTGAAACCCTCCTCCCACACTCTCTCAAGAAGCAGCCCCTTCTGTGCTGCCTAGGATGGGGCTTCATTGCCCTAAACCCAGGCTCCAGGGCCTCATCCGTGGCTGGCAACTCAGACACCGAGCCACCTCCATGTGGACCAGCCCAGGCCCATGCCCAGATTTGCTGACACTCCAACTGCACTGTCACTCCAAGTGCACCAGCAGCCTGGCCCTGTGGCTGCTGTGGAAATTGCCTAAGACATAAAACAATATACAGCCACACAGTGGAGTGAAATGCAGAGAAAAACCACACAGAAATGATCACTGGGAGATGGCATACTTGAGAGTGCTGAGAAATAATGGCAAATACATCAAGAGTAATAAAAGACGTTGGTCTATAAGATCAAGACAAAAATCACTGAAAAAATAATGAAACTTATTCAGGATAAATGCCATGCATTATCCTAAATGGTAGTGTAACCATTCAGGATAAACTACAACTATACATATTATATAACTATACATATTATATAATTATTATATTATTTAACAGATAGTGTAACCACTCAGGATAAACTACAACTATACATATTATAGTTAAAACGCTGAACCAGACAAAGAGAAAATCTCAATTGTATCAAGAAAAAACGGGCTCATTTTACCAGAAAAACAATAATAGAATAATTGGCTAACTGTTCACAAGACTGATAGAGGCTAGAAGACAGCGGGATTACATATTTAAATGCCAGGTTCGGGGGACTCAGCAAAGGGTTCAATATCCAGTTAAAACATGTTTCAAAAATAAAGGTAAAGTAAAAACATTTCTTTATTAAAAAATGAAGAGAAATGATTACTTGCAGAGATGTGCTCTATAAAAAATTCAAGAGGAAATTCTTCAAAAATCACAGGAAATCACAGCAGATCGTAGCTTGAACGCACAGCGAGAAAAGAAGACTTCAAAAATAATAAAGAAACAAGAAAGAAGCAAGAGACAGCCAAACAAACGTGTTCACTTCTATTTATATGAGATTGTAGCACAGGGAAAACCAAATTATTATAATGAATATCTGAATACCAGTTACCTTGATTGGGATGGGGGAGCAGTTGATGCCTGGGAAGGTGCACAAGGGATGAATCTGGAGAATTTGAAATATTCTAGAGATTCATCTGGATGGCGAACATACGTAAAACTTAGTTGCATATTTAACATTTCCATCCTTTGTGAGTGTTTTATATCAATTAAAAAGTGTAAGAAGCCAATCCTGCACCCTGAATCCAATATGAATTTAAAAATAAGAATCATCATATGTTTACGGAATCTTAACCTTGCTAAGGAGAAGTGAGAAATGCACCTGGGAAATTCTAAGTAACGAGAAATCTAAGAGAGAAGACAAAGAGAAAAGGGAATTTATCCTACTCATGCAGCACAGATTTTATCTCTATTGGTTTCTCTCTAAACAGAGACAATATTTAAGTCATTTTGCCCTCAAGAGAGGCTCCCACCATCCCCTTGGCTCTTTCCACCCCACTGCACCCATCAGGGGATTTGCATATTGTCCCCTAGGGAGGACCTTCCATTGTGAGTCTGAGATAAAAGCTCAGCTCTAACCTTGCCTTGACTGATCAGGACTCCTCAGGGCACCTTCTCACGATGAGGCTCCCTGCTCAGCTCCTGGGGCTGCTAATGCTCCGGGTCCCCGGTAAGGACAGCAGGGAGATGAGGGAGGAGAATGGGGTGGGAGGGTGAGCTCTGGGGGCCCAATGTCTCCCATGTGTGTTCAGTCCACGTGTTAGATATGCAGGTCTTTTTCTGCAGCATGAGGCATATGATGTACTGATCTCTGAGAGGGAGGAAGATTTTAGAAGGAAGGATATGTGCCCTGAAGAAACACAAGTCTTAGAAAGAGGATGATGGTATGGGAGACCACTTTGTGCCTTGCATCTGTTGAGTTCTTTTTGAAATTGGATATTCCTGAAATTGCAAAGAAATTATACAGGCTGAAATAATAAATGGAAAATTATGAACATGATGCACAATATTTGTACATAACTTTGCCCTTTTCTGTCATCATTCCAGGATCTAGTGGGGACATTCTGTTGACCCAGACTCCACTCTCCCTGTCCATCACCCCCGGAGAGCCGGCCTCCATCTCCTGCAGGTCTAGTCGCAGCCTCCTGCATAGTAATGGAAACACCTATTTACATTGGTAGCTGCAGAAGCCAGGCCAGCCTCCACAGTGTCTAATCTGCAAGGTTTCTAACCGGTTTTCTGGGGTCCCAGACAGGTTCAGTGGCAGTGGGTCGGGCATTGATTTCACACTGAAAATCAGCCCGGTGGAGGCTGCGGATGTTGGGGTTTATATTACTGCATGCAAGCTACACACTGGTCCCCCACAGTGCTACATCCTGGAACAGAAACCTCTCTGCTGGGATTGCCCAGCTGCCCACATGTGCTGCTTGTCTGGGGAGCAGCTCAGCAGGGTCTCTGAGTCTGCAAAAGGGGAGGCTGTTGGAGAACTCAGGGGCAGGTTTGCTGTTGAGGACTCTGGGCCATGAATCCTCAGCTGTACCTCAAGCACTACCTGTTTGTTTACTTCTTTATGTTTTCAAGACAGGGTCTCACTCTGTTACCCAGCATGAAGTGCAGCGGTGTGATTATGGCTCATTGCAACCGTGAAATCCCAAGCTCAAGTGATTTTCCTACCACAGCCTACGGAGTAGCTGGAATCACAGGGGGCATGCCACCAAGCCTGATTAATTTTTGTATATAGTTTTGGTAGTCACGGGGTTTCGCCATGTTGTCCAGGCTGCTCTTGAGATCCTGGGCTCAAGTCATCCACCCAATTCGGCCTCCCAAAGTGCTGAGATTAGAGGCATGAGCCATCGGGCCCAATTCCCGCTCTTGCTGATGTACCTGTCACCTGACACAGCCTTGACAGTCATAAGTAACAGGGGTATGAGGAGGTTCTAGGGCCCTGTGAGTTAAAAATCAGGATGAAAGGGAAAGGAGAATGGAAGCTCATCTTCATCCTCCCTCCTTGCCTACAGTTGTTTATTAAATTTATTCAGCAAAACAGCCAGACAATTGATCATTTCTGGCAAGACACACTGAATACATCTTAGGGTTTAACAGTTTGGGATAGATAGATAGATAGATAGATAGATAGATAGATAGATAGATAGATAGATATAGATAGAGATATAGATATAAATATAGACATAGACATAGATATGGATTGATATAGATTTTTTTTGAGACAGAGTCTCCCTCTATCGCCCAGGCTGGAGTGCAGTGGAGCAATGATCGCAGCTCACTGCAACCTCTGCCTCCCAGTTTCAAGCGATTCTCCTGCCTCATCTCTCAAGTAGCTGAGATTACAGGCTCTCGCCAACATGCCCAGCTAATTTTTGTATTATTAGTAGAGACGGGGTTTCACCATGTTGGCCAGGCTGGTCTCCAACTCCTGACCTCAAGTGATCCACTGGGCTTAGCCTACCAGAGTGCTGGCATTACGGCATGAGCCAGCGCACCCGGCCATATTTTCAAGAAAATATTTGGTTATATTTAAAATTGGCATTTTCCTAGTTTGTTTTAACTTCCGCTTCTTCTATTTAGCACTCATTGCCCACTCCGTAAGACAGGAGAGACAGCATTCTCCACTAGTTCTCCTCAGAGGGAGCTGGCTGAGGACAGTCAGTGAAATCTTGGTAGTGAGCGTCAAATAGATTTTGTAATTTCATAGCAGATACAAGATACTAATACTGAACCTTTTTTTAATTACAATTATCTCTCACTGATAGAAAAATGGAGTTCTTGAAACTCCAAAAGCTGGTTTTAGAAATAAAAAGCAAATCCTGGAAGATGTAGTATACTAAAGATGTAGTATTTTCCATGGATCACTGGGAAAATAAAGGATGATGGAAACTTTTTTATTTCCCAAAGTTCAGAATTCAAGATTGGACAGACTGCAGGAATAGGGGCCTTAGGGGTACAGGAGAGGTCGGCTATTGTTCAATTAAACTGCCCTTGGTTTACGGTGGGTGGGATGTGGATGGTGGTGGTGATGGCAGTTGATGTGGACCCACAAAGGAGCCAAATATGTTTCTTGCGAAGAATCACAGAGTTGAAGGCACTGCTGCGTGGCTTCCTGGGCGGAGCCTGTGCCACTGGGAGTCTCACAGGAAAGTAATGTCGTGAGTAGGGCTTTAGGTGTGTAATCACCAAAGGGTTAGTGAAGTCCCTGTACAAGGAGACCTGAGGTCATGTCACTCAGTCTTAGTGAAATCACAGCAGCCAAGCAGAGCTTCTGAAACTTATTCTATCCTTAGAGGAGGTCTAGCAGAGACCACCGTCTGGGTCTGGGAGATGTCAGAAGCACTGACATGCTGAGCAGAAGGCCCAGCAAGACGTAATCCAGCAGGTTTTGATAAATGACAATTTTGATATTAAGTTGTCATAAAAAACAATAAAAGGTTTTGAAATAAGTAAATGTATTATTTTTACACAATGTGGTCATTGCCTAAAAATAAATCTGATTTCCATATTCTAACAGTAATGGTATAGAAAAATGTATGATTTGCATATAGTCACTTAAAATAATGCTCCAAAAATATTTATGAATTATTCAAGAGCATGTCTGTTACTGCCGTGAGGTGATATGATTAAAGTAATGTTCGTATCAAAAGGACAAAATATCTTTTTTTCTGGTTAAAAAAATGAATCACATCAGAAATTATTGTCTATTCTAAGATGATGGATCCCATTGTGAATGAATTTAAAATTGTATTTCCAAGCAGAAATGTCAAAAAAAAAGGAAATCATGAAATATAGCAAGTAATTTGTCACACGTACAAAGAATGACAAGTCTTTAGAGTAGTTTTCCATTCATGAGTGAGAACACACATCCAACCCAAAATCTACTGGTCTCACTCCCATAATCACTAGTGTGGAGACTAAAGGTAGTGCAATTTAAATTACATTCCTAACCAAAAAAAGGTTCAAAAACAAAGAAAGGATGCTTCATAGAAAATATCTTGCAAAACAAAGAATGACATGTCTGTAGAAGGTATTCACAAGCAGGGACTCACATCTAACCAAAATTCTAGGGATTTCACCATCACAAACACTACTTTGGAGCCTGGAGATGCTGCACATCCTCCTGTGAGCAGAACACTCACTGGGACCCTGCACAGTGTGATGGCCCCAAACATAAAGCTCTCAAGGAAGCTCCGCCTCTCAGCGTGGAAGGAGAGGCTGCGGTGCCAGGGGATGTGTCCACAGAGAGTCGAGTCAGGTGGGCTCAGGCAGTTGCCTGGAGAGTCTTTGAGGAAGAGGACATGAGGCCTCAGTCACAGGTACATGCTCCTCTTCTGTGTGAACAGGGGCCAGGTCTCTCCAGGGCACCTTCCAGAGCCTCTTCCTTCCTAACTCCTTGGGGTGCTCAAGCCCTACAGACCCTCCAGTGTTGGCTGCCACATCCTCACTGGACCAGCCGCTAAGGTTTCCTGCTGTCGTCATGGCTGCAGGGATGCTCAGTCACATCACTGGGAGGAGACCCTAGTGTGTCCCATCCTCAACTGCTACAGGCATACTTGACTTGAACTATGTTTGTTTTGCTCCATTGAACATTTTATGTCACATTGTTCACAGTAGAGACATACCCCCTCCACCACTGACCCTTTCCACACTGCTGCACCCACCAGGTGATTTGCATATTGCACCCTAGGGGAGGACCTTCCCTTGTGAGTCTGAGGTAAAAGCTCAGCTCTAACCTTGCCTCGACAGATCAGGACTCCTCAGTCCATCTCACAATGAGGCTCCCTGCTCAGCTCCTGGGGCGGCTAATGCTCAAGATAGAAAAAATATGAGGTGGGAAAATGGGGTTGGAAGGTGAGTTCTGGGAGCTCCATAGCTTCCCATATTTATTTCAACCATGTGTTAGAGGCACATGGTCTATGCTCCAGGAAAGAGAATTCATATTTTTGTCTTAAGAATAATCAGGATTCACCTCCAAGGAACAATGACCTCTGATTAAGATCTTGAAAATAAAGAGTTCCCTGCTGGCTGGTAAATAATGGGTTCATTTTAGAAAGTCTACTTTCCATGATATAAATCAAAACTTGAAAATATATGTAACTGTAAATCAGTATCATAGAGAAATCATGAAAGCTGCTCATAATGTGTCTATACAAACTTGCACTTCTCTGTTATTATTTCAGGATCCAGTGGTGATACTGTGATGGCCCAGACTCCACTCTCCTGGCCTGTCGCCTCTAGAGAGCCACCCCCATATCCTGTAGGTCTAGTCAGAGCCTCTTGTCCAGTGATGGATACACCTATTCGTATTGGTTCCTGCAGAAGCCAGGCCAGTCTCCACAGCTCCTGATCTATTTTGTTTCAAACCGGGCCTCTGGAGTCCCAGACAGGTTCAATGGCAGTGGGTCAGGCACTGATTTCACACTGAAAATCAGCCGGGTGGAGCTGAAGATGTTGGGGTTTATTACTGCATGCAGGCTCTGCAGCTTCCTCCCACAGTGGTACAGCCCCATAGAGAAACCTCCCTTCTGGGGTGTCCCAGCTGCTCACATGCACTGCTTGTCTGGGGAGCAGCTCAGCAGGGTCTCTCAGTCTGCAGAAGAGGAGGCTGTTGGAGAATTCAGGACAGAGTTTGCTGCTGAGGACTCTGGCCCATGAAAGCCTCAGCTGCACCTCAGTCCCACATGTTAAGGCTCCATCAGCTGCCACATGTAGCCACCTGCTCTGGGAACAGCCAGCTCTGATGAAGGAAGAGTGAATGAAGCTCATCTTCACCCTCCTTGTCTGGCCCACATTTGTTGAGTCCATTTATTTGCAGAACAATCAGATCATGGATGCAGATTAGTGGTAACAGAAGTGAAAAACATGTTGCAAACGACTGGTCTGGGGATAGTTTTATACATGGTAACAGTTGTTCATGTTGAGAAATTGCTATCTTCCCACTTTCCAAACTTTCTCTCTCCTTTACCACTCACACGAACCTGCCCTCCCTAGTACTATGGTGGAGAAAGCATTCTGCACCAGCTATTTTCACGGGAGTATGGCTAAGAATAATTAGTTATAATGTCTGATTGTTTTTTACTACTTATAGATTTTTAAAATCCAGGGGAAATATAAATCCTAATCCCGAAATAGTTTGATTTACCTCAATTACCTTTTGCTGACTGAAAATGGAGTTCTTACAATTCCAAAAGTGGGATTTGAAAATAAACAAAATAACTCAGGAGGAAAACATAAAGTTTATATAACATATCACAGGAACAATGCAGAATTGCATGAGATTTTTATTTTCTTCTCAAATTCTTAGAATTTTAAAAGTATTTTACTGACATAGTACTTTAGAGAGGAAATATCTAGTACTATGTTGTCATAAGAAAATCATTCGAAGAATGAATAAATGCATTATTTTTACATGACCCTATTTTTTTCCTGAAAATAAATCTGAATCGTCTATTTTAGTTGTAAATGCATAGAAAAATTATGCCCTTAATAGATTCTATTAACTCGTCATTTAGCATTAGGTATGTCTCCTAATGCCATCCTTCATCCCTCCCCCCACCCCACAACAGTCCCCGGAGTGTGATGTGCCCCACCCTGTGTCCATGTGTTCTCATTGTTCAATTCCCACCTATGAGTGAGAGCATGCGGTGTTTGGTTTTTTGTCCTTGCCAGAGTTTGCTGAGAATGATGGTTTCCAGCTTCATCCATGTCCCTACAAAGGACATGAACTCTTCATTTTTTATGGCTGCATAGTATTCCATGGTGTATATGTGCCACATTTTCTTTATCCAGTCTATCTTTGTTGGACATTTGGGTTGGTTCCAAGTCTTTGCTATTGTGAATAGCGCCGTAATAAACATACGTGTGCATGTGTCTTAATGGGTGCAGCACACCAACATGGCACATGTATACATATGTAACAAACCTGCACATTGTACACATGTACCCTAAAACTTAAAGTATAATAATAATAAAATTAAAATTAAAATAATAAATAAATAAATAGATTCTATTGACAATAATGTTCTAAATTTATATGCTTTCTTAATATGAGGGCTGCGGTCTGATACATATCTGTATACATTTTGCCATGGAACTTTTAAACCTAACAAATGCTTTCCGTTAAAAAAGCAATAGTGCTTTCTTCACCATAATACTAGAGAGGGCAGTTTCGTGTGAGTGGTAAAGGAGCAAGTTTGGAAAGTGGGAAGACAGCAATTTCCCAATATGACCACCTGTTACCATGTATAAAACTATCCCCAAACCAGTCGTTTCTAACATGTATTTCACTTGTGTTACCACTTGCCTGCTTCCGTGATCTGATTGTTCTGCCAAATAAATTTACATGAACCCGAGTAATGAGTGATGTCTTTTACATGTGAAAACACTGTGTAGAGACACAAAAGGCTCATTGAATCTGATGCAGGCTAACAGCTTAAATTATACTTGAGATGATTTATGTCAAGATAACGGATTCCACAGGAAGTGCAATTAAAATTCCCATGTGTCATTTCTGTTGGGTTGAAAAGTTGCATGGCAAAATGTATATAGATGTTTAGTAGACCATAGCCCTCAAATTAAGAAACATAAGCACTTAATATGTTATTCAAAAATACTAATTAATGTTTCTTTGAGCCTAAATGTTATTACAGAACGCAGTAAAAGAAAATAAGATGTAAGTAGCAACAGCAGGAGATACAGCAATTCCGTTGTCACGTTAGCCCTCCTGTGATTGACAGCACCTAGTCACCTTGAGTTTCTGCTTTTCTGTGAGACAGAAGATAAAATCAAAACCCATTCAAGGCGGTTAGATATATTCTTAGGAAAAGCAAACAAATGTACAACCTACCTGATGCTGATATCCCAAAGGTCTATATTCTCAAGTCAAAATGGTGAAAAGTAAATGATTCCAAATCTGAAAGGAGAGAGACACAAGGAGAATCAGAGCATAATTAAATTTATTACAAAGAAACCTCAAAATATGGTGGACTAAATGTGACAAGGTTTCTGTGTCTGTGCCATGGCAGTGCAGAGGCAGGCACGTGGCCTTGGTGGTGTGGGTGGCTCTGCTCCATGAGGTCACTCAGGTGGACAGGAGGCACGACCACCCTGAGAGCACAGCCTTCCTCCTTCCTCACAGTCACTGCCCCCATGGTCATCCTCAACAGCATGAGGTGGAACTGAATGGAGAGAAAGCTGTTTTCTTCTAAGGATCAAAAATAAATACAGAAACAAATAAAACCTCTAGCTTTCCATCAGGGACAAATGTACTTTTGACTCAGTCACAGATTTGAGAAATTTTCCATTGAGCGGGTCTGCTGGTAAACCCACGTTCATTGTTTGTTTGTTTTAATCTGAAAATGTGTTTACATGATTCTTGAAGATATTCTTTGACAAGAAACTTCCATATGTGGTAGCCTATTTGAAGTTGTCATTTACTATTTCATCATTGCTGCTAAAAAGTCATTTGTTAAAAAATCCGTGACTCTAACTGTTCTTGTTTGAAAGGAATACGTCTTTTTAAGATACTCAGATTCCTTTTAAGCTCTTCATCTGGCCCTCCTTTTTTCTGATTCAATGTATTGTTTAATTTTTTACTTATGACTAATTAATCAATTAATTTTCACAATCACAGAATCAAATGTCCGATAAGTTGCTATGTCAAAGACCTGTCTGAAGATGGCAAAAACACTCCACAATAAACAAAAGACAACACCATGGTCTCAGGAACACTGGGAAAGTAGGAGTGCTGGTGTCCCATTCTCAACAGGGAGCCCGAAAGGTAGAGGCGGGTCTTTCTTGTGACCTGGGCACCGGGGAGGAGCCACCCATGTGCTGAGTTGTGGGAACCTGCCCCATTCTCTGAGACTGGAAGCAAGGCCCCGGCTGTGTCCCACCTGCTATGGACTGAATTGTGCCCTCAGATTCATGTTGAAACCCTAATTTCAATATGACTGTAGAAATTAGGACCTCTAAAGATGTAATTGAGGTCATAAGGGGGGTCCCTGATCCAGTAGAATTCGTGTTTTGTTGTTTTTGCTTTGTTTTGTTTGTTTGCTTGTTTGTTTTTGAGGCAGAGTCTCGCTCTGTCGCCCAGGCTGGAGTGCAGTGGCGCCATCTCAGCTCACTGCAAGCTCCGTCTCCCGGGTTCACACCATTCTCCTGCCTCAGCCTCCCGAGTAGCTGGGATTACAGGTGCCCGCCACCACTCCCGGCTAATTTTTTGTATTTTTAGTGGAGGCGGGGTTTCACCGCGTTAGCCAGGATGGTCTCGATCTCCTGACCTCATGATCTGCCCGCCTCGGCCTCCCAAAGTGCTGCGATTACAGGCGTGAGCCACTGCGCCTGGCAAATTCGTGTTTTTATAAGATTCAGAGAGCTCTCCTTTCTCCCTTCTCTCTCTAATTGCCTTCCGCTCTATGGAAAGGCTGTGTGAAGACACCGTGAGAAGGTGGCATCTGCAAACCAGGAAGAAGGTCTTTACCAGAAAGCAAACCCTGCTGGACATCGATCTGGGCTATTCCAGGCACCAGAAATATGAAAATTAAATTCTGTGGTTTCTGCCATCCAATCCAGTTTTTTTGGTGTGGCAATGCAAGCTGACTCATCCACTTTTCCCACTCTCTCTGAGCAGGATCAGCCTCAGGAGACCCTCGTGGACGTGGGGACCTGGTGTTGCTCCTCTTCCTCCTGCTTTTCCAATTCTCTGGTGAAGAGGGAGAACTCGGGCTTCACCTTCAGTTTCAGTTCTGTGTATTAAACATGAATTTAATGCAGTTTCTTTGCATTAAACATCCTTCAAGATGAAGTCTGTCGCCCATTTTGCTTGTTCATCAGAATTCAGTCAAACTGAATGAAGTAGTTATTTAGAATTAACACTTGGGGATGTTCATAATTGTTCCCCACTTATGTGACAGTTGGGATATTGTGCGGTGCTCATCTCCAGGCCCCTCCCTGTGTTCCAGGAGACAGGGTCACTGTCACCAGCAGAGCCAGTCACGGAAATAACAGTGTCCTAGCCTAGCTCCACAGGAAATAAGGGCTGACGCTGATCTCCTGCTGGCTCCCACTGCCCCCTGGACACGATGCCCGCCTGGGTCAAGGGGGTGAGTCTGGACAGACGTCACTCTGGCCATCAACAGCCTAACTACCTTCATGACCTCCCATTGTGAACAGAGTCCCAGAAGTTGCTTGAGCCATGAAAGTTGGACAGAGAAATCCCACATCACTGCAGTCAGAGGGGGGCTGTGAAAAGACCGTGGGGGGGGGGTTTCATACTATGATCATGCAGCACTGAGCCATGGCTGCCACTCTGTCTGACGGGAGCCCCCGGGGGAAGATCCACTCAC
Source organism: Homo sapiens (assembly GCF_000001405.40). Lineage (NCBI taxonomy): Eukaryota > Metazoa > Chordata > Mammalia > Primates > Hominidae > Homo > Homo sapiens. The sequence continues at coordinate 97,326,677 of NC_000002.12, read as the reverse complement.
ACTGTGCTCTAGAGGTCGTTTTTGTCACCATCTTGGTTCTAGCTGGTTTGGGCCAGTTTCTGTAGCGCATCCTCTTTTGTCGAGATCCTGTTCCAGTCAGCGTTGTCATGACCAATGTTGGGATCGGTGCTCAGAACACAAGTCCTGATGATCTCCTACCTTACACTCGCTGCCTTCTGTGAATCAGATATTCTGATAAGGATCCTGTTGGATCCTACTCGAATCAGGGGCCACACAGACCCTCACTGAGGGCTGAGGACCACAGGCATCTGAAGATAAGCAGAGGTCCAGAGAATGATAGCCCCTGACTGTCCTCTGTGAAGACAGCTTCTCCCCAGATGGCTGAGGACTATCTTTGGCTGTGTCCTTCTTTCTGAGTGATAATGAGGGATAGAGCAGGTCTCTAAGCCAAACCACAACATTTCAGGGACAATGATACCTATGCAGGCCCTCCTATGTGTGCTGCTCTAACCTAGACATAGGTGGCACTGGATACGCTTAGGGAAGTGAGGAGATTTATAATCAGAAGGAAGAAAGAGGGAACGAGAGGAGGAGAGAGAGAGAGAAGAGCGTGTGATGTGTGTATAGTACCAACACTGAAGAGTCATTCTATAATGGTTTAGTGCTGAGTATGGTGCTCAAATGATCAGGCTGTATTCCATGGAAACTATACAGGTACCTTTCACAGGAAAAGAGCCTTTGCACATGAAATTAAGGATTATAAAACAGGCAGATTATCCTGTATTGACCAGGTGGGCCCTAAAGGGGCCTGTCTTTGTTAAATGTCATTTTTAAAAATCCTGCAGAAGAGAAGGCCATCTGAAGACAGCAACAGAGATTGAAATGATTTGGACTCAAGCCAATGAAAGCTTAAACCAACAAAAGCTAAGAGAAGTAAAAAAAAATAGACTTGCCCCTGGAGACCCTGGAGCAGCTTTGTCTGATGACAGCCTGCTCCTGGCTGCTGAAACTGATGCTGGACTTCTGGCCTCCAGAACTATAAGAGAATATATTTCTATTTCTTTAAGCTACCAAAGTTTTGGTAATTTGTTATAGCAGCCCAAAAATACTAATACAAATGGGGCTTAGAATAAATCCAGCCTAAAGGTAGTATAATGATTGGGAATCTCCACGTTCGATTCTCTAATGTTACACATATTAGAAGATTTTATGAGGAAATAGCGTACAGGAAACCCCACGGTGTATACTGGAGCATCTGTTAATTATATAATAAATGTTGATAATTCTTAGTAGAGCATGACATCTGGGTAGTAATATCTTATCTAGAATCTTCATTCTAAGATATTCAAGGATGCAGAAAAGGGGCCCTAAGTAGTCTTTTCATACATATATATGCATAGATACATTTCCTGGTGCATCAACTAGAGAAACCTTCAGGACAGCCCTTGATATCCTTGGTGCTACTTTTCACAGGTGAGTAAACTGTTCATCAGAGCACAGGGGTGGTTTGCCCAAAGATACATGGCCAGCAATTATCAGGGCTGAGCTTGGAACCCAGCTTAAATATGTCGCTTCCACATGGCCACATTTGTTCCATGGAGGAATGAATGGCTTTTAAACTCAGAGAAGAGACAAAGCCGGAAGGGTGGTGTGGAATTCTCAGCAAGCGCCTTGCTACCTCTGAACCTTGCCATGATTACCACAATTATAAACTCAGGCCTTTCTGCAGTTTTGTCCACATAGCAAAACTTCCTCCAAGTCTTTAAAATTTAAATGTCTTTCTTTCAGATTTGAGGGCAGGAGCACATCTCGCATTGCCCTGAACACTTTGCTTCTTTTCTACCATCCTCATCTCCCTGAGCCGGCTCTTCCCTCTCAAAATGTGTCCTATCAATCTGATTTCTTCTCCTAATGTGAAAACAAATGAACAAATAGCCCCCTACTTTTGTCATCTCCAGAGAACACAAGAGCTAATCACATACCCAGAGAGTATGAGAGTTTAAAGGATTTATCCAAGAGCTTTTACACATAAGAAGTATTCTGCTGCTAGCCCTCTTCACAGTGAAATGCCTGTGTGTCTTGTTAAAACTGACACTAAAAAATGACAAGATAGAGCCATTTTGAAGAACGGAGGGTGACCATTCCAAGATAATTCAGGTGTTTCCTAAATTTTCTAAATATCCCTATGCGTTAAAAAAAAGATTTGACAAGAATTCAGACCATACCGTCCAAGAAAGAATGTTTTTCTGCTTTCTTAGGTTGGCTCTTTCAGGGATAATGATGCCTATGCAGGCAGCATGTTTATAATGCACAGGAAACACGGGGAGGAAACAAGGCAGTGAAGGAGGAAAGAAAGGAGGGACTCCAAAAGTCTCCTCAGCAAAGAGCTACCGCTGAGGATGGCTGGAGCTCAAGCCCACGTGGAAACAGGGGAAAATGTCTCAGTATTATTCCAGCTGAGAAGAGAGGGAGCTGGGGTATATACACCTCTCCTGTCCTCACTGATTGAGGGCTTTCTGAGAGGATGCTCATTCCAGGTGCTGTGAAAGGCCATGTGTGCAGGCAGGGCTGCCTTCTCCAGTTTGACATAGAGCAGTGAGGAACAGATATGGCCATGGGGAGTCAGCAGAAGTACAGCAAAGGGGAAAGGCAAAGGGTAGCAAGAGTGACTGCTACATTCACCTCCCCGCACAAAAAAAATGTGTGTATTTCAATCCAGAGCTTCTTCTCTCTGAACCTAAATCTTAGCAAGCAGTTTGCCAGTAATTTCCCTTGAAATTCAGGCCCCTGGAAAGCAGCAGGAGATCTGGGTACAGGCTATACCACTGTGGTCTGCTCACTCTTAGTGATGCGTGAGTAATGCTCCCTGGACTCCCCAGGTTCTAGTCTTCTCATGTCGATGTAGTTGATTCCACTTCCCTTGCTGCACAACCAGGCTGGGATGCCTGGGCAGAGGCAGACATGTGAGGTATAGGGGTTCAAATCTGTTTCCAAGTTTTATCCAGATCCCAAGTATTTCTTCACGTACATGGGCGGTGGCTTGGCAGGAGATGCAGATTCTCTCTCCTGGAAGTGAGGCAAGGAGGCTGGCGTCTGGGTAAGGATGATGTCCCCACATACTGCTAAAGAGTCAAAGAGGAAAGTGGCATCGATGGTGCAGGGCAGAGACATGCACTGAGTAGCTGCTGCCCTCACTGAAGAGAAAGTGTTCACTGACTTGGCCTTTCCCCAGGGCCTCTCCCTCCCCTGCTTTCCAGAAAGCCCAGTTTTTTGGGAGCTGTACCTGAACACCTGGGAACATTCCGGTGGGAAAGGCAGCTCAGAGCATTAGCAATGGTAAGTTACCTTGTTCTTCTTCCTGTGGAGACAATTGATCATATGGGTCAGCAAGACGGAGGTGCTGTCCATTTAGTCCCTGGTTATTACAGAGACCTATAGCTCTGGATTATGGAAGATCTGTGAGTGGCACAGGCATTGAGGAATCACAGCATCATTATTGTGCATCTGCAGGGAATGGCTTGAAAATAGACTGGTAATAACAAATGTTTCAGGTCACTACAAAATACCTTTGAATATTTAAATATGCTTCTGACAAAGACTTTTTTCCCACATGAAACAATGGGAGCAACGTGACAATCACAGAGGTGTTGTTAGTATAACAAAGGGATTGTCACTCCCACAATGTCCACTTAAATAACTTGAAGACCTGATAGCCCCATTCTCTAAGACATTATCAGACATTCCCTACAAATGGTCATACTCTCCTATATACTCCCGATACAACTCTAAAATATATGACTCCATGTAGTCCCTAGGTTTGAATTAAATTTTGACTTTTTTCTCCCAAAATATCTCTTGTCGAAACAACGGATGTAGAGAGAAATACATTCCCTCCAGGCAAATCTGTCAGGCCTGGTCTGACCTGGGACCCTGCGGACACTGCCCCTTTGCTGAGTTACCGAGATGAGCCAGCCCCGTGGCTGTGCCCAGCCTGCCCCATCCCCTGCTGATTTGTGTGTCCTAGAGCGCAGCCCCCTGCCCTGAAGACTTCTTAATAGGCTGGTCACACCCTGTGCAGGAGTCAGTTGCAGTCAGGACACAGCATGAACATGAGGATCCCCGCTCAGCTCCTGGCCTTCCTGCTGCTCTGTCTCCCAGGTAAAGAAGGAGAACACTGGGAAGTTAGCCACCCAGTGTGCTCAGTACAGCCTGGCTCTTCAGGGAAATCCTCGCATAACATGGTGAAAAGTGTAAATATTTGTTTTTGTATTTCCAACCTGAGATGCCAGATGTGACATCCAGATGACTCAGCCTCCATCCTCCCTGTCTGCATCTGTAGGAGACAGAGCCACCGTCTCTTGCCAGGCTAGTCAAAGCATTTACAACTATTTAAATTGGTATCAGCAGAAACCAGGGAAAGCACCTAAGTTCCTGACCTATAGGGCATCCAGTTTGCAGAGGGCGATGCCATCTCAGTTCAGTGGCAGCGGATATGGAAGAGATTTCACTCTCACCGTCAGCAGCCTGCAGCCTGAAGATTTTGCAACTTATTAATGTCAACAAGAGAGCATTTTCCCTCCCCCAGTGTGACAAGTCATAACATCAACTGCTAGGATAGCAGATGAGTGAGGCCGGGTTGCCCTAGATGCCCCTCCTAGTGCCTCAATCTGCTGAGTTGTTTTCCAGATGCAGCCAAGTTTTGAAGGTCGTCTGGAAATTTTGGTAAATTGTGATGAGGTGGCTCCTTTGCACCCACTCTCTTTCCTCCTCATCCCCAGAAGCAAAGACATGAAATGCGAGTCCTGATTTAATAAAGAGATTTAACCACCTGAGGAGTCTGTTATGGGATGATTGGAATTCTTGTAGCAAAAGAGAAGCCACTCTAGCCCTTCCAAGCAGGAATCGTTTTAATTTATGAAATCAGTGTCTAAACTACAGCTTTTCAAGGCCTGGTTGATGTTAGTCACGGAAGCAGATACTAGAGACATGATTCTCTGGTGCTCCTGCAGAAACCAGGGTGCACCCTACCCTGCAGGTGTGAGCTGCCTAGCCACATGGTCCTTGGATCTGTCTGAGAAGCCCAGAGTGCAGGTGCTGATGCTCTCAGCCTCCTGCAGTATGTCTCTAGGTGATTCTCTAGGTCTCAACTAAGTCCACTTGTCTGTCTGCAGGTGTCAATGAGCATTGAATCATTCTCTTCTGACTTCCAAATCTCGTGGAAGGACCCCTCAGTGAACAACTCTACAGGAAAGTATAGAGGGAAAGGTGGTTCTGAAGAATGCGCTTTCAGAAGTGATGGTGATAATGAGGAACTGACAGCTGAAAGCCCAACATGGTCAGTATTTTCACAAAATAGTGAAAACTTTTGCCAGTTATGCATGGCCTCAGAATACATTTGAATATACTTGCACTTGTCACATAGCAACATAACTTTATTAAGTCATAGACACAGCTTAAAAATCAGGAAATTGTATGACATACATAACAATCATTTTACAAACAAATGAAAAATATTTCTTAACAAAGAAACCAAAACAACAGAAAAACCTGAACATTGGTGTAACCTTTTTTAAATTATGAAAATTCTTTGCTACTCAACATGTATCCAGAATCCAGCAGGATCATTAGCACACTGAGAGCATGATACATATGCTAAATAGCAGAACGACCTTCAGTTCACTGAATGAGAACCTTTGTTTAGCCATGGTAGTTGATAACAGGTGACCTATAAAAGGTTTAAGAAGCTATGTTCTATGTGATATTTGTTTCAGCTAAAGAGATACCGTGGTGGTGGGCACCATTGGCCCCAGCTACCAGGGAGGCTGAGGCAGGAGAATCGCTTGGACCCAGGAGGTGGAGGTTACAGTGACCCAAGATCATGTCACTGCCCTCCAGCCTGGGTGACAAGAGCAAACTTCTGTATACTATTATGGCAATGAGGCTATTTTTAAAAATTTCAATGGAAAGCCACATGTTGCAGCCACACCCAGCTTTATTTTCTAATCCATGCAACATGACATTTGAAAACAATTGGAAGATTGTAAAGTTGGAGAAACATAATGATCTGTCCATGGAATAATAAAATGCTTTGATGTTTAAATGGAGGAAAAGTTTGTAGGAACCATAATAATTACCAAGGTGAAAGAATAACTTAAAATTGTGTGTATCTGTGTTCAAAATTATTAGACTTCATTCACCATTTCAACTTGGTTTGGGGAGGTTGCCCACTCCTGCTGCCTTCATCAGAATATGGTGCCTGGGTAGATACTGCCCTTTAGCCTTGACCTCAGATGAACACAATCCATAGGTTAGAGACAAGCTCTGCTCCCTGCAGCAAAACCACCCAGCTGAGCCCTGTCTTGAAGAGTCATGTTAATACTAAAATGATCATCCAGAAACACGATAAAACTTGATGTAATACACTGACTTTTAAGTAGTTGGTTATCAATCATCATTGTGCAAAAAAAGTGACCAATGTAATACTTACACATTCACCCATATAGGATGTATCTTATTATAATTAGTGGCAGAAGTATAAATATTTGGTAATGTATTTATAAAGCTACCAATGAGAAATTTAAAAAGAAATTTAAAAAATTATATATAAATAAAAAGTGTAAAATTTACCTTATTTATGGAAACTCCACATATATATATATAAACATTAATGTAGGTACATATATATATATTTATTTGATAAATAGTTGGGTGCGTGTAGTTCCATATGCATATATTCATGTCTAAATAAGGCCATTTACATATATATATGAGAAACATATGCATATTTACAAAATGTTTTAATAAATTAAATCTCTTAAGATAATTCTATTTATTCCTCATCAAAATAGTTGGTTTCTAGAACCAGATATAGTACCTGCTCTGGCTATAGGAATGTCCTTGAAATTTGATGTATTTCTAAAACACTCACCAAATTCATGTGTCACCTTAAAATATTTTTCTAACTTACTTGAGGTGCCAAAGAGTATGAATGGAGATGATTTTCCCTAATGTTAAAAATTATATCCTTGTCTCCTAGGTAAGTCCTCATTCTTTGTATGTCTACAATGATGCTATTCTGGACAGAGTTCTATCCATGGATGCTGGGCTGATGTCACATCATTCTCACAGTCAAGGATGGCCTGGAGAGTAAAAATCATAACAGTGAGCAAAGTGCAAGTGTTATATCCTTGTTCATTTTGCAGAGGGAGATCAGCCATTCAATGACATTGTCTATGGGTTTGAACAAATCATCAGACCTTAGAAAAAACAGAACAGAGGATTAGAGACAAAGTCATGGTGGAAGAGCCATGAGTAGACCTTTCAAAATGGGCCAAAAGTTGCCTAATCTATGGGGTAGAGAGCAAGTTGATCACGTAACTTGCTCAGGAAGAGCTTTTTGGGGTTGTGAAAATACTTTATATCTTGACTTTGGAGGTGGTTAGAAGGATTATTTATTTGCAAAAATTCATAAAAACTGTACATTTAAAAATCAATGTGATTTATTTTAACTATTATTATCCTCAATAAAGATAGTTAACTATATGTAGTCAGGGAGCTCAAGGTGCAACTGAGTAATGCTGTCCTCACATCTTCTATTCTTGCAGTGGACTGCAACTGTGTGAGCAAGAATGTCTGGGAGATTGCCTCAGACCTAAGAGTAAAGAGCTGTGTCTCTCTGGCAAGAGCCCAATTTTCTTTTTACTTTGATTTTGTCTTCTATTGGATGAGAATTTAAATAATTCTCATAGATTAGATCAAAGTAGCGGCTTTTTCATGTACACTTATTATTTATTGAAGCTAAAATTCCAAGCAAAATAAAAACTTATTCCAAAAGTGAAGAAAAGTTTTCACCTGTGAATTGCCACTACTCTTCAGCTTGGGAAACACAGCAAATCCTTGTCTCCAAATTAAAAGAAAAAAGGAAAATAAAACATTTAAATAAAACAATATAAATTTTTTTCTAAAATTAGTTAACTAAGCCTGTCATACCTTTCGTTTTATGACCATCACTCAGAAATTGCTATTATTAAAATTTACCTGAGTTTTAAGCATAAGAGCTGTAATGTGGCTTGCTACACCTGTTTATTAAATAGATAGAAATATACTGACATTCAATTTTATAGGCATACATAATTCAATATAGGGCTACATACATATGTAGCTATATACAGATATGCATTCATATATACATATATGTGCATTAACACACATATATGTACATTTACATATATACAGATATAGATATATTTAGATATCTATAAATACCTATATAGATAGATAGATATTTCAAATATGTATATATATATATGAACTACACATTACACATATATGTGCTTTTTATGCTTTTTATATCTGTGTTCATGTCAGATGCAGGAATTAATTTTTGTTTCTAATGCTTTTATTCGTTTTGGAAATGAAGTTTATTGTGACCACATATAATAATTCTGGAAGCATTTCCTTCTTTTTAATTCTCTTGAAGTTTGTGTAATTTTCACAAGGTTGGTTCCAGTAAACGAAACATAAGATGGAAATTTTCCTTATAGAAAAGTTTTCATTATAGAGTTCCTTTTAGTTTAGTGAAAATAGTTGCCATAATTTATTTCATTGTATTCTACTTTTATGTGTTTGCTATCCTGGGCTCTGTAATAATTTTCCCTTTTTAAATTATAGATTGTGTATTTTGCATCTTTTCTCTGTCTTTTTTATCCACCTTTCCTGCTTCATGAAGCAGCCATGGGGTTTAACTCCTTCCGGGTAATTTTTCTGAACTTTTACGCTCTGCTTCCCTTTTAAACGTAAGTTCCAATTCCAAACCATAACTTTGTAAGTGCATAAAACTGAAGGCTTTAAAGGGCACCCAAGTCATCACTTGAAGGTTTTGCTGCTTTGAAATTTATTTGGCCAGATACCTTAAATTAGGTCTCTCAGGTTCAAAGTTCCACAGATATTTAGGGCAGGGACAAAATGCTGCCAGTCTCTTTGCTAAAGCATAGCAAGAATCATGTTTATTCAAGTTCCCAATAAATTTCTCATCTCCATCTAAGACCACCTCATCCTGGACTTCATGGTCCATATCACTATCAGCATTTTGATCAGAGCCCCTCAACAAGTCTCTGGGAAGTTCTGAACTTTGCCACATCTTTCTGTCTTCTGAGTCCTCCAAACTGTTCCAACCTCTGCCCATTACCCAGTTCTAAAGTCGCTTCCACATTCTCAGGTATCTTATAGCAATCCCCCACTACCTTGATACCAATTTACTGTATTAGTTCATTTCCACGCTGCTATGAAGAAATACCTGACACAGAGTAATTTATAAAGAAAAGAGGTTTAATAGATTCACAGTATGACCCAGGAATTCCACTCTTCTCTATAGACCCAAGAGAACTGAAAACATATAGTCAAATAAAACTTGCACATGAATTCTTATAACAATGTTATTTATGATAGCCAAAAAGTGGAAACAACCCAAATGTCCATCAGTGCATACATGCAACAACGTGGATGAACCTTGAAAACATTAAGTTAAATGAAAGAAGCCAGTCACAAAAGGTCCCACAGTAAATTATTCCATCTCTATGAAATGCCCAGAATAGGCAAATCTATAGAAGAAGAAGGTAAATTAGTGGTTGTCAGGGGCTAGGAAGGAAGAGGATGGGAAATGGCTGCAAACAGCGTGAGGTGTTTTGGGTGGTGATGGAAACATTCTGCAGTGACATTGTGGTGATGGCTACACAACTCTATAGTAAAAGCCAACGAGTTGTTTACTTAAAGTGGGTGAACTTTATGCCATACAAATTATATCTCAATACAGATTTCTTTAAGTCTTCAAGAAGCCCTCTGGTAAAGAAATCAGCCTAACCCAGCCCTGAACTCATCTGACCACCAAAGCTTTTCCTCACATTGGCACCCTGAGAAACTGGTATTCTGAAGAACGCGCTTTAGGAAAAACTGCTTTAGACAACAGGAATTTGGTAAGAAGAACTTTGTTTCTGTGAACACATATTTGCATGTCAGGGTACATCCTTTTGTATTTTATTTATATTTAGTGTGTCTATGTCTTGTCTTCTTGGTAGCTTTACAAGAATTTCGAGGAGAGAAAGTATGATTTTGTCTCTTTGAATTCCTACTTCTCACCACCCATAATGTGGTGCACACATAAATATCTGTAAATATGCAGTTAGAACTTTGCATCACTAATGAGTTAATTAAACTATTCAACAAAGCCAAAAATACATATCATGGACCCTCGAGTGCCAGGCACAGTTTCGGGCACTGGGGATACAAAAATGAGGGAGCTTACGGTTTAGTCTGAGACCAGGCCAGGAGCCGCGCAGTAGAGGCACCTCTCCCTGGGGTGTCTGAAATCATTCCTGTGAACTCTAAATACCTGAGACAGGGCTCAGTCAATTTAAGAAGTTTACTTTGCCAAAGTTAAGGATGCTCCTGTGACACAGCCTCAGGAGGTCCTGACGACATGCACCCAAGGAGGTCAGGGTACAGCTTGCTTTTACACATTTGAGGGAGACACGAGCCATCAATCAATATGTGTCACATGTACATTGGTTTGGTCTGGTAGGGTGGGACAACTCAAAGTTGGGGCTTCCAGGTCAGAAGTAGATAAGAGACAAAAGGTTTCATTATTTTGCATACTCGATCAACCTTCCACTGAATACACAATTTAGTCTGGCTCAGTGAATCTGCATTTTTACATCAACAATAGGGCAGAGGAAGCAATTAGATATGCATTTGTCTCAGGTGAGCCTCAGAGAGATGACTTTGAACAGAATGGGAAGTAGGTTTGCCCTAAGCAGTTCCAAGCTTGACTTGTCCCTTTAGCTTAGTGACTTTGAGGTCCCAAGATTTAGTTTCCTTTCACATTCCCAAAGCACATTTGTCATGTAGTAGAAATTATTGAACACCTTAATGGAGGCACCGTGTTTGAGATTCACTCCCTTGCTATTGAAAAGCAGACACAACCAATTTCTTCTTCATTGTTGGAAAAGGTTGCTTTCCCTTTGGTTGGGCACCAGTGGAAGACTTGCACTGAACAGCTATTTTGGCCAAAACTATGTCTCTCAAAGGTGAGTCCCACTGGGGCAAATCCAGGTGCTCCTGGTCTGAGCAGCCTGTAGGAAGGACAGGCGCAGATAGAGCAAGGGATGCACCCTCCTCTACCCTCCACTCCGCATCCACCCTGTGGTATATCTAGGGTGGCACACAGAATGAATGGCACTGCCTAAATGACTTTTTCTTTATTTAAAAAATTTACTGCATTTGCTTAAGCATGTACGTGAGCTTGTCCTGTGACTCCCCAGTCCCGAAGCTCAGCTGAATATCTGAACACTGGGCTTTGAAAAAAAGAAAGTGACCCTGGAGACCAAAAGGACAGCTGGCTCATAGGAAAGCTGCTCATGGCAGGCAAAACTGGAGGGCAGAGAAACGCACTAACCTTGGTTGATACAGTTTAGATATTTGTTCCCTCCAAATCTCATATTGAAATGGGATCCCCAGTGTTGGAGGTGGGCCCTGGTGGGAGGTGTTTGGGTCATGGGGGAGGATCCCACATTTGGGCATGAAAGTACAAATGCCTGTTCCCATTTAGGGCTGCGGGTTTCCAGACTTGAGGGTGGGGGCGTTTGCTGGGGAACTGCCCTCTTCCACCCAGTATTTCCTTGACTCTTGTCTGTATCACCAAGATAACACACTACAAATATGGGAAGGAGCTTGGAAAGAACCATGGGAAGAAACTTGATGTGATCACAGCACCCCCAGTGAGGGCAGGCGCTCAGCAGGGCAGCTGTCTCTGAGTTAGCAGCATCAGGAAGCCTCCCCTGGAAGACACTGGCTGCAGGACGAGGCTGCCAGCCTCCACCAGGGACATCTGGAAGCCACTCTTGCTGGCTTCTGTGGAGGCCAAGGGCAGCCTTCTTGGCAGGCTGCCAGCTCTCTGGAGGCTCTTGGGGCCCATCCTACCCTCAGGGGACCTGGCAGGAAGGTCAGCTGACTGCTCCTGGGTCACTCACGGATGCCCCCTTTTTATGCCCCAAAATGAATCTGAAGAGAAGAAATCCTAGCCTCTGCCAAGCGCTGTCACCCAGCATTGCAGCCTGAACACATCCAAGGGGCCTGATGAGCAGCACCTGGTCCCCCACTGGCTCAGACGCTTGAAGCTACTGAATTTACATGTAATTAAAGACTCGAGTGCAGACCGCATTTCAAAACAGACACTTGGTCAGAGATAGGAGGCCTTCCCCATCAGATGGTTTTGTTTTGCTTTTTCTCTGCATATGGGCCTTATAATTTGCCAAGGTAAGGTTACAGGGGCCACAGTTGTTTTGTTTGGAGATGAGAAAGCTCAAGAATGACCTAACTCTGTCTTCAAATATGCGGAGGCATTTATTACAAGGAGGGAATGGCTGGCTGTTTTCTTCTTAAACTGCAAGAAAAGGTGGCTCAGCTGAAATCCTGAAGACCTGCACACATGGCCGCCACACGCAGCCCTTCCCCAGAGCACCTTGCATGTAGGAAGCACTTCTTGCCCTAAAGCCTAGGACTGCCTGCCTTTGAGAAGGAAGCTTAGGCCTTGACCATGGTTGAGGAAGGAGGCCCCAGTATCTATTTTGGAGAAGTCTAGTAGGTTCTGCCTGGTGGCTGGCAGCCAGGACACTGACTTTATGGCAGAGGCTTCATTATTTTAAAAAATTAAGGATCCTCAGTGAGGGAGGCCTTATTCATGGCAGGGCCCTTTGTGTGGCTGATAGGTGGGGCATCAAAGCTCTGGCACAGACGTGGCTGAGCTGAACTCCTCTGAATCATAGAGGTGGGGAATATGGAAGCCTATAGCTATGAGAAAGTCCAGGAGGAGACAGGAGAAGCTTTTACCCGTCCAGAAGGAGGGGCAGCCGAAGGAAGGAGAGAGGGAAGAGGGTGGTCCAGTGCAGGCACAGAAGGTTCCAAACAGGCTGCACCTGCACTGGACCACCCTCTTCCCTCCTTCTTTCAGCTGCCCCTCCTTCTGGACAGGTAAAAGCACTTCCGTCTTTTCAGTGTCATGGAGGGAGCCCGAGAAGAGCAAACATTGACATCACCACCGCTGCCCACAGCAGTGACACCACGGGCACACTTTTAAAAGGGTCGTATCCTGGACCGGCACTTCCTCAACTCTCTCTGTCCTAAAGCCTCTGGAGAGCCCTTAAATTTGTGGTCCTTGAAGCTATTGTAAAGGTAAGATCTTTTTTCTCCCCAAGTCCTACTCATCCTGACTTTTCAAGTTTGTGGTGTCTCTGATAATCTCTGCTCCTGTTCTTTGAGACCATCCCCGTCACTCTCCACTCTCCCACGTGACACCTGTAAAGTCTCTTCCAGGGATCTGGGGCTGCATTCCAGGGTCTCTTTGCTCTGAGCTCTCTGAGGCCTCAGGCTGTCATAATAAATCAAATGGCAGGGATCTTCTCCAACATCATCCTTCTTCCTTCTGCTTTCCTACGAGGGTGGCAGGTTCAACGTGTCTGTAGAGGCCTCGCTGTGTGAGGGTCTGAAGGGAATTTCCAATTTGATGCAGGGGAAGGAAGGGAGAGAGAGACTAAAAATTGGTTGATGGCCACCATGTGCCAGGTGCTCCCAATACAGTCTCAAACTCATGACATCTCCCAGCCAATGGATTCACCCCCTTTACCAGTTCCACCTGGAGCTCCATCTCCCAGACAAGCAAAGGCCATGTTGGGGGGCTTTGGAGTCAGCTGCCTGCCATTTCATCTCAGGTGTTACCGTGGGAAAGTTGTTTAACCTCTTTGAGCCTCAGTTCCCTCACATGTAAAATGGACCTACGAGTTTCTCACACAGGGTTGCCCTGGGGCCAGGATTGCCAGATAAAATATAGGATGCCTGGTATAAAAGTTGCATGGGACAGACTTATACTAAATATGCTCCCCAAATTGTTATAGCTCTAAAATATTATGGCTCCAAATCAAATGTCTGAACTCTATGAGACAGAGCAAAAAGCACGAACACAAAGAAGTAACAGGGTCAAGAGAAAAGAGCATGCACTTGGAGGGCAGACATCCAGGAACACCATCTCTGCTCTGTGTCAAGCCAGGCTGTCACTTTAACTGATAATTAAATGCTTCTGTGCCTCGCTGACTCCTCTGTGCCATAGGGACCTAAAGAAAGGCCCTACCTCCCTCACACGGCACAGCTAAGTACTTTGAAAACATTAAAAGCATGAAAACAGTATGTTTTACTCTCTATCTGGGATGGGCCAGGAGCAGTGGCTCACACCTGTAATCCCAGCAGTTTGGGAGGCTGAGGCAGGCAGATCACTTGAGGTCAGGAGTTCACGACCAGCCTGGCCAATATGGCGAAACCCTGTTTCTACTAAAAATACAAAAATTAGCTGGATGTGGTGGCAGGCTCCTATAATTCCAGCTCCTCAGGAGGCTGAGGCAGGAGAATCGCTTGAACCTGGGAGGCAGAGGTTGCAGTGAGCTGAGTTCGCACCACTGCACTCCAGCCTGGGTGACAGAGAAAGACTCCATCTCAAAATAAGTAAATACATAAATATAAATACACAGGATGTGTGCAGTGATATGCCAGGAAGTTCATAGAGTGTCAGTTTTCATCTCTCCCTCCTGCACCAAAAAGCAAACTCATCCATCTAAGAGCACTCAAGACTGAAGGAAACCTTTACAGAAAAATCTAGCCTGTTCCTTCTAATCAGCAGGACTGCACTGAAACCGTCATGGAGATTGGCATCCTTTTCTCTTTCTGAAGACCTCTGGGGAGGCAGATTCTACAAACAGCCTTGGCAGCTGATGTGCTAGCACAGTGTAGGATAACTTATAAATACAGTCAGAGCCAAGGAGGGCCTCCAGAATGCAGCCCAGCATGGTGTGCACTCGTGGAGCCCTGACATACAGCTAAGGAACATTCTGAAAACTCAAGCCATCCCTCTCATCACTCCTCTTCCTTTTAATTGCAATTGACCCTTCAGAAATCAAGTAAATTAAGGGGGAGGGGAAAGAAGAATTTGTGCTAGTAAGACAGATTCCGAAGAATGTAAAATGAAATAATACCAAACACACAGAAATAGAATACTTTAGGCAGAAAGAAAGGGATGAAGAGGTAGAGGGAAGCATTTTTCCTCCCAGTACATAGTAGGTCCTCAATAAACATTTGTTAAATGAATGCATTCTTAGGAAGGACAATCTGCTCATCCATATGAATGAGAAATGTTTTGCTGATACACTATTTGGAAGTGACTGTACTACAGCTGATTTAATGGTAAAGCCATCAAGTCTGCATTTCATCCTTCTACCTGGGTACTGGCTCCAAGAATCTGTTCTCTATCAACACATCAAGACCCTTGACTTAGAGAGCCTCATATACACAGCAGGAATAAAAGGAGAGGAGAAATAGAGAATGAAACTCAGCCTAACCTTCCTCATCTAGCCCTTTTCTAATTCATCCGGTACCTTTTCTAATTCTTCGCAAAGATACTGCGTAAGTTTTCAGAAGCTTTAGCTGGGCCACACCTCCAGGCTTCCAGGATTTGAAGAATTATGTCAATATAGAAACCAGTTTCTGGACAGCGAATAGCAAATCCAAAATCACTCTAAATTGGTGATTGTCAACCAGGATGGTTTTGCTCCTAGGGGACATTTGGCACCACCTAGAGACATATTTTTAAATGGTCACAACTAGCAGTTCTTATTGGCATTTAGTGGGTAGGGGCCAGGGATACTGCCAAAGTGCCTGTAATACACAGGACAGTGGCCCACAACAGAGAATTATCTCAATATCTCAGCAAGGAATTATGTCAACAAAGCCACAATTGAGAAGCACTGTGCTAGATTCAAATCTCTTCTACCGTGTCTTCTCAGACCAAAGTCTTACCCGTGACAACTTATAGTAACCTCTCTGCTTTGGTGTCCACACCTTAATCTACCAAGTCAACAGATATGTACCAAATGCCTATAGCTCTCTACCAGGCATGCAAGCAAGGAAAAAGCAGCAACTTTCCTCAAAATAAAACCACAGAAGTTAGTCAGAAAAGAAAGCGCAAAACAGTGGGTACCTTCTCAAGGAAATAAACCAAACAAAAAATCCAGACAGTAGCCAAGCACAGAAATGCATATAGTGTTTTCATCATTTCTGAGGAAATGAGTTAGAATATGGATGGCTCAGGCCTCCCGGGTTCAATCTGAAGTCTTTTTTTTTTTTTTCTTTTCTTAAGGAAGCTAATAGACAAGAAATTGAGAAAGAATGAGTGGAGGCCGTTTGGTTTAGTATGTTCTCTGGAACACTGTTGCGTTTCCCCCGTAGAAAGAGTTTACAAATGGTAGTTCAGTTCCAGGTCAGCCCAGAAGAGCTTACTGGACAATAGTCCAGCTGAGGTGCCAAAACCACAGGAGTCCGGGGATACACAAGCCCTGAGTTTTCTTGGAAGAAAGAAGGACA
Source organism: Homo sapiens (assembly GCF_000001405.40). Taxonomy (NCBI): domain Eukaryota; kingdom Metazoa; phylum Chordata; class Mammalia; order Primates; family Hominidae; genus Homo; species Homo sapiens. Next base: position 97,310,261 of record NC_000002.12, on the reverse strand, counting down.
AAGGGATTATCTGTTTCTTTTCTCCTTAGACTCCCTAAGTCCCCTTCTCTACACCACCTCTCTCAGAGGTAAGAGTAATCCTAGAAAACCTTCAACTAGTTTTTTTGTTTTAATTTATAAGTAAAGTACATACAAATTAAAAATGTGCTCCTGGAAAAAAAAAAATCCCATCTCAGACCCATATCCTCAGGCTCTTTTCAAAGAGACAAAGTCACTGTTTATTACATTTCTTCCAGAAATACTCTCTGCATATACTCAAACGTATGCATGCATATATCACCTTTCAAATTATAGGCAGAAATGGAAGCATGCAGTCTGTTGTGTACTTTTTTTTCAACTATTTTAAGTTCAGAGGTACACGTGCGGAATGTGCAGGTTTGTTACATAGGTAAACGTGTGTCATAGTGGTTTGCTGTATAGATCAACCCATTACCTAGGTATTAAGCCCAGCATCTATTAGCTGTTTTTCCTGATGCTCTCCCTTCCCCCACCCCCGTGAAGGCACCAGTGTGTGTTGTTTCCCGCCCATATGTCCTTGTGTTCTCATCGTTCAGCTCCCACTTATACATGAGAACATGAGGTATTTGGTTTTCTGTTCCTGAATTAGTTTGCTGTGGATAATGGCTTCCAGCTCCCACCACGTCCCTGCAAAGGTCATGATCTTGTTCCTTTTTATGGCTGCATAGTATTCCATGGGGCATATGTAACACATTTTCTTTATCCAGTCTATTATTGATGGGCATTTGGGTTGATTCCATGTCCTTGCTATTAGGAATAGTGCTGCAATGAACATACGCGTTCATGTATCTTTATAATAGAATGATTTATATTGCTTTGGGTATATACCTAGTAATGGAATTGCTGGGTTAAATGATATTTCTGCTTCTAGATCTTTGAGGAATGGCCATACTGTCTTCCATAATGGTTGAACTAATTTGCACTCCCACCAACACGTATAAAAGCATTCCTTTTTCATTGCAACCTCTCCAGCATCTGTTGTTTCTGGACGTTTTAATAATTGCCATTCTGACTTGGCATGAGATGGTATCTCATTGTGGTTTTTAATTTGCATTTCTCAAATGATCAGTGACGTTGAGCTTTTCTTCATATGTTCGTTGGCTGCATAAATGTCTTCTTTTGAGAAGTATCCATTCATGTCGTTTGCCCATTTTTAATATTTTTTTCCTTGTAAATTGGTTTAGGTTCCTTGTAGACCCTGGAAATTACACCTTCGTCAGGTGGAAAGATTGCAAAATTTTTTCCCCATTCTGTAGGTTGTCTGTTCACTCTGATGATAGTTTGTATTGCTGTGCAGAAGCTCTTAAGTTTAATTAGATCCCATTTGTCAGTTTTTGCTTTTGTTGCAATTGTTTTTGGTATTTTTGTCATGAAATCTTTGCCCATGCCTATGTCCTAAATGGAATTGCCTAGATTTTCTTCTAGGGTTTTCACAGTTTTGGGTTTTACATTTCAGTCTTTAATTCATCTGGAGTTGATTTTTGTATAAGGTGTAAGGAAGGGGGTTACAATTTCCCACATATAGCTAGCCAGTTCTCCCAGCACCATTTATTAAATAGGGAGTCCTTTCCCCATTGCTTGTTTTTGTCAGGATTGTTGAAGATCAGATGGTTGTAGGTGTGTGGTCTTATTTCTGAGTTCTCTATTTTGTTCCATTGGTCTATGTGTTTGTTTTTATACTAATACCATGCTGTTTTGGTCACTGTGGCTCTGTAGTATAGTTTGGAGCTGGGTAGCATGATGCCTCCAGCTTTGTTGCTTCTGTTAGGATTGTCTTCGCTATTCGGGCTATTTTGTTTTGTTTTGTTTTGTTTTTTGGTTCTGTATGAATTTTAAAATAGTCTTTTCTAATTCTTTGAAGAATGTCAATGGTAGTTTAATGGGAACAGCATTGAATCTATAAATTACTTTGTGCAGTATGGTCATTTTCATGATATTGATTCTTCTTATCTATGAGCATAAAATGTTTTTCCATTTGTTTGTTTCCTCTCTGATTTCCTTGAGCAGTGGTTTGTAGTTCTCCTTACGGAGGTCCTTCACTTCCCTTGTTATCTGTATTCCTAGGTATTTTATTCTTTTTGTGTCAATTGTGAATGGGACTTCATTTATGGTTTGGCTCTCTGCTTGCCTGTTGTTGGTATAAAGGAATGCTAGAGATTTTTGTGCATTGATTTTGTAAGTTGAGACTTTGCTGAAGTTGCTTATCAGCTTAAGAAGCTTTTGGGCTGAGATGATGGGGTTTTCTAAATATAGGACATGTCATCTGCAAACAGGGATAGTTTGCCTTCCTCTCTTCCTATTTGAATACTCTTTATTTCTTTCTCTTGCCTGATTGTCCTGGCCAGAATTTCCAATACTATGTTGAATAGGAGTGGTGAGAGAAGGCATCCTTGTCTTGGTACACTTTCTTTTTACCCATAAATCTACCTTACTTCTTTAACGGCTGCAGAATATCCCATGCTATGAATGTACCATTGGTATCAACATTAGGACAGTGACTAGGAATATTTTGAAAAACCAAAAGTTCATCTTTCTCCTCTTACTTACTACCTCTTGTCCCTACCCTTGTCCTCCATATAGAGCTGCCTTGAACCCTTCACCTTATCTCTCTTGACTGGTTTTACTCTATCCCCTTTCCCAAAGGAGTCATCCCCCAAAAGCATGGACTTTCTGACTCCAACCCAAAACTCACCTTCTTTCAGAGTGGCTGGCCTGACTTATTTTATTCCAAAAGAAAGTAATTTGATTCTAACTAATTATTATATGAATTACCACCAACTCCTTAACCCTCACATTTAGAAAGGAGATGTTAACTAAGTTGAACTCATCATTGGAATTCCAGAGAGCAACAACTGATTTAAAAAAAAAAACAAAAAAACAGAAGCTGTCAAGAGCATACAATTATGGGTTGGGATCAGCCATATTGGCTATTATCTCATGTCAGAAAATCTAGGCACAGAGAGCTTCCTCTAACTGATGATATTCTGGGCAATTTCTTCATTTCTTCTAGCTAAAAGTCCAATTACTTTTCAAAAGCTCTAAGGTTTTCCACAATACTCTTAGTAAGGGGCCTGGAAAGAGCAGGCCAGCTGTCTATAGGTATAGGCCATTCATAAATGGGTATCCGTAACATATGGACCCACCGTTCTGAGACTGGCCACGAGTCAATTGAGAAAGAGTATGCCATCACTTGCAGATGCCCACAGGAGAACTTGGACATACAGAAGAGGGATAACTGAGTTGAGACTGGAGTTGTGCAGAATATATGTGTGTGTGTGTGTGTGTGTGTGTGTGTGTGTATGTGTGTAACTACATAATATATTAATATACGTACAGACATAATTTTAAAAGAGCACAAATGGAAACACATACATAACACAAACGCAGTTACATTAAGAGTGGGGGCCAGAGGGTCCTTTTATCACCTACTGTCAGTGAAGGGATCCAAAATGGTCACAAGAGTCTTCTCCTGCCAGTTTCCAGGCCCTATCCTGACGGCAAACACCAGGACGGTGTCTTTAATCAGAGCTGGCCCAAGGCCCATCACCCTGTAATGTGAAAGCTGTCTACTTTAGCCAAACTTTTCGATCAGGACAGGTACTCTTCTTTTGAAAATCCAAGGCGGAGAGGAAAAACGGCTAGGTCTGAACCCTCAGGATGTGCCAGGGCAGTACAAGTGTGGATGGCATCAGATGGTAGGGGGCAGAGAGAGTACCAGGCCAGGGCGGAACTGCACTGAGGGCCATTAGGGCCTTTTGGGGGCCAGGTAAGTGGCCTCAGATGGTGACAGCTACATGGTCCTGGGTAAGTCTGTTCTGGTTGGTTTCATTTGGATCTGGAGGGTCCTACAGGGCAGCCCTGAAGAACATCAAACTGGAGGCACACAGAGTACCAGGCTCCAGGGTCTTTGCCATAAACATAAGAAGCAGGGAAAACAAGAGGCTGACTTTGACAAACTCTTGTGCACTCAAATGTAAAGGGCAGGAGAAGAAAACCAGGTCAGTGGGAGACAGTTGAACCCTGCCACCCCCGGTGGATGGATGATGCCTGTCACCTAAATAGGGCCTAGCTTGTGGGGTGAGGCCAGTCACCATGGTGGATGTGAATGGCCCATGTGCAATCTGGAGGCTACAGAGAGAGAGCCCTAGGCACAAGTTTCTCAAACAACAGAAGAAGAAATGACCTGGCATGTGAAGTCCGATGTATAGATGCCACTATCCAAGCACCTATTCTTACTGTAACCTTAAGCTATTATAAAAGCATCAGCCATCTTGCCTTTGAGTTCTTATATTTTGTATGCCTCATATACATTAATAAATCTGCCTGCCTCTCCTTGTATTCATCTGCCTTTTGTGGGTTGATTTTCAGCATCATTTCACAGGGTGAAGTGGAAGTTGGCTCTTGGCCCATGCAACACATCTATTCATAAAGAAATATAGATATATTTAATTACATATATGTATTTATACATATATAAACAACTATATGTACATATAAAACAAACATAAATCACAAACACAAACAAACACACTGATGTAAATGCATTTATGCAGGGGCCACTAGGCCCTCTTGCCACCTGCTGACAGGGAAGGGAAATGCGAAAGCTACAGGAGTCTTTCTCTGCCATATCCACGTGACCTTACAGTGATGGCAAACACTGGCCCAGCATGTTTTAACCAGACCCAGCCCAGGTGCCACCACCCTCCAGTGCGAAAGCTGTCCACATCCCTAGAATCTGGCAATCAGGATAGGTGCTCTCCTTCTGAAGACCTTAAGTAAGCACATGCGTGGAGTTCCGGTTCAAGTGGGTAGAGAAGAGGCTCTCCCCAGAGAGAAAGAAAGGTGAGGTCTGAGACTTCAGGACGTGCTGTGGGACAGTGTAAATATGGCTGAAGTAAGATGGCCAGATGCTGGAAGGACAGCGAGGCTGGGGAAGGCCTGCACTGAGGACCATTTATAACTTTCAGGAACCAGGAAAATGGCCTCAGACAATGAAGCCACCCAGTCCTGAGTAAGCCTGTTCTGGCCTTTTCATCTGGATCTACAGAACCCTACAGGGCAGGCCTAAGGAACACGTAAGTGTCAAGGAGCTGTTTGGGGAGCTAAGTCTATGAGGCTTCTTCCATCTGTATAAAACATATAGAAAACAGGGTTCTGGCCTTCTACACTCCAAAATAGGTGGCAGGTGAGGAAGAACAAGCCAGAGTAAGTCTTTTTCACACTGCCACCCAGGTGGACAGATAATGCCTGTCACCAAACTAAACCCTGGCTTGTGCTGTGATGTGGGGCTATTGTGGCAGATGTGAATGGTGCGTACACAAGCTGGGAAGCTACAGAGAGCCTTGAGGCCCCAAGCTGGGCATCTGGCCTTGGTCAGAAGCATTGCTAGCTTCTCAGCTGGGCTCTGCATTCAAAGGCTAGGCTGAGGAGTGTGTGGCCCTAGAAAAAGCCCTGTGTTTTCTGCTCTTAAAATCTCATGGAAGTAGAGACCAGATAGGACTTGAATGGAAGGCCACCCGATATTACCTGGTTCCATAGGCTTTTGTCATCCCCATTCTCCCCAGTACAGCCAGCCAACTCTCTCTGCTGTATCCTAGAGCACCAGGAGGCTAATAATCAGTGCTGGAGTGGGACACAGAGGATAAAACCAAGTCTCAGAGGTAAGTGGCTAGGCAGGCAGTGGCTCTTCTGCCTCATTCCCTCTGCATGAACATTGTGGGGAGGTGGTCTGGGTGATAGCCACCCTTTGGAATCTCCCTCCTCCTCACTGAGGAATAGCAAGACCCTGACATCTGTGAGGACCCTACCAACATGGCCTCTGTGAGCAGTCACTCAGCAACCCACCACCTCTGCTCTGGATCTTTGGTACAAATTTTGATGATTTCTGGGGGTGCTGTAGGGCCATCACGTGCCTTCACAGTAAATGTGCAGGAACCAGGTTTTTTTTTGGCAGGAAGAGAAGTATTAATAGCAAGAACTCCTCAGCAGCAAAGCCTCATCAAGAAAGAATGAGTTGTGCTCAGGTGTTCCCTTCAAAAGTGCTTCCTCGCTGCTGCTTCTGCACCTCACTTGAGTGGCGAGAATCTTCTGTGAGGCAAGCCTCAGTCCTGTCTGCGTGGACACTCACCACCCAGCTGTCTCCATCAGAAAGTCTGGCCCAGGCCCTTTCCTGGGAACCAGAGACCCCTCTGCTCTTCTCCTCCAGACCCTGTGGAATAGCGGGGAAGAGGGGAAGGTGGAACATGAACTCTCTTCCTGCTCCTCCAGGATGCCAAGCCAGCTTCCGCTGCTTTTACCAACCTCACACTCCACCCCCTTCCTCTCCTTTATAAGCCCCTGGGGCCCTTCAAGAAACAAAACAAAACATTTTTTAAAATGTGCAGGTCCATTTTACTTCCACCCTGCCATGTCGCTTCCCTGAAGTAACACTGCATAAGTTCTTCCATCGGCTTGTTGGGGAGGAAGTTTCATCTGCTTGTGGAAAAGACAAGACAAACAAGGGATACCATTTAATATTTTAAAGACATACTATTTAAGGAAACCTATCATAAAGACACCGATTTACAAAGCCCACTATTTTGGTATAAATTTGTCAACCTAAAATAATCAAAGGACAAGAATCCCATTTTGAAGAGTTTATACCAGTGAAATGCTAGGAATGGCTTCTTAGCCTGTAAAGTGTAAGAGTGGAAGAAATAGTGCACTGAATTGAGTTCATCATCTCAGTTCGTCATTGGAAATCACCTCTCATTTTTCTCTATTTTCCACCGTTTTTTACCTCACTTGAATTTTCTAATTTTTCCACATAGGTTTTTACTGTCATGTGCTTGATATATGGCCCTGGAGATGTCTTTGAAAGTTACATAACGCTGTGCTTTCTGTGCGCATCTTTTATTTTTATTTTTGAGACAGGATCATCTCACTTTGTCACCCAGGCTGGAATGCAGTGGCACAATCTCAGTTCACTGCAGCCTCAACTTCACAGGCTCAAGTGATCCTTTCACCTCAGCCCCCAAAAAGTAGCTGGGACTACAGGCAGGCGCCACCAGGCCTGGCTAATTTTTCTATTTTTAGTAGAGACGGGGTTTCACCATGCTGCCGAGGCTCATATTACACTCCTGGACTCAAGTGGTACACCCTCCTCGGTCTCCTGAAGTGCTGAGATTACAAGTGTGAGCCGCTGCACCCGGCCATGTGCGTATCTTTTAAATATACGTAAGTTATTTATGTCTAGATAGCCATCTGCTTCTTAGAATATGCTTAATGTATTTGCACATCATTTTAAGCCTACCAATGGTGCTTTGTGAGTATGTATTGTGCACATATGTACATAAATATATATTTCATGTGGAATATATAGTTCATATATGCATATTACATCATGAATTTGTTTATAATAGCTGTTCCATGTCTTATGCATGAAATCTCCAAGTAAAGGGCATCTAAATTCAGTACAATTAGAAGTAGAATAAACTGTTGCAAATAAGATCTTTGAAAATGTCCTCTGATAGACTTCTGTGGCTGCTTCTCAGGGGAATATACCCAGGATGTGATGGTCAGGACGTAAAGTATACACATAATAATTTTCCCTAAGTACTAAGAAAATAATCTCCAAAGGAGTCTGCATCCTTGAAGTAAAACATGAACATGCCCATATCCTCACATTGTCACTAATGTTTGGCGTAATCCAAATTTCTAAAGTTAATAAACAAATATAAAGTGTTATTTTGTGTCACTTATTAGGTCACTAATATTTCTGAGTTGCTGTTCACATATTTCTAACCCATTAAAGTTTCCTCTACTTTGAATTACCTCTTCATATTGTGTTCAGAGTCTGCATTTCCCAAGTTTTTTCTAGGTAATATAAGAGTACCTTAAAAAGGTATTATTACTGTTGTAGAAGGAGTATTATGTGTGTCAAAGGATCCTAGTTTCTTTTTAATATTTATTGAATATTAAATAATAAATATTTAATATTTATTAAATCCCATTTTCCCTTAGAACGCCACACAGTCAGCTGAGAACATTATCATTTACGTAAACACTACGTTTCTTAGCCTCCCTTGGAGGTCATTGCGACCATGGAACTAAATTTGGGAAAGTGAGATGAAGGCACGATTATTTGCCTGTGACTTCCAGGGTCTTTCCTTACAGGAGGGTATCTTTTGTCCTTTCTACTCCTCTTTCATTACTGCAGCTTGGATGCACTTACATTTCCTGGAGCTCCAGCAGCTCTATGTGACTATTAGTAAATGAGACATGCCCTAAGTAAAGCTGGGGGAGTGTGGAGTCCCAGTGGCTCATGAGGCACAGCTGCCACACCAAACCCGGATGGCCAAGCCTCTGTCTAATTTTGTGTGAGCAAGAAGTATACTAACTTGTTTAGGTGACTGCTATTTGGGAGCTCTTCTGCCACCTTCAATTGAGCCTCTTTTTTCACAAAATTATTGTTTATTCAATAAGAACACATTTATCTTGAAATACTTTGTTTTTTTTTAAACTTTTATTTTAAATTCAGGGGTACATGTGCAGGATGTGCAGGTTTGTTACATAGGTAAACGTGTCATAGGAGTTTTTTGTACATATTATTTCATCACCCAGGTATTAAACCTAGTATCCATTAGTTATTTTTCCTGATGCTCTCCCTCCTCACCCTCCATCCTCTGGTAGGCCCCAGTGTGCATTGTTCCTTTCTTTGCGTCCATATGTTCTCATCATTTAGCTCCCACTTATAAGTAAGAACATTTGGTATAATATTTGGATTTCTGTTCCTGCATTACTTTGCTAAGGATAGTGGCCTCCAGCTCCATCCATGTCCCTGCAAAGGTCGTGATCTTATTCTTACTTTTTATAACTGCATAGTGTTTCGTGGTGTATATATACCACATTTTCTTTATCCAGTCTATCACTGATGGGCATTTAGATTGATTCCACATCTGTGCTATTGTGAATAGTGCTGCAATGGACGTATGCATGCATGTGTCTTTATAATAGAATGATTTACATTCCTTTGGTTATATACCCAGTAGTAAGATTGCTTGGGTGAATGTTATTTATTTCTCTAGGTCTTTGAGGAATCATCACACTGTTTTCCACAATGGTTGAACTAATTTATATTCCCATCAACAGTATAAAAGTGCTCCTTTTTCTCCATAACCTTGCCAGCACCTGTTATTTTTGGACTTTTTAATAATCGCCATTCTGACTGGTGTGAGACTGCATGTATGTCTTCTTTTGAAAAGTGTCTTTTCATGTCCTTTGCCCACTTTTTAGTGGGGTTGTTTTGAATTTGTTTAAGTTTCTTTTTTATTTTACTTTATTTTATTTATTTTTTCTTTTCTTTTCTTTTCTTTTCTTTTTTGAGATAGAGTCTCACTCTTTTGCCCAGGCTGGAGTGCCGTGGTGCAGTCTCGGCTCACTGCAACCTCCGCCTCCTGGGTTCAAGCAATTCTTCTGCCTCAGCCTCCCGAGTAGCTGGGATTACAGGCATGCGCCACCACGCCCAGCTAATGTTTATATTTTGACTAGAGATGTGGTTTCATCATGTTGGCCAGGCTGGTCTTGAACTTCTGACCTCAGGTGATCCTCCTGCCTTGGCCTCCCACAGTGCTGTGATTACAGGTGTGAGCCACCATGCCCAGCCAAGTTTCTTACAGATGCTAGATATTAGACCTTTGTTAGATGCATAGTTTGCAAAACTTTTCTCTCATTCTTTAGGTTGTCCGTTTACTCTGCTGTTAGTTTCTTTTGCTGTGCAGAAGCTCTTTAGTTTAATTGGATCCCATTTGTCAATTTTGGCTTTCGTTGCAATTGCTTTTGGCATCTTTGTCATGAAATCTTTGCCCATGTCTATGTTCCGAGTGGTATTGCCTAGGCTTTCTTCTAGGATTTTTATAGTCTGGGGTTTTACATTTAGGTCTTTAATTCATCTTGAGCTGATTTTTATATAAGGTGTGGGGCTGGAGTCCAGTTTCAATTTGCACATATGGCTAGCCAGCTTTCCCAGCACCATTTATTAGAGAATCCTTTCTCCATTGCTTGTTTTTGTCGGGTTTGTGAAATATCAGATTGCTGTAGGGGTGTAGTCTTATTTCTGGGTTCTCTATTCTGTTCCATTGGTCTATGTGTCTTTTCTTGCACCAGTGCCATGCTGCTTTGGTTACTGTAGACCTGTAGTATAGTTTGAAGTTGAAGAGCATGATGCCTCCAGATTTTTCTTTTTGCTGAGAATTGCCTTGGCTCTTCAGGCTCTCTTTGGGTTCCACATGAATTTTAAAATATTTTTTTTTCTATTTCTGTGAAGAACTTCCATGGTAGTTTAATGGGAATAGCATTGGATCAATAAATTATTTTGGGCAGTATGGCCGTTTTCATAATATTGATTCTTCCTATACATGAGCATGGAATGTTTTTCCATTTGTATCCTCTCTGATTCCTTTGAGCAGTGGTTTGTTGTTCTCTTTGTAAAGGTCCTTCACTTCACTTGTAACCTGAATTACTAGGTACCTTATTCTTCTTGTAGCAATTGTGAGTGGGAGCTCACTCATGATCTGGCTCTCAGCTTGATTGTTGTTGGTGTATAGAAATGCTATAACAATTTTTGCACATTAATTTTGTAACTTGAGACTTTGCTGAAGTTGCTTATCAGCTTAAGAAACTTTGGGGGCTGGGCGCGGTGGCTCATGCCTGTAATCCCAGCACTTTGGGAGGCCGAGGTGGGTGGATCATGAGGTCAGGAGACCAAGACCATCCTGGCTAACATAGTGGCTAACCCCGTCTCTACTAAAAATAGAAAAAATTAGCCAGACGTCGTGGCACACACCTGTAGTAGCAGCTACTCAGGAGGCTGAGGCAGGAGAATCGCTTGAACCCGGGAGGCGGAGGTTGCAGTGAGCCAAGATTGTGCCACTGCACTCCAGCCTGAGCGACACAGCAAGACTCCATCCCAAAATAAATAAATAAATAGCTTTTGGGCTGAGATGATGGGGTCAAACAGGGATAGTCTGACTTCCTCTCTTCCTACTCAAATACATTTTATTTCTTTCTCTTGCCTAATTGCCCTGGCCACAACTTCCAATACTATATTGAATAGGAGTGGTGACAGAGGGCATCTTTGTGTCAGTTTTCAAGGGGAATGCTTCCAGCTTTGGCCCATTCAGTATGATATTGGCTGTGGGTTTGTCATATATGGCTCTGATTATTTTGAGGTACGTTCCTTCAATACATAGTTTATTGAGAGTTTTTAACATGAAGGTTGTTAAATTTTATCAAAGCCTTTTCTGCATCTATTGACATAATCCTGTGGCTTTTGTCTTTAGTTCTGTTTATGTGATGAATCACATTTATTGATTTGTGTATGTTGAACCAACCTTGCATCCCAGGGATGAAGCCTACTTGATCACGGTGGATAAGCTTTTTGATGTGCTGCTGGATTCGGTTTGCCAATATTTTATTGAGGATTTTTGCATCAATGTTCATCAAGCATATTGGCCTGAAGTTTTCTTTTTTTTGTTGTATCTGTGCCTGGTTTTTGGTATCAGGATGATGTTGGCCTCATACAATGTTAGGAAGGAGTCCCTCCTTTTCAATTGTTTTGGAATATTTTCAGCAGGAATGGTACCAGCTCTTCTTTGTACATTTGGTAGAATTGAGCTGTGAATCTGTGTGGTACTGGGCTTTTGTTTTTTTTTTTTTCTGGTTGGTAGGCTATTTATTATTGCCTCAATTTCAGAACTCATTATTGGTCTATTCAGGGATTCGATGATTCAATCTTGGAAGGGTGTATGTGTCCAGGAATTTATCCATTTCTTCTAGATTTTCTAGTTTATGTGCATAGAGATGTTTATAATATTCTCAGATGGTTGTATTTCTGTGGGGTCAGTGGTAATATCACCCTTATTATTTCTGATTGTGTTTATTTGAATCTTCTCTCTTTTCTTCCTTATTAGTCTAGCTAGTGGTCAATCTATTTTATTACTTTTTTTCAAGAAACCAGCTCCTCGATTCATTGATCTTTTGAATGTTTGAGTGTGTGTGTGTGTGTGTGTGTGTGTGTGTGTGTGTCCCTATCTTCTTCAGTTCAACTCTTATTTTGGTTGATTCCTGTCTTCTAGATTTGAGGTTTGTTTGCTCTTGGTTCTCCAGTTCTTTTAGTTGTGATGTTAGGTTGTTAACTTGAGATTTTTCTAGCTTTTGAATAAGGTCATTTAGAGGTATAATTTCCCTCTTAACATTGCCTCAACTGTGTCCCAGAGATTCTGGTACATTGTCTCTTTGTTCTCATCGGTTTCAAAGAACTTCTTGATTTCTGCCTTAATTTCATTATTTAGCCAGGAGTCATTCAGGAGCAGGCTGTTCAATTTCCATGTAGTTGTGGGACACTTCTGAGCTTCATGAGCTCTTGTAAAGTTGGTCTGGTGGTAACAAATTTTCTCAGCATTTGCTTGTCTGAAAAGGAGCTTATTTCTCCTTTGCTTATGAAGCTTAGTTTGGCTGGATATGAAACTCTGGCCTGGAGTTTATTTTCACACATTCACTCATCACTTCCCTGCGCAGGCGAAGGGGTTCCCCTTGGCTCTTTGTCGCTTCTGGGTGGGCTGTCACCCTGCCCGGCTTTTTTCCATTCTCCATGGGTGGAGCTGTTTTCCTGATCAGTTCCAATGTGAGTACTTGGATATTTCAGTTGAAGGTGCTGTGTTTACTCATCCCTCTCATTCTTTTCTGTGAGAGCCATGCACCATAGCTGCTTCTAGTTGGCCTTCTTGGCCCCCTTCTGGCTGAGCCTAATTCTGTGTAATAGAGGTTGTACATAGATATGCCCTAGAAACACAGATTATAGAGAAGGATCATACAATATGATCATACAATATGATCCTTACATATGCACATACACGTGTAATATGGCTTTGCATGTGTCATGCATCAGTCAAAATTATTCTGTTTTTTACTTCAGGGTATTTTGACTATAGTGTTTCATATGTGTTTCTATTTTTCTCTGTATCACCATTTTAGATCATTGAATGGACTGCTGGGCTAGACCTGGAAAATTCTTCTGCCAAGTGTACTATATGTCTAGGTTCATGTCACTGTGTGATATCGGTGTCCTTGTGACAACTGTAGGGGGATATAAGAGCAACAGTGAAATAAAGTCATCTCTCACAGCTGGCATGTATATTCCTATAAATTTATGTGAACAGGAAAATAGACACAAATTGGAACCATGGAATTCAAAAAACGGTCTCTTAAATGAAGTCACAGAAACTACTTGGAAATTTAATTTAAAATGTTGAACTCTGTCCTCAATTGTATGCACCTCTGCACAACAGGTCTATCTTGTGGAAGGGCAAGGTATTTCTTCTCACATTTTTTTTCCTTCTGTCTTCTAAAGAGCTTCATGTGAAAGCAGAAGACTCATGAGAAGACATCTAGAGACTAGCCCTAAAGTGCTTTTCTCCACAGGAATGTCACCCAGGCACTACATCCAGGAGTCTCAGGTGCCACTGGGTTCCCATCCTCAGTGAGGCAGAGCTGGGAGAAGGCACGCAGCATTCAAATTTCCTTCAAGTCACTTGCTTAAGGTATACATTGAAGGTTCAAACTAAATTTGAAATCCTTTTTTTGTTGTTTTTTACAATTAGCACTTTTTTGTTATTTTTTTATATATTTTTTATTATACTTTAAGTTCTAGGGTACATGTGCACGACGTGCACGTTTGTTACATATGTATACATGTGCCATGTTGGTGTGCTGCACCCATTAACTCGTCATTTACATTAGGTATATCTCCTAATGCTATCCCTCCCCCATACCTCCAGCCCACAACAGGACCCAGTGTGTGATGTTCCCCACCCTGTGTCCAAGTGTTCTCATTGTTCAATTCCCACCTATGAGTGAGAACATGTGGTGTTTGGTTTTTTTTCCTTGTGATAGTTTGCTGAGAATGATGGTTTCCAGCTTCATGCATGTCCCTAAATAGGACATGAACTTATCATTCTTTATGGCTGCATAGTATTCCATGGTGTATATGTGCCACATCTTCTTAATCCAATCTATCATTGATGGACATTTGGGTTGGTTCCAAGTCTTTGCTATTGTGAATAGTGCCACAATAAACATACGTGTGCATGTGTCTTTATAGCAGCATGATTTCTAATCCTTTGGGTATATACCCAGTAATGGGATGGCTGGGTCAAATGGTATTTCTAGTCCTAGATCCTTGAGGAATCACCACACTGTCTTCCACAATGGTTCAACTAGTTTACAGTCCCACCAACAGTGTAAAAGTGATCCTATTTCTCCACATCCTCTCCAACACCTGTTGTTTCCTGACTTTTTAATGATCGTCATTGTAACTGGTGTGAGATGGTATCTCATTGTCGTTTTGATTTGCATTTCTCTGATGGCCAGTGATGATGAGCATTTTTTCATGTGTCTGTTGGCTGCATAAATGTCTTCTTTTGAGAAGTGTCTGTTCATATCCTTTGCCCACTTTTTGATGGGGTTGTTTGTTTTTTTCTTGTAAATTTGTTTGAGCTCTTTGTAGATTCTGGATATTAGCCCTTTGTCAGATGAGTAGATTGCAAAAATTTTCTCCCATTTTGTAGGTTGCCTGTTCACTCTGATGGTAGTTTCTTTTGCTGTGCAGAAGCTCTTTAGTTTAATTAGATCCCATTTGTCAATTTTGGCTTTTGTTGCCATTGCTTTTGGTGTTTTAGACATGAAGTCTCTGCCCATGCCTATATACTGAATGATATTGCCTAAGTTTTCTTCGAGGGTTTTTATGGTTTTAGGTCTAACATTTAAGTCTTTAGTCCATCTTGAATTAATTTTTGTATAAGGTGTCAGGAAGGGATTCAGTTTCAGCTTTCTACATATGGCTAGCCAGTTTTCCCAGCACCATTTATTTAATAGGGAATCCTTTCCCCATTTCTTGTTCTTGTCAGGTTTGTCAAAGATCAGATGGTTGTACATGTGTGGTATTATTTCTGAGGGCTCTGTTCTGTTCCATTGGTCTATATCTCTGATGGGACGTATCTCAAAATAATAAGAGCTATTTATGACAAACCCACAGCCAATATCATACTGAATGGGCAAAAACTAGAAGCATTCCCTTTGAAAACTGGCATAAGACAGGGATGCCCTCTCTCGCCACTCCTATTCAACATAGTGTTGGAAGTTCTGGCCAGGGCAATCAGGCAGGAGAAAGAAATAAAGGGTATTCAATTAGGAAAAGAGGAAGTCAAATAGTCCCTGTTTGCAGATGACATGATTGTATATCTAGAAAACCCCATTGTCTCGGCCCAAAATCTCCTTAAGCTGATCAGCAACTTCAGCAAAGTCTCAGGATACAAAATCAATGTGCAAAAATCACAAGCATTCTTATACACCAATAACAGACAGAGAGCCAAATCATGAGTGAACTCCCATTCACAATTGCTTCAAAGAGAATAAAATACCTAGGAATCCAACTCACAAGAGACGTAAAGGACCTCTTCGAGGAGAACTACAAACCACTGCTCAATGAAATAAAAGAGGACACAAACAAATGGAAGAACATTCCATGCTCATGGATGGGAAGAATCAACATTGTGAAAATGGCCATACTGCCCAAGGTAATTTATAGATTCAATGCCATCCCCATCAAGCTACCAAAGACTTTCTTCACAGAATTGGGAAAAACTACTTTAAAGTTCATATGGAACCAAAAAAGAGCCCGCATTGCCAAGTCAATCCTAAGCCAAAAGAACAAACCTGGAGGCATCATGCTACCTGACTTCAAACTATACTACAAGGCTACAGTAACCAAAACAGCATGGTACTGGTACCAAAAGAGAGATAAATTGGAAATCTAACAGAAGCATTCAGAACTACATGTCAAGCCCAAGTCACTTTTAGATATTTGAGAATGTGTACAAACCATATGGGTGTACTTTCCCCAAAAGTGTGTTTTTTGCAGTAGTGGTTAGGAGTATTCTTTTGTGAGATGGTATTTTTCTTAAGCAACCACCATTTAGATTCTTAGTTCTCTTAACTTTTAGGTTAACAACTCAATACATCTTCCAAGTGTCCTCGTATACTTTTTCCGGTTTGACTATTAGTTTAGGTGGTGCCTATGGCCCATTTAAACTCGGAGACTCTGAGGCTCTGATGTGTATCCATCTGGTTAGAGTATGTATGAGTAAAGCCAAGGTCAGTCAATGACTTGACCTCACTACCTTTTCCAAAATTTCTAGTTCTAACATTGGCTAGCAATTTTGAATGCTTGTCAGACAAATACCTCAGAGTCCTTGCCCTGCTAATGCAGTCATTATTAAGAGTGAAAATTACATTGTGTTGCCTTATTTAATGATGTAATGCTGAGTAAGCATTTATAGAGCACCTATTCTGGGAAAGATTAAAAATATACAAAGTGATAATAAATGGTCTCGTCTTAAGAAGCTTAAGAGGAAATATGACATATTAACAAGTTGCCATGAATTAAGGCATCATATAATAATACAATAAGAGAGTATAAACTATTTTAATAAACATGTTCTACAAAATGGAGCATTTGGATCCTGAAAGGGGGCTAGAATTTAAAAGTATGAGTTGAGAGAGAAAGCATTCCAGTCAGAGGTACCAGCAGAAAAAGTAGCTCTGAGACAGGCATTGGAATTATCAAATATATTTTTCTTCAGATTTTATGAAAGTATGCTTATCCATGAATGCTGAAGTGCTTATCTATGTCAACATTTTGTTAAAGAGTTACTCAAGCTCAGAAAATATAGGGAAATTTTATTTATATTTTCTCAGAAAATATATTTATTTAATTTAATTTTCTCAGAAAATATATTTATTTCTATATTTTCTCAGAAAATATATTTATTTCTATATTTTCTCAGAAAATATATTTATTTCTATATTTTCTCAGAAAATATATTTATTTCTATATTTTCTCAGAAAATATATTTATTTCTATATTTTCTCAGAAAATATATTTATTTCTATATTTTCTCAGAAAATATATTTATTTCTATATTTTCTCAGAAAATATATTTATTTCTATATTTTCTCAGAAAATATATTTATTTCTATATTTTCTCAGAAAATATATTTATTTCTATATTTTCTCAGAAAATATATTTATTTCTATATTTTCTCAGAAAATATATTTATTTCTATATTTTCTCAGAAAATATATTTATTTCTATATTTTCTCAGAAAATATATTTATTTCTATATTTTCTCAGAAAATATATTTATTTCTATATTTTCTCAGAAAATATATTTATTTCTATATTTTCTCAGAAAATATATTTATTTCTATATTTTCTCAGAAAATATATTTATTTCTATATTTTCTCAGAAAATATATTTATTTCTATATTTTCTCAGAAAATATATTTATTTCTATATTTTCTCAGAAAATATATTTATTTCTATATTTTCTCAGAAAATATATTTATTTCTATATTTTCTCAGAAAATATATTTATTTCTATATTTTCTCAGAAAATATATTTATTTCTATATTTTCTCAGAAAATATATTTATTTCTATATTTTCTCAGAAAATATATTTATTTCTATATTTTCTCAGAAAATATATTTATTTCTATATTTTCTCAGAAAATATATTTATTTCTATATTTTCTCAGAAAATATATTTATTTCTATATTTTCTCAGAAAATATATTTATTTCTATATTTTCTCAGAAAATATATTTATTTCTATATTTTCTCAGAAAATATAGAAAATATAGGGAATTTTTAGTTTATATTCTTTGATTTTACCATGAATCTGAATTTCTGTTATTTAATTGTTTAAATAGTTACTATAATTTTTGTGTTAAAGATAACACATTATAGAATATCTAATTTACTTATCACCTTCAGGAAAATCAAATAAGCATTTGTGAAGTGTCAACTATTTTCTCTGCAGTGGTGCTTTTCAAACTACCCAGAGTGAAAGACTTTTATTTTTTGTAAAATGTAAAATATTGTGGCAATGTCAGATTGCTATAAAAGGTTTTCAAATCTGTACTTCCAGGTACTTCAAAATTAGTTTGCAGATTAGTACCAGTGGTCTTAGTACAATTTGAGTAGCTACAGTAAGTAAGGAGTTGATACAAAAGAAATACAGCATATTGTCACCATCATTGGTATAAGAATGTTGTGGGGAGGACTAGGCTTACCTATGTAACCAGTGGAAAATGCAGCATATGGTACAATTACTAAAGATAAATATAGACATAAAGAAGAGCGATGATAAAACTGTTCTGGATCCCAGTTAAAATCTTTGGGGTTACTGCTTAACTCTCTGGACTCACAGCCCCGACCCACCATCCCCAATGTGCAGTTTCACTCATGGAAAAAAAGTGTCTAGACCAGCAGCTGAGGATGCATTTACTCTATGTTCAGCCCACTCAAAATACAGTTCTGTAATCAGAATACAAAAACAACCACCAACAACAACATCAGCCCAACTTTCTTTACTGTGTTTCATTTAATGCTGAAATCAGACAATGATTAGAACATGAAACTTTGTTTGAAAAAGTATATTCAATAAATTTTGTATTTAAAACAGAGCTCTTGACCTATAAAGTATAAAAAGTAATTACAATGAAATATTCTTCAGTAAATCTGACACTTTGGGATTCCAGGCAAAAGGATCGCTTGGGTGCCAAGAGTTCAAGACCAGCCTGGTCAACATAGTGAGATTCTATCTCTGAAAAAAAAAAAGAACAAAAAACAAAAGTTAAACAAATCAGTAAATCTGAGATGCACTGGTATAATTCACTGGCTTGCCCAGTTGGTACTCTCTTAGCCGTGGCTATTCCTGATGACTAACTGGCAGTAAAAGCCAGGAAATTATGGAGGTCTACTGAGGAGTCCCCTCTCGAAGTGAAGTTTTCCCATTATTTACACTTAAGAAAAAATTAATGTGAGATTGGATTTTAAACATCCCCATTAAAAACAGAAGAATGGAGGGAAGAAGGTGGGTGGGGAGGGAGAGAGAGAGCTGAATAAAACATTTACTTTATCATTTATCTTTTAAAGTCACATGGAATGCCAATTCCAAAATCACTTAATTTTTAGAACCACTGCAATCTAAACACTGTCATCAGAAACATGCCAAGTGTTGGTTCTCTGTGGTAGGTCTCCCATCTTACTTATATTTTCACTGTATTAAACTTTACCCTTGCATGGGTTTACCCTCCAGCCTCTGAGCCTTCATTAACTAGGACCCTATCTACCTGCATGTTTTGCTCTCCACTTTCTTTGCCATTCACTGGCCCCTTCTTTAGTGTTTGGTCTTCAGGTCGCCACTTTCCCTTTTAGCTAATTCCATTACTCTGATTTTCTCTGTTCCTTTAGCTACCCTATCCTAGAACAACTCTCCCAGGGATGAAAATGGGGACTTCAGAATTGAGAAATAAAAGGGAAGATGTTATGACAACCTTCCTATCTTATTTTTTGGTAAATCCACTCTTTCCCTGTCTCTATCTCTCTCTCACACACACACACACACACACTCACACACACACAGAAATTTACAGGGTAAGAGAGATTAGGAAGATAATTTTGGTGGTAGAGTCAAGAAGAGGTTGAAGAGGTGCTAATATTAAAAGAGAGATTTGAATAAAATGTTTTTAGAATTCATAGGCATTATGATATTCTATTGTAAAATGCTATTGGTTAAAATTATCTTTGTATGGGCAAACTGAGTCTCTGTCTCCAGCTGTCTGTGAACAAGCTATTCAGTTCACTAAACCTCAGCACCTCATCTGTGGAATGAGCACCATAGTAGCTCCTGTCATAAAGGTTAAATGATTTTGTAAAGGACAGATTACAAAGCATATATAAAGTATTTGATTTTTTGTTATTAAAATACTTATAATGTCTGTAATATTTTTAAAGTAAAGAGGTATAATGATTTATACTTCTGTTTATTCTAGAAACTGATTCTTAGTTGAGCTCGGAGGTTTTTCAACTTTTCTTTCAAATATTGAGATAAA
This sequence comes from Homo sapiens, assembly GCF_000001405.40. Classification (NCBI taxonomy): domain Eukaryota; kingdom Metazoa; phylum Chordata; class Mammalia; order Primates; family Hominidae; genus Homo; species Homo sapiens. Next base: position 97,290,248 of record NC_000002.12, on the reverse strand, counting down.
TAACATTGATCTATCTATTTATCTATCTATCTATTTTGAGATAGGATCCTACTTTGTCACCCAGGCTGAAGTGCAGTGGCCTTTGTCTTCCAGGCTCAGGTAGGATCCTCCTACCTCATCCTCCCAAATATCTGGGACTACCAGTGTGTGACACCACCCCCAGCTAATGTTTTTGATTTTTTTGTAGAGATGAGGTCTCACTATGCTGACAAAGCTGGTTTTGAACTCAAGTAGTCCTCGTGTCTTGGCCTCCCAAAATGCTGAGATTACAGGCATAAGCCACTGTGCCTGTACTTTTATTTTATGTAGATCACCATCCCTTACTGAGTATCACATAACTGTTATTATAAATCTTGAATAAGAGATTACATGTTTTGGCCAGGCACGGTGGCTCATGCCTGTAATCCCAGCAATTTTGGAGGCCAAGGTGGGCAGATCACCTGAGGTCAGGAATTCGAGACCAGCCTGGCCAAAATGGTGAAACCCCATCTCTACTCAAAATACAAAAAAAAAAAAAAAAAAAAAAAAAAAATTAGCCAGGTATGGTGGCACATGCCTGTAGTCCCAGCTACTGGGGAGGCTGAGGCAGAAGAATTGCTTGAACTCAGAAGGCAGAAGTTGCAGTGAGCTAAGACCATCCCACTGCACTCCAGCCTGGGCAAATGAGTGAGAATCCATCTTAAAAAAAAAAAAAGACTACATATTTCATACAGTATTCCAAAACCAAAAACAACACTATGCTTTGCTTTTCGTTACCATGAATCTATAAGTTATTAAGCTTTCAGTACTGCAAATATTGTCACATATTAACAGTTTGACTTGAAAATACGTGTAATTTCTACTAAAAATAGAAAAGAAAGGCCTTGTCTTTAGAAGCTTCCAAGGAACATTATAACAGAAGTTATATTTTCCACAATTTGGGTTCAATTAATCTTATATATTGCAATTGACTTAAATAAAATTTTAATTTTTGAACACTTTAAGGTTTACAGAAACATCGTGAAAATAGTATAATATTCCTGGTAAGTACCCAAACTCTGCTTTCTCTATTACTAAAATTTTATATTAGTGTGGTGCATTCATTACAATTAAGGCATCAATATTGTCATATTATTATTATCTAAAGACCATACTTGTTCAGAATTCCTCAGTTTTTATTTAGTTTCCATTTTCTGTTCTAGTGTACATCCTAGAATCTTATATTACATTTAGTCATTGTGAGACAGACTCCAGGTCAGTAAGTGCTGAAACAGGGGATGTTAAAAAAGAACCAACATAGATTACAAAAGGAAGACTCAAAGCTTCCAGAATGATTTTCTTTCTATCTAAAATCATTTTCTATCTTTCATCCTATCAGCACTCATAAATTACACACACTCATAACCTGCCACAATTTACTGGCAGATTGTGAAGCGGGAGCAGGCATGTCACACAGTGAAAGCAGGAACAAGAGAGTGAGGGGGGAGATACCACACACTTTTAAACAACCAGATCTTTTGAGAGCTCACCTGCTATCATGAGGAGTACCAAGGAGATAGTACTAAACCATTCATGAGAAATCCACCCTCCTAATCCAGTCACCTCCCTCCAGACCCCACCTACCACACTGGGGATTACAGTTCAACATGAGATTTGGGTGGGGACACAGATCCAAACTATATCACAGGGGTTTCCCTATGTTGCTTAGGCTGGTCTCAAACTCCTGGCCTCAGGTGATCTTCCTGCCTCAACCTTCCAACGTGCTGGAATTAGAGGTATCAGCCACCATGCCCAGCCAGAAATTTCTTTCTCAAGGGGCTTTTCATCTCACTGGAAATTTTAGTTTAGGGATCTCCCAACTTACAAAGGGTTTGTGTTCCAAAATTTTGTTTCTAAGTCAGGTAGGCTCACTTTCCTACAGAAAATGAGAAGAAGCCAGTCCCAAAGCAAGCAATAAAAGCCTGTTGCCTCACAAGTGAACTATGATGTTGCTAAATCCATCAGGAGTAGTTTTACTTTTGCTCTTTGTTGAATGGGCTACTGTGGGCCTGTGGGGGCACCTAACCACCATTTATCTTATTTCTTTGAAGCAGGTCATGCTGTCACGTGTGGTCAAAAGGGAATTAGTGATGATAATGGAGCTTTCTCTGCCTCTCTCCCTCTTGACTGCCAAGGTCCAGGGAAGTTCACATCTCAGTGGTCACGGGCTGGCCAAGTAGATCCCCACCAGTTGCTGGATAATGCCTGTGAACTACTGGCTAGCATCTATTCTGAAAACCTAGCTTCTGGTTTGCTTGTTTATTCACCAGTATCTCACATAATTTTCTTATGACCATCTGGCACCTAATATAGATCCCAAAAGAGTTTAAGAGGATTTACCCTTTAGGCAAAAAATACTGGCAGTGTTTATAATCCCCTCAAAAAGAGAGAGGGAGAAAAAAAGAAAGAAGAAATGTTTTTAAAGGAAGAGATAGCACCATGTAACTATAAATAACTCTCTATATCAGACTGAAAATAAATTTTTGTTTTTTCTTTATTTTGGCTCATTTGGTAAGCTAACAAACTGGAAGAAAAGAACCAGTTTTAACTAAACAACTCTAAAAGATTTCAGAATTTGAAAACTTAGAGTTATGAATAGATTTGATTCACTTAGCCCCAAAACTATCAAAAGAAGTATATAAAATATTAATAGTCACCAAAACCATTGAGCTATAGAATTCCAGATATTGAAATTCTAAGGAAATGTTGTTTTAGAATCAAATCATGTACTAGGCTGAAATTAAATCAAATACCATTACTGAGTATTGTTATTAGGATAAACATCTTTCCATACTTTGGTGAAATTGGAAATACTCTTGCAGAAGTGTTTTCATCTCTCACCCAGAAAAAGTAAATAATGACCTTCTTCCTTCTTCCACTTAATGTAAAATCCTACATTTACATATATTGTGTCATCCCTTGTTTTGTGATTATTTGCTTACAGATTTTCTCTAGGTGCTCTCTAAGCAGAGAGAACAGGGTACTGGTTAAGATTGTAGATCTAGGGGATCACTGATCTAGGTCCTATTCCAAATTTGATTCCTCACCTGCTAAGCTTGCAAGTGCAACTTATTTAAATTCTCTGAAGGTTAAATGTTTCATCTAAATAGGGATAATAATAAACACCTATAGCATAGAGTTGTTTGAGATTAAATGAGATAATACATGTAAAATTATGTGCCTGGCATACAGCAAGATTGTTGTTGTTGTTGATGATGATGATGATGATGATAATATTTTTCTATCCCCAGTGCACAACTGCTTGAACCTATTAGATAATCAATACATGTTTCTTGAACTGAGATCAATTTCCCCATGTTGTCTGACTGATGAAGCCCTACATTTTCTTCTAGAGGAGATGACATTTGAGCAAGATCTTAAAGAAAATCAGATGCCTTCACCTGACCACTGCTTGGTGATCCCATGGCACTTTGTACATCTCTCCATTAGCTCTCATCTCACCAGCCCATCATTATTGTATGTGCTGCCTTCTGAAGCTTGCAGCTGGCTACATCAGGTAGAATAAAATCATCCTTTCATAAAATAGTGACCTCCTTTTTTATTTGCATTTCCAAAGCCAAGCACGTGGTAGGTAGACAACAAATGCTTGCTCCTGGGCTGCGCTAAAGGCATCTATAACCACTAAGCCCAAAGAGTGTGGTGTCCCTTCAAAAGGAAGGAGCCAGTGTTTATATCACTTTTTCTTGACCTTCACGGCTCCACTCAAAGCCCACCTCCAGCATGAGGCACTATCCAGTCCAATCCACAGTGATCACTCCCTTTCTGAGTCCTTCTAGGAAATCAGACACAGTCATTTGAGGTGTGTGTTAGTAATCTTTCCTCAGATGCCCTGTGAGCTCTTTTGCACAGTACCAAGGCATGTAATAGGCAGGAAACGTATTTAATTGCTTGGCTTAGTTCTAGTTTTCAATGTGTACTTCTCCAGAATTATCCAATTAACCCTAACTTGAGAAGATAGGCAAACTGGATTTGCACACACTGGAGTCAATTCCTGATATCCCCGGGGGTGTGAATGAACAGAGGTCTTCTTGCTGGCTTCTGTAACAGTATCTCTCTTTGGCCAGCACCCAATTTTTGGAACCATTATGAGCACACAAAAACAGCATTTTACACAAATCAAGAAATAGCTCCCAACCATGTCTTTGTGGCATTGTTAAACAACAGTAAATTGTACTTTGAGTTCTATTTCCTCTAATTAAATGAAATGAGAAGTGGGCCCAAGTCCCCCAGAAAGAGACTGGAGGGAACCACGATGTTTCCTGTGATTAGATACACCACTAAGGAAATCTGACCCTGAGCAACTGAAAGCTGCCTATTCTCATTAAGAAGAGCTACAGACTGACCCTTTTCAAAGACTAGTAACTGGACACATTTCTTTCACAAATTATCTTCTTTTCCCTTCTTCATACCAGGAATTCTCAGGGATTATAATCCTCATCAATATAACAAGCCTCCAAAGTCATATTTTTTAACTTTGTGAAATGCCCTCCCACCTAACTACCCCATTTGACACCTGCAACCATCCTCTAGAGAGGCAGACAAGATCGACCGTCTCACTTTACAGAAGTGCAAAGAGTAGCTGGCCTAATGCCACAGCCAATGAACAGATGAAGGAGGCCTACAACCACCTAGTCTTCCCTACTTCTCCTCACTCCTCCCCTCTGACCTCCTTATGTCACCACTGACCAATGGATCACTGTGTGGCCGTTCAGCATCTTCCTATGCTGTGTCAGGCAAGAGAAATTCTGGAAAGAGAGCATCTCATGTTTATTAAGGAGACTGGGTGTCCTTGTAGAAAGTCCTGCCATGCACAACCCCGGTCTTAACTGATGTGTTTCACCATACTGAAGGCAAGTTGCCATCTAACATAGTTGAAGGGGAGCCAGTTGTGGTGATCTTTGTTCCTGCTGAAATATGGAAAGAAAATGAGGAAATGAGCTCATTTTCAAAGAAAATGAACATTCTTTCACATGAAAGAAATAGGAGCAAAGTGACAGGAGAGAAACAAAGCTTAGGGTTGGTGTGAGATACACAGACAGGGTGTTAGCCCCACAAACAGTGCTGCTGGGCCAAGTTAACTCCCTGTTTTTCCCTATATATGTGGTGTGGAAAAGCTATTTATAAAATGTGTTTAAATATTTAGGACCAAATAAATCAACATTGTTAGGAAACATTGACTCTGACCAGAACTCATTTCCTCACCCTAGTCCAATGTGAATAACAAAATGAAGAATATCAGGATGATTCGAGACCAGGAATACTACAGATGTCCAACACTTCCACCTGGAATCCCCAAAGAGGCCCGCTTTTAGCCTCCACACTGGTTGGTGACCTGACATGAGAGAAATGACAGAAATCTCAGAAGACTGGCCTCATGAATAATCTTCAGTTTCAATGTAACAAAGCAAGCCTTCTAGAAATTACCTGCCTCTGCAGTTCACTCTGCTGCTTCAGATGAAAATTTTCAGGTCTGTCTGCCACTGTAGTGAAGCACTGCTTTGGGTAGTGTCTGTGGAGAAACTTTTTAAAGGACATAGTTGAAATATTGTGCTACAAACCAATTCTTGAACACCACTCATTTTGTCCTACCTCTCTGTGACCGTGAAAGACGGCTGTGCTCTTGGCAAAGGTCATCTCTCTGTCATGAGTCTGGATCTCCTTTTCTTCTCCTGATTATCTGTCACTCAGTTATCCCCACTCTCTTCCACAACTTTAACTTCAGCTTCTCTATTCTAAGAGACTCTTCTCGCAGGCTCAAGGCTCTCCTACCCTCCATCATTCCTCCCTCTACCCCACACAGCCAGCATGTGTCCAGCTAGTCTATCCTTCAGCCAAACTTCCTTAGAAAGAGGCCTTACCTCACTGTCCCTACCCATCTACTCTCTGACTCACTTCTTAACTCCATGACTGGGTTCTGGTTTCTTTCCCTTGCCTGTTGTGACTTCCTATGGACACAGCCAAAAACCATCACATAGTCCTGTTGTATGGCATCCCCACCATCTTGAAATGTCCTCTCCCTCAGTTCCTATGTGTTACCACACACGCCTGCCTTGGCTTCTCCCTCTAGTTGTTCCTTCTCTGTCTTCTGTGGGCTTCTTATTGTCTGCTCACTCCTTCTTCAGTGTCCTCTCATGGGCTTCCTTCCCTTCTCAGCTGATGCCATCACCTGGGGAATCACAGTTACTCAGCAGCACTGGGGCCTCTCTATCTCTATGCTGGTCATGCCTATGTGTGAGCTGCAGACCCAGTGGAATTTCCATTTGTGCATCCCATGCCCAGCCCACCCTCCACCAGCCTCGAATGCAGCTGTTCAGCCCTACCCCAGTCCTCAGAAAAGTTCCTCTCCCTGGATCCCCTTTTTCCTTCATGAGTGCCCGGTTGCCCAAGTCAAAAACCTGGGAGTGATATAAACTCCCCACACATCCAGTCAGTCACTCATCAACTCTATTGATTCTGTCTGCTAAATATATCTCAATTGTATTAACTTAAACATATGCATAATACATCTTCTTCTTCACTGCATTTTTGTGGGCTGCACTTACCTTTCAGGTAACAACAACACTGGCCCCTCTTGCCCTTCTAGTCAGAAGTGCCAAAATGATGAGAGCTAGCCATGACAAACCCACAGCCAACATTACACTGAATGTGCAAAACTGGAAGGGCATCCAAACAGAGGAGGGAAGAGAGGAATAGACAGGAAGTCAAACTGTCTCTGTTTACAGATGACATGTTTCTATATCTAGAAAGCCCCATAGTCTTGGCCCCAAAGCTTCTTCTGCTGATAAACTTTAGCAAAGTCTTAGCATACAAAATCAATGTGCAAAAATTACTAGCAGTCCTATACATCAAGTCAAGCAGAGAGTCAAATGAAGAACACAATCCCATTCATAATTGCTACACACAGAAAAAATAAGATACCTAGGAATACAGCTAACCAGGGAGGTGAAAGATCTCTAGGAGATCTCTAGAAGAATTACAAAACACTGCTCAAAGAAATCAGAGAAGACACAAACAAATGGAAAAACATGTCATGCTCATGGATAGGAAGAATTAATGTCATTAAAATGGCTATACTGCCCAAAGTAATTTACAGATGCAAGTTATCCCTATTAAATTACCAACGGCATTCCTCACAGAACTAGAGCAAACTATTTCAAAATTCATATGGAACCAAAAAAAAGAGCCCTAATAGCCAAGCAATCCTCAGCAAAAAGAACGAAGCTGGAGGCATCATGTTACCCAACTTCAAACCATACTACAGGGCTACAGTAACCAAAACAGCATGATACTGATACAAAAACAGCTCATCATTTTGAGCTATGTTTCTTCAATACCCAGATTTTTTAGAGTTTTTAATATGGAGAGGCATTGAATTTTATTGAAAGCCTTTTCTGCTTATATTGAGATAACCACATGGTTTTTATCTTTAGTTTTGTTTATGTGATGAATCAGATTAATTGATATGTGTATGTTGAGGCAACCTTGCATCCTGGGGATGAAGCATACTTGATCATGATGGATTAACTTTTTGATGTGCTGCTGGATTTGGTTTGCCAGTATTTTGTTGAGGATTTTTGCATTGATGTTCATCGAGGGTATTGGCCTGAAGAGTGTGTGTGTGTGTGTGTGTGTGTGTGTGTGTGTGTGTGTGTGTGTGTGTGTCTGCCAGATTTTGGTATCAAGATGATGTTGGCCTCATAGAATGAGTTGGGGAGGAGTTCCTCCTCCTCAATATTTTCAAATAGTTCCTGTAAAAATGGTACCAGCTCTTCTTTGTATTTCTAGTAGAATATGACTGGGAATCCATCATGTTCTGGGCTTTTTTTGGTTGGTAGGTTATTTATTACTGATTCAATTTCGGAGCTTGTTATTGGTCTGTTTACAGCAAATCAATTTCTTCCTGGCTCAGTTGTGGGAGGGTGTATTTCTCCATGAATTTATCCATCTCTTTGAAGTTTTCTAGTTTGTATGCATAGAAGTGTTTGCAGTAGTTTCTGATGGCTGTTTCTATTTCTGTGGGGTCAGTGGTAACATTCCCTTTGTCATTTCTAATTGTGTTTCTTTCAATCATCCTCTGTATTAGTCTGCTAGCAGACTTTCTTATTAATATTTTCAAGAAACCTACCCGGAATTCATAGATCTTTTGAATTTCTTTTTTTCATGTCTCGGTTTCTTTCAGTTCAGCTCAGATTTTCAGTTATTTCTTGTCTTCCTCTAGCTTTGGGGTTTTGTCTTGCTTCTCTAGTTCTTTCAGTTGTGATGTTAGGTTATTAATTTGAGTTCTTCCTAACTTTTTGATGTGGGATTTAGTGCTATAAATTTCCCTCCTAACATTGTCTTAGCTGTGTCCAGAGGCTCTAGTATGTTGTAACTTTGTTCTCATTATTTTCAAAGAGCTTCTTGATTTCTGCCTTAATTTCATTATTTATTAAAAAGTCATTCAGGAGCATGTTGATTGATTTCCATGTAATTGCATGATTTTCAGCAATTTTCTTAGTCTTCTATTTTTACTGCACTGTGATCTCAGTATGTATTTGGTATGATTTCAGTTGTTTTGCATTTGCTGAGGATTGCTTTATGTCCAATTATGTGGTTGATTTTAGAGTATGTGGCATATGATGATGTGAGGAATGCATATTCTGTTGTTTTTGAGTGCAGAGTTCTGTAAAGGTCTATCAGATCCATTTGATCCAATGTTGAGTTCAGGTCCTGAATATCTTTGTTCATTTTTTTGCCTCAATCATCTGTCTAATACTGTCATTGGAGTGTGGAAATCTCCCACTATTACTGTGAAACATACTTTGTAGGTCTCTAAGAACTTTACTTATGAATCTGGGTGCTCCTGCATTGGATGAATATATATTTAGGATAGTTAGGTCTTCTCGTTGAATTGAAGCCTTTGCCATTATGTAATATCCTTCTTTGTCTTTTCTATTTTATTTTAAGTTCCAGGATACATGTACAGGATGTGCAGGTTTGTTACATAGTTAAACATGTGCCATGGTGGTTTGCTGCACCTATCAACCTATCACCTAGGTATTAAGCCCCACGTGCATTAGCTATTTATCGTGATGCTCTCCTTCCCCCTACCTTCCCAACAGGCTCCGGTGTGTGTTCTGCCCCTCCCTGTGTCCATGTGTTCTCATTGTTCGGTTCCCACTTATGAGAACATGTGGTGTTTGGTTTCCTGTTCCTGTGTTAATTAGCTGAAGTTTATGGCTTCCAGCTTCATCCATGTCCCTGCAAAAGACATGATCTCATTCCTTTTTATGGCTGCATAGTATTCCATGGTGTATATGTATCACATTTTCTTTATCCAGTCTATCATTGATGGACATTTGGGCTGATTCCATGTCTTTGCTATTGTGAATAGTGCTGCAATAAACATAAGTGTGCATGTATCTTTAAAACAGAATGATTTATATTTCTTTGGATATAAACCTAGTAATGGGATTGCTGGGTCAAATGGTATTTCTGCTTCTAGATCCTCCAGGAATTGCCACACTGTCTTCCACAATGGTTGAACTAGTTTACATTCCCACCAACAGTGTAAAAGTGTTCCTGTTTCTCCACAGCCTCTCTAGCATCTGTTGTTTCTTGACTTTTTAATAATTGCCATTCTGACTGGCATGAGATGGTATCTCATTGTGGTTTTGATTTGCATTTCTCTAATAAACACTAGTGTTGAGCTTTTTTTTTCATATGTTTGTCGGACGCATAAATGTCTTCTTTTCAGAATGTCTGTTCGTGGCCTTTGCCCATGTTTTGATGGGGTTGTTATTTTCTTGTAAATTTGTTTAAGTTCCTTGTAGATTCTGGATATTAGACCTTTGTCAGATTGGTAGATTGCAAAAATATTCTCCCATTCTGTAGGTTGCTTGTTCACTCTGATGATAGTTTCTTTCCCTGTGCAGAAGTGCTTACGTTTAATTAGATCCCATTTATCAATTTTTGCTTTTGTTGCAATTGCTATTGATGATTTCATCATAAAATCTTTGCTCATGCCTATGTCCTGAATGGAACTTCCTAGATTTTCTTCTAGGGTTTTTTACAGTTCGGGGTTTCACATTTAAGTTTTTAATCCATCTTGAGTTAATTTTTGCATAAGATGTAAGGATGAGGTCCAGTTTCAGTTTTCTGCATATGGCTAGTCAGTTTTCCCAGCACCATTTAAATAGGGAATCCTGGCCAAGTGCAGTGGCTCATGTCTATAATCTCAGCACTTTGGGAGGCTGATGCAGGTGGATCTTGAGGTCAAGAGATCAAGACCATCCTGGCCAACATGGTGAAACCCCGTCTCTTCTAAAAATACAAAAACTAGCTGGGCGTGGTGGCTCGAACCTGTAGTCCCAGCTACTCAGGAGGCTGAGGCAGGAGAATCACTTGAATCCGGGAGGCAGAGGTTGCAGTGAGCTGAGATCATGCCGCTGCACTCCAGCCTGGTGACAGAGTGAGACTTTGTCTCAAAATAAATAAATAAATAAATAAATAGGTATTCCTTCCCCCATTGCTTGTTTTTGTCAGGTTTGTCAAAGATCAGATGGTTGTAGATGTGTGGTCTTATTTCTGAGATCTCTATTCTGCTCCATTGGTCTGTGTGTCTGTTTTGGTAACAGTACCATGCTGTTTTGATTAGTGTGGCCTTGTAGTATAGTTTGAAGTCATATAGCATGATGCCTCCAGCTTTGTTCTTTTGGCTTAGGATTGTCTCGACTATTCAGTCTCTTTTTTGGTTGCATATGAAACTTAAAGTAGTTTTTTTTTAATTATGTGAAGAATGTCAATGGTAGTTTGATGTGAATAGCACTGAATCTATAAATTACCTTGGGCAGTATGGCCATTTTCATGAGATTGATTCTTCCCACCCATGAGCATGGAATATTTTTCCATTTGTTTGTGTCCTCTCTTATTTCCTTGAGCAGTGGCTTGTAGTTCTCCTTGAAGAGGTTCTTCACATCCATCGTTAGCTGTATTCCTAGGTATTTTATTCTCTTTGTAACAATTGTGAATGGGAGTTCATTCATGATTTGGCTCTCTTGCCTATTGTTGGTGTATAGGAATTGAAGAATATTGTCTATTGCTGGTGTATAAGAATGCTTGTGATTTTTGCACATTGATTTTGTATCTTCAGACTTTGCTGAACTTGCTTATCAGCTTAAGGAGTTTTTGGGCTGTGACGATGTGGTTTTCTAGATATAGAATCACATTTTCTGCAAACACAGACAATTTGATTTTATCTCTTGCTATTTGAACATGTTTTATTTCTTTCTTTTTTTTTTTGAAGGGTTTTTCATGTCTCTGTCTCCTTCAGTTCCACTTTGATCTTAGTCATTTTTTTTTTTCTCTTCTGCTAACTTTTGGATTTGTTTGCTCTTGCTTCTCTAGTTCTTTTAGTTGTGATGTTAGGGTGTCAATTTGAGATATGTCTAGCTTTATGATGTGGGCATTTAGTGCTATAAATTTACCTCTTAACACTGCTTTAGTTGCCTCCCAGAGATTCTGGTACATTGTCTCTTTGTTCTCATTGGTTTCAAAGAGCTTCTTGATTTCTGCCTTAATTTTATTATTTACCCAGAAGTCACTCAGGAGCACGTTGTTCAATATCCATGTAGTTGTGTGGTTTTGAGTGAGTTTCTTAATCTTGAGTTCTAATTTGATTGCACTGTGGTCTGAGAGATTGTTATGATTTCAGTTATTTTGCATTTGCTGAGGAGTGTTTTAATTCTAATTTTGTGATCAATTTTAGAGTGTCATATGCCACTAAGAATAATATATAGTCTGTTGTTTCGTGTTGGAGAGTTCTGTAGATATCTATGAGATTCACTTGATCCAGAGCTGTGTTCAAGTCCTTTCTTGTCAATTTTCTGCCTAGATGATCCAATATTGACAGTGGGGTGTTAATGTCTCCCACTATTGTTGTGTGGTAGCCTGAGTCTCTTTGTAGGTCTCTAAGAACTTGTTTTGTGAATCTGGGTTCTCCTGTATTGGGTGCATACATATTTAGGATAGTTAGCTCTTCTTGTTGAATTGATTCCTTTATCATTGTGATGTTCTTCTTTGTCTTTTTTTATCTTTGTTGATTCAAAGTCTGTTTTGTCAGAAACTAAGATTGCAACCCCTGCTTTTTTCTGCTTTCCATTTGCTTGGTAAATTTTCCTCCATCGCTTTGAGCCTATGTGTGTCTTTGCACATGAGATAGGAACCCTGAATACAGCACACCTGAATCTTGACTCTTTATATCCAATTTGCTGGTCTGTGTCTTTTAATTGGTACATTTAGCCCATTGACACTTAAGGTTAATATGGTTATGTGTGAATTTGATCCTGTCACCATGATGCTTGCTGGTTATTTTGCTCACTAGTTGATGCAGTTTCTTCATAGTGTCATTGGTCTTTGTACTTCAGTACATTTTTGCAGTGGCTGGTACCAGTTTTTCCTTTCCATCTTTAGCACTTCCTTCAGGAGGTCTTGCAAGGCAGGCCTGGTGGTGATAAATTCCCTCAGCATTTGCTTGTCTGAAAAGGATTTCTCCTTCACTTATGAAGGTTAGTTTGGCCAGATATGAAATTCTAGGTTAGAAATTCTTTTCTCTAAGAATGTTGACCATTGGACCCAACTGTCTCCTGGCTTGTGGGGTTTCTGCTGAGAGGCCCACTCTTAGTCAGATGGGCTTCCCGTTGTAGGTGACCTGCCCTTTGTCTCTGTCTGCCTTTAACATTTTTTCCTTCATTTTGATCTTGGAGAATCTGATGACTATGTGTCTTGAGGGTTGATCTTCTTGTGGAGTATCTTACTGGGGTTCTCTGGATTTCCTGAATTTGAATGTTGGCCTGTCTTGCTAGGTTGGGGAAGTTCTTCTGGATGATATCTTGAAGTGTGTTTTCCCAACGTGGCTCCATTCTCCTTGTCTCTTTCAGGTAGTCCAATCAGTCATAGGTTTGGTCTTTTACATAGTTCCACAGTTCTTTGAGGTTTTGTTCATTCCTTTTCATTCTTTTTTCTCTAATCTTCTCTGCCTGCCTTATTTTGGCAAGACAGTCTTCAAGCTCTGATATTCTTTTTTCTGCTTGATCAATTCAGCTGTTGATACTTGTGTTTGCATCACAAAGTTCCCCTTATGTGCTTTACAGCTGGCTCTGGTCATTTATGTTCCTCTCTAAACTGGTTATTCTAGTTAGCATCTTCTGTAATCTTTTAACATGGTTCTTAGCTTCTTTGCTGACAGAAGTAGGGTTCAGAAGGTGGGTAATAACAAATTTCACAGAGCTAAATGAGCATGTTCTAACCCAATGCATTGATTTCTCCACCTCCCTTTCAGGGATGCCAGTGATTTGTAGAATTGGCCTCTATATATAACCCCATACTTATTGGAGGTTTTCTTCCTTCCGTTTTATTCTTTTTTATTTTTGTCTGTCTTATTTTAGAGAACCAATCTTTAAGTTCTGGGATTCGTTCCAATATGTTGGGTTAGAGCGTACTCCTTTAGCTCAGTGAAGTTTGCTACTACCCACCTTCTGAAGCCTACTTCTGTCAATTCATCCATCTCAACCTCCACCCAGGACTGTGCCCTTGCTGTAGAGGTGTTGTGATCATTTGGAGTAAACAAGTCACTCTGGCCTTTTGAGTTGTTAGGGGTTTTTCATTCCTTTCTCATCTTCATGAGTTTGTCTCATTTTGATCTTTGAGGCTGCTGACCTTTAGATGAGGTTTTCGTGGGGACTTTTTGGTTGATGTTGTTGTTGCTTTCTGTTTTTCTTTCGACAGTCAGGTACCTCTTCTGTAGGGCTGCTGTGGTTTGCTGGGGATTCACTTCAAGCCCTATTTATCTGGGTCCCTCCCACACCTGAAGATGTCACCAGAGGGTGCTGGAGAACAGCAAAGATGGGACCCCACTCCTTCCTCTGGGATCTCTGTCCTTGAGGGGCACCCACCTGATGCCAGTAGAAATGCTCCTGTATAAGGTGTCTGGTGACCCACTGGGGTGTTTCACCCAGTTGAGGGGCACAGGATCCAGGACTTGCTTAATGAAGCACTTTGATTGTCCCTTTGGGAAGGGGGTATGCTGTGCCGGGGAAAATCCCACTCATCTGGGCTGCCTGGAATCCTCAGAGTGAGCAGGGGGAAAGAACAAGTCTTCCGGTTTGTGGAGACAACAGCCAGCCACCCCTCCCACTAGGGACTCAGACCTAGAGAGATCAGAGTTCTCTCCCTAATTCCCTGGCTTGAGTTGCTGGAGTTCCTGCAGGGAGGCCCCACCCAGTGAGGAGGGATGGGTCAGGGTCAGCCTAAAGAGGCAGTCTGGCCATGATCTGCCACAGCCAGTATGCTGCGCTGTGGGGAATACCTCTTGGGACCAAGCCGTCCAGTCTTCCTGGCATCAGCAAAGGAAAAACAGCAGCCTGGATCTGTAGAAATGGCTGCCGCCCTTCCTCCCCAGGAGTTCAGTGTCTTAGGCAGCTAGCAGCCACAGTGATGGCTGCTGTCCCTTCTTAGGGAGCTCAGTTTCCTCAGGCAGCAGGCAGCTGCAGTGATGATGACTGCCCCTCTCTTGGGAAGCTCAGTTGTCTTAGGCAGCCAGCAACCACAGTGATGATTGCTCCCCCTCCCCCAGGGAACTCAGAGGGTTTAGGCAGCAGGCAGCCACAGTGATGATGACCACCCCTCCCCAACTTGGGAACTCGGTAGTTTTAGGCAGACTCCAGCTGAGTGGCTGTTGAGAATCTGCATGGCTCTGTGGTTGGCACCCAAGGCCCTCGTGGTGTGGTCTCATGAGTGGGATCTTCTGATCTGTGGATTGCAAAGATCCATGGAAAAAGCAGTTTCCCAGGCTGGGTAGCATGCTCACTCACTGCCTCCCTTGGCTGGCTGAGGGTGAGGGCTCCCCTTGCCCCATGTGGCTCCCAGGTGGGCCAATCCACCAGCCCATCTTTCCTTGTTCTCTATGGGTCACGGCAACCACCTAGTCAGTCCTGATCATAGAACCTGGATATGTCAGTTGCTGCTGCAGGATTTGCACACTCTTTTAGTTCTTCTCAGTGGGAGCCTCAAACTGCAGCTGCTTCTAGTCGGCTATCTTGCCCCTGCCCCCTTGTCCTTTTGAAAAATTATTGTTCATTTGAAATCTGTTTTGTCTGAAATTAGGATTGCAACCTCTGCTTTTTTTCTGTTTTCTATTTGTCTGGTAGATTTTTCTCCATCCTTTTAGTTTGAGACGATGAGTGTCATTATGTGTGAGATGGGTCTCTTGAAGACGACATACCATTGGGTCTCGCTTTTTTTTTTTTTAAATCTAGCTTGCCACTCTGTGCCTTTTAAGTGGGGCATTTGCCCATTTACATTCAAGGCTAGTATCGATTTGTGTAGATTTGATCTTGTCATTGTGCTGTTGGCTGGTTATTATGTTGGCTTTTTTGTGTGGTTGCTTTATAGTGTCACCGGTCTGTGTGTTTAAGTATGTTTTTGCATTAGCGTGTAGTGGTCTTTCCTTTCTATATTTAGTCCTCCTTTCTAAAATCTCTTGTAAGGCAGATGTGGTGGTAATGAATTACCTCAGAATTTGCTTGTCTGTAAATGATCTCATTTCTCCTTCATTTAGAAAGCTTAGTTTAGCTGTATATGAAATTCTTGGTTGAAGATTTTCTTTAATAATGTTAAATATAGTCCCCCAATCCCTTCTGGCTTGTAGGATTTCAGCTGAGAGATCTGCTGTTAGCCTAATGGGGTTCCCTTTGTAGATGGCCTGCCCTTTCTCTCTGGCTGCCTTTAACATATTTTCCCTCATTTCGACCTTGGAAAACCTGATGTTTATGTGTCTTGAGGATGGTCTTGTGTAGAATCTTGTAGGAGTTCTTTGTATCTCCTGAATTTGACTGTTGGCCTTTCTAGCAAGGTTAGGGAAGCTTTCAAAGATGATATCCTGAACTACGTTTTCCAAGTTGTTTGATTTCTCCACCTCCCTTTCAGAGATGCCAGTGATTTGTAGAATTGGCCTCTTTATATAATCCCATCCTCCTTGAAGGTTTTGTTCATTCTTTTTTATTTTTGTCCATCTTATTTTAGAGAACCAATCTTCAAGTTCTGAGATTCGTTCCTCAGATTTTTTTTTCTGCTGTTAATACTTGTGATTGCATTGTGGAATTCTTGTATTGTGTTCTTCGGCGCTTTCAGATCGGTTAGGTTCTTTTTTATTATACCAGCTACTTTATCCTTCAGCTCCTGTAACACTTTACTGTTATTCTTATTTTCCTCGGATTGGGTTTTGCCATTCTCCTGAGTCTTGATGATTTTTTTTCCTATCCATATTCTGAATTATATTTATGTAATTCCAGACAGTTCATCCAGGTTAAGAACTCTTGTTGGAGAACTGGTGTGGTTGTTAGAAGGACATATGACACAGAGGCCATTTGAGTTACTGGAGTTCTTGCATTGGTTTCTTCTCATTTCCACCTATGGGTTTTCCTTTAATTGCAGTGTAGATTGAGTACAGTCCGTAGACTTATTTTCGGATGTTTTCACCAGGCTGAGGCTTTGTGCAGGGTCTTTATTTGAAGCTGACTTCTCATTTCTGGTTTCAGAGGGGAGTATATTAGTAAGGTATTTTTGATGCTGAAGCTTTGGGATGTGATCCAGTAGGTGGCACTTGGGCTTACTGGTCAGTTGGTAGACTCTTGCTTGGTCATGTGGCTCCCCTATGTTTCCTTACAGTTGCAGCCATGTTCCCTCTCAATGATCTGAAAATGTGCTTCTCTCCCCCTTGAGTGCTGGCTGTAGGTCATGGCTTGGCACTCCTAGGCTGCCCACTGCAGCTCTGGGGCAATCTCAGTGTTTATATTTCTTTCCTAACTTTGAGGCAGAAGAGGAAGGGACATTAGTAGTGGTTGTAGCCAAGGGTCTTTTGTTTGTCTCCTCAGAGTTCCACCACCCCTGGAGAATACAGCAACTGTTTACTGCAATCAGCAATCAGGATGGAGAATTCGTGCTGTGGGGGCCAATCCAGGGGTTCCCTGTCATGAGCAGTGGGGAGTGTGTAGAACCCATGAGAGATGGGCTTTGGTCAATTAAAGCTTGTTGAAGGTGTAGATAAGGGTGTTAGCTCCTTCATCAGTCTGAGGGTAGCAAGGACAGTTCCACTGCAGAAGCAGTGGCAGAGAGGCTTTCAGTTGCCCCTGGAGGCTCTCTCCAGGGAGTGGCTGAGTTGCTACTGGCTCAACAGTTCTGGTAGGGGGGGTTAGGTAGAGGTCCAGGCCTGCAAGACTTGCCTAGTGAGAAGATATAGGAATGGGAACCCAGGTAACAGTCTGGCCACTTTTCCATAGGGCTGCTGCAGTATGCCCAGGGCCCGCTCCAGTCTCTAGTAGCCTCAGATTTTCCAGTACCTGGAGTTATCATCAGTGAAGCCTGTGAAACAGCAAAGATGGCAGCCTACCGCTCCCTTTGGAAGCTTTGCCCTAGGGAGGTATGAATGAACTTGTTGCTGGCCCAAACACACCTGTAGGAGGTGGCTGGAGACCCCAGTTTGGAGGTTTTGCCCAGTGAGGAGGAATGGCATTGGGAAAGTGCTTAAAAACGCAGTCTGGCCTCATTTTTATAGAGCAGCTGTGGTATGCTGAGGGTCCACATCACCCCCTGGTCTCCTTGGACACTCCAAAGACTGAAGGTTGAAGTGGCTAAGTTGCAAAAACAGCAAAGATGGTGGCCTGCCCCTCCATCAGGGAGCTCCAGCCCAGAAAAAATTGAAATCACTGTCAGCAGGAGAACACCAGTGGGGGTGGTTGGAGGCCCCAGTTGGGAAGTCCCAAACAGTGAGGAGGAATGAATCCGGGACCTACTTAAAGAAGCAGTCTGGCTATGCTTTTGTACAGCAGCTGTGCTGTGCTGGGGGGCCATATCCGCCCTAAGTCAGCTGGGACTCCTTAAAGCCCAAAGGCTGGAATGGCTAAGTTGCCAAAACATCAAATATGGCGGCCCACGCCTCCCTCAGGGCACTCCATCTCAGGGAGAATTCAAATCTCTGTCAGCCTGAGAATACCAGAGTGGGTAGCTAGAGGCCCTGGTTGGGAGGTCCTGCCCAGTGAGGAGGAATGGGATTGGGGACCTTCTTAAAGCAGTAGTCCGGCCATATTTTGGTAGAGTAGCACTGTGCTGTGCTAATGGATCCCTCTGTCCCTGGTCCGCTGAGACTCTCCAAATCCCGAAGGCTGGAGCAGCTAAGTTGCCCAAACAGCAAAGATGGTGGCCTACCCCTTCTCTCAGGAGCTCTGTCTCAGGGAGGCTCAACAGTGTTGCTGGTGGCTGGCTGGAATTCCAAGCCAGTGGCTCTTATCCTGTGAGGTGCTGTGGAAGTGGGGCCTGCAGGCTGTTGCTGCTCAGCTCCCTGAATTCAGCCTCTTCCCTAGGGATATGTATGAGGGTCTCACCTCCCACTTTGCCACAGTTGCAGCTACTTTTGCAGGAAAGCCCAGGTACCTAAGGCTCCCAGGTCTCCATGTGTGCCTGAGTGGCTGCTGTGCCAAGATTCCACGTAGCTCTGTCAGACTGAAGGCCCTGGTAAAGTGGGTTCATGAGAACTCCCGACCCAAGGATTGCAAAGATCCATGGAAAAAGCATGGGTTTCCAGGGTCACACATTCACTCACTGCTTCCCTGGGTGAGAGAGCTCCCCCTGGCTCTGTGGTACTCCCAGGTGGGCTGTCGTTTTGCCTTTCTTTTCTTCATTCTCCCTGGGTCAAGTTGTTTCCTTGGTTAGTCCCAATGTGAGTACCTGGATGTTTCAGTTGAAGGTGCAGTATTGACTCTCCCCTTGTGTTCCTCTCTGTGAGAGCCAAACACACTAGCTGCTTCAACTCGGCCACCTTGGCCAGCCCACTGCCCCCTCACTGCTATATTTTTACATATAACATTTACAACTCTATAAAGTACTTCATTGTACTCATTTTACAGGCGAAGATAGTTTAGACACACAAAGACTGAATAAGATCTAAGTCCTTTCCTTGTAAGATGCAAAATCTGGAATTGACAATGTACATAACTGCTACGTGTCTCAAACCTAAGATGTAATTAGGCATTTCTAAAGCTCACACTTTTTAAATGTTTAAATATTTTGTTAGAGTTTTAAAGAATGATTTAGTTAAAAAATACGATTATGGGGGTGTGTGGCCAAGATGACTGACTAGAAGAAGCTAGGGTGCACGGCTCTCATGGAGAGGAATGAAAAGGGCAAGTCAATACAGCACCTTCAACTGAAACAACCAGGTACTCGCATTACTCACATAATCAAGGAAACAACTCCAGCCAGCCACCAGCAACAGTGTTTTACCTACCTGAGACTGACTTCCTAGGGGACAGGGCAGGCCACCATCTTTGTTGTTTGGGTAACTTAGCCATTCCAGCCTGTTGGGCTTTTGAGAACCCAAACCAACTGAGGGCAGAAGGGATCCCCCACGCAGCACAGCTGCTCTACCAAAATGTGGCCAGACTGCCTCTTTAAGTGGATCCCCAATCCATTCCTCCTCGCTGGGCGGGACCTCCCAACTGGGGCCTGCAGCTACTCCTGCAGGTGCTCTCAGGCTGACGGAGATTTGAATTCTCCCTGGGATGAGTTCCCTGGGGGAGAAGGGGGCCGCCATCTTTGCTGTTTGGGTGACTCAGTTATTCCAGTCTGTGGGCTTTGGAGAGTCCAAAGTGACTAGGGTGGAGGGGATCCCCAGAACAGCACAACTGCTCTATCAAATCATGGCAAGATTCTTTAAGTAGATCCCCGATCCGTTCCTCACTGGGTGAGACCTCCCAAGTGGGGCTTCCACCCCTTAGTTCTAGAGCTGACAGAGATTTACATTCTCCCTTGGATAGAGTTGTCAAGGTCCTGCCAATTAAGAAGAAATGGGTCAGGAACCTGCTAAAAGAATCTGCCTGACCAAGATTTTGTAGAGTAGCTGTGTTGTGCTGGGAGATCCCTTCTGCCCCGGTAGGTATGGATTCCACAAAACCCTCAGGCTGGAGTGGCTAAGTTGCACAAACAGCAAAGATGGCAGCTCATCTTTGGCCATTTCATCCCAAGAATTCAAATATCTTTGGGCCCGAGAACACCAGCAGGAGTGACTGGAGGTCCCAGTGCGGTGATCCCTCACCAGGCAGGACTTTGAGACCGCCATGCCAGGGATAATTGAAATCTCTGGCAGCCTGAGGACACTGGAGGAGGGGGTGGGGTGGTGGCTGGGGGCCCGAGTTGAAAGGAACTTCACTGGGCAGGAACTGGAGACCTCCATGCCAGGGAGAACTCGAATCTCTGTCAGCATGAGAACACAGGTAGGGGTGGCCGGAGGGCCCAGTTAGGAGAACCCTCACTGGGTGGGACCTCAAGAACTCCATGCTAGGGAAAATTCAAATCTCTGTCAGCCCCAGGACACTGGCGGGGGTGGCTGGAGGCCCCATATGGGAGGTCCCTCACTGGGTCAGACACCGAGACCTCCGTGCCAGAGAGAATTCACATCTCTGTCAGCCCCAGAACACTACCGGGGTGGTTGCAGGCCCTAGTTGGGAGGTCCTCACTGGGCGGGACCCCGAGACCTCCATGCCAGGGAGAATTCAAATCTCTGTCAGCCCCAGAACACTGGCAGGGGTGGCCAGAGACCCCAGTTGGGAGGTCGCTCACTGGGCCAGACCCCGAGACCTCCATGCCAGGGAGAATTCAAATCTCTGTCAGTCCCAGAATAAAGGCGGGGGTGGCCGGAGGCCCCGGTTGGGAGGTCCCTCACTGGGCGATACCCCAAGACCTCCATGCCAGGGAGAACTCAAATCTCTGTCAGCCTGGGAACACCAGTGGGGGTGGCTGGACACCGCAGCTAAAAGGACCCTCATTGGGTGGGACCTTGTGAATTACATGCCAGGGAGAATTCAAATCTCTCTCAGCATGAGAACACCAGTGGGGTTGGCTGGAGGCCCCGCTTGGGAGGTCCCTCACTGGGCAGGACCTCAAGACCTCCACACTAGGGAGAATTCAAATCTCTGTCAGCCCCAGAACACTGGCGGGGGTGGCTGCAGGCCCCCGTTGGGAGGTCCCTCACTGGGCAGGACCCCGATACCTCGATGCCAGGGAGAATTGAAATCTCTGTCAGCCCCAGAATATTGGCGGGGGTGGGGGGAGTTGGCTGGAGGCCTGAGTTGGAAGGACCCTCACTGGGCAGGAACCGGAGACCTCCATGCCAGGAAGAATTCAAATCTCTTTCAGCATGAGAACACAGGTGTGGGTGGCCAGAGGTCTCAGTTAGGAGAACCCTAACTGGGTGGGACCTCAAAAACTCCATGCCTGGGAGAATTGAAATCTCTGTCAGCCCCAGAACACCAGCGAGGGTGGCTGCAGGCCCCGGTTGGGGGGGTTCCTCACTGGGCAAGACCCCGAGACCTCCATGCCAGGGAGAACTCAAATCACTGTCAGCCTGAGAACACCAGTGGGATTGGCTGGAGACCCCAGCTAAAAGGACACTCATTGGGCGGGACCTTGAGAACTACGTGCCAGGGAGAATTCAGATCTCTGTCAGCCCGAGAACACCGGTGGGGGTGGCTGGAGGCCACGGTTGAGAGGTCCCTCACTGGGCAGGACCTCAAGACCTCCATGCCAGGGAGAATTCAAATTTCTGTCAGCCCCAAAACACTGGCAGGGGTGGCTGGAGGCCGAAGTCCTTCACTGGGCCAGACGCTGAGACCTCCATACCAGGGAGAATTCAAATCTCTGTCATCCCAAGAACACCGGTGGGGGTGGCTGGAGACCCAATTGGGAGGTCACTCACTTGGCAGGACCTGAAGACCTCCATGCCAGGGAGAATTCAAATCTCTGTCAGCCCCAGAACACTGGCGGGGTTAGCTGGAGGCCCCAGTTGGGAGGTCCCTCACTGGGCCAGACCCTGAGACCTCCATTCCAGGGAGAATTCAAACCTCTGTCAGCCCCAGAACACTGGCGAGGGTGGCTGGAAGCCACGGTAGGGAGGTCCCTCACTAAGCAGGACCTAAAGACCTCCATGCCAGGGAGAATTCAAATCTCTGTCAGCCCCAGAACACTGGTGGGGTTAGCTGGAGGCCCCAGTTGGGAGGTCCCTCACTGGGCCAGACCCTGAGACCTCCATTCCAGGGAGAATTCAAATCTCTGTCAGCCCCAGAACACTGGCAGGGGTGGCTGCAGGCCCCAGTTGGGAGGTCCCTCACTGGGCGGGACCCCAAGGCCGCCATGCCAGGGAGAACTCCAACCTCTGTCAGCCCCAGAACACCAGTGGGGTTGGCTGGAGACCCCAGCTAAAAGGACCCTCATTGGGTAGGACCTCAAGAACTAAGTGCCAGGGAGAATTCGAATCTCTGTCAGCCTGAGAACACCAGGGGTGGGTGGCTGGAGGCCTGAATTGAAAAGACCCACAGCGGACAGGAAGTGGAGACCTCCATGTCAGGAAGAGTTCAAATCTCTGTCAGCATGAGAACACAGGTGAGGGTGGCCGGAGGCCCCAGTTAGGAGAACCCTTACTGGGCGGGACTTCAAGAACCAAGAACTGCATACCTGGGAGAATTCAAATCTCTGTCAGCCCCAGAACACTGGCGGGGGTGGCTGGAGGCCCCAGTTGGGAGATCCCTCACTGGGCAGGACCTAAAGACCTCCATGCCAGGGAGAACTCAAATCACTGTCAGCCTGAGAACACCGGTGGGATTGGCTGGAGACCCCAGCTAAAAGGACCCTCATTGGGCGGGACTTTGAGAACTAGGTGCCAGGGAGAATTCAGATATCTGTCAGCCCAAGAACACCGGTGGGGGTGGCTGGAGGCCACGGTTGAGAGGTCCCTCACTGGGCAGGACCTCAAGACCTCCATGCCAGGGAGAATTCAAATCTCTGTCAGCCCCAAAACACTGGCAGGGGTGGCTGGATGCCGAGGTCCTTCACTGGGCCAGACCCTGAGACATCCATACCAGGGAGAATTCAAATCTCTGTCAGCCCAAGAACACCGGCGGGGGTGGCTGGAGGCCCGATTGGGAGGTCACTCACTTGGCAGGACTTAAAGACCTCCATGCCAGGGAGAATTCGAATCTCTGTCAGTCCCAGAACACTGACAGGGGTGGTTGCAGGCCCCAGTTGGGAGGTCCCTCACTGGGTGGGACCTGGAGACCTCCATTCCAGGGAGAATTCAAATCTCTGTCAGCCCCAGAACACTGGTGGGGGTGGCTGGAGGCCCCAGTTGGGAGGCCCCTCACTGGGCCACACCCCAAGACCTCCATGCCAGAGAGAATTCAAATCTCTGTCAGCCCCAGAACACCGGAGGGGGTGGCTGGAGGCCCCAGTTGGGAGGTCCCTCACTGGGCAAGATCCTGAGACCTCCATGCCAGGGAGAACTCAAATCTCTGTCAGCCTGAGAACACCGGAGGGGGTGGCTGGGGACCCCAGGTAAAAGGACCCTCATTGGGCAGGACCTTGAGAACTACGTGCCAGGGAGAATTCAGATCTCTGTCAGCCCTGGAACACCAGCGAGGTGCTCTACCAAAATGTGGCCATACTGGGTCTTTAAGAAGGTCTGTGATCCATTCCTCCTCACTGGGCGGGACCTCCCAACCAGGGCCTCCAGCCACCCCCACCAGTGTTCTCGGGCTGGCAGAGATTTGAATTCTCCCTGGCATGGAGGTCTGGAGGTCCTGCCCAGTGAGGCACCTCCCAACCGGGGCCTCCAGCCACCCCCACCAGTGTTCTGGGGCTGACAGAGATTTGAATTCTCCCTGGCATGGAGTTCTGGAGGTCCTGCCCAGTGAGGCACCTCCCAACCGGGGCCTCCAGCCACCCCCGCCAGCGTTCTGGGGCTGACAGAGATTTGAATTCTCCCCAGCATGGAGGTCTCGAGGTCCCGCCCAGTGAGGGACCTCCCAACAGGGGCCTCCAGCCACCCCCGCTGGTGTTCTCAGGCTGACAGAGATTTGAATTCTCTTTGGGATGGAGGTCTTGAGGTTCCATTCAGCGAGGGACCTCCCAATAGGGGCCTTGAGACACTCCCGCCAGTGTTCTGGGGCTGACAGAGATTTGAATTCTCTCTGGCATGGAG
Organism: Homo sapiens; assembly: GCF_000001405.40. Lineage (NCBI taxonomy): Eukaryota > Metazoa > Chordata > Mammalia > Primates > Hominidae > Homo > Homo sapiens. The sequence continues at coordinate 97,266,148 of NC_000002.12, read as the reverse complement.
GTCTTGGGGTCTGGCGCAGTGAGGGACCTCCCAACTAGGGCCTCCAGCCACCCCTGCCAGTGTTCTGTGGCTGACAGAGGTTTGAATTCCCCCTGGTATGGAGGTCTTGAGGTCCTGCTTAGTGAGGGACCTCCCTACCGTGGCTTCCAGCCACCCTCGCCAGTGTTCTGGGGCTGACAGATATTTGAATTATCTTTGGGATGCGGTTCTTGGGGTCCCTTCCAGTGAGGGACCTCCCAACCGGGGCCTCCAGCCACCCCCACCAGTGTTCTGGGGCTGACAGAGATTTGAATTCTCTCTGGCATGGAGGTCTCGGGGTCTGGCCCAGTGGGGGACCTCCCAACTGGGGCCTCCAGCCACCCCCACCAGTGTTCTGGGGCTGACAGAGATTTGAGTTCTCCCTGGCATGGAGGCCTGGAGGTCCAGCCCAATGAGGGTCCTTTCAGCTGGGGCCTCCAGCCACCCACACCGGTGTTCTCAGGCTGACAGAGATTTGAATTCCTGGAATGAGTTCCCACGCGCAAGAGCAAGGAGCCATCTTTGCTGTTTGTGCAACTTAGTCGTTACAGCCCGCGGGCTCTGGAGAATCCATACCTACCGGGGCAGAAGGGATATATCATCAGCACAGCACAGCTACTCTACAAAATCTTAGAAGGCAGATTCTTTTACCAGGTTCCTGATCCATTCCTCCTTACTGGGCAGGACCTCGACAACTCCTTCCCGGGGAGAATGTAAATCTCTGTCAGCTCGAGAACACCGGTGGGGTGGTGGAGGCCCCAGGTGGGAGGTCCCACCCAGAGAGGAGGAAAGAATCAGGGATCTGTGTAAAGAATCTGCCTGGCCACTATTTGGTAGAGCAGTTGTGATGTGCTGGGGGATCCCTTCCACCCCCAGTCATTTGGGACTCTCCAAAGCTGGCCCCATCCTCTCCCCCAGGCCCCAGTTGGAAGGACTCCCACTGGGCAGGAACTCCAGAACTCCCTCCCAGGGAGAATTCAAATTCCTCTCAGCCCCAGACACCAGTGGGGTAGCTGGAGGCCCTGGTTGGGAGGAACAGATTGGGAATCCCCTTAAAGATTCTGTCTGGGGCCGGCCACGGTGGCTCATGCCTGTAATCCCCATACTTCGGGAGGCCCAGCAGGGTGGATCACTTGAGGTCAGGAGTTCCAGACCAGCCTGGCCAACATGGTGAAACCCCATCTCTACTAAAAATAAAAAAATTCGCTGTGCGTGGTGATGGGCACCTGTAGTCCTAGCTACTTGGGAGGCTGAGGCAGAAGAACTGCTTGAACCAGGGCTGTGATGGGTGCTGTAAGCCGAGATCATGCCACTGCACTCCAGCCTGGGTGACAGAGCAAGACTCCTTCTCAAAAAAAAAAAAAAAAAAAAAAAAAAAAAAAAAAAAAAAGGATCTGGGCACATGTTGGGAGAGCAGCTGTGCTATTCTAGGGATCCCTTCTACCCCACCAGTTTGCACTGTCCAAAGCCCACAGGCTGGAATGGCTGTGTCACCCAAACAGCAAAGATGGCGGCCAGCTCCTCCCCTGGGAAACTCATCCCAGGGAGCTCCAGCATCCTTGGCACAAGCTGGCAAGTATTGGCTGAAATGACAGGTGCCCTGGAGAAATTTGAAAGGGTTATCCACATCCGGCTGCTGATTATTTTCACAATTTTCCTGAGATGTCGTTATCATTCTTTGACTCTCCTTTCTATAGTCAGACATTTGGCTCTCAGAGGTGACTTTCTGGCTGAAGAATGTGGATTCGTCACTGTCTTGTGCTCAATGTAGAGGGGGCTCTTAATTCCAGAAATGTCCATATCTGATGAAAGAAAGCGAAGAATGAAACAAAAAGAGATATGTACCGTATTCATAAGTAGATTCAATGCTCTTAATTCCAGAAATGTCCATATCTGATGAAAGAAAGCGAAGAATGAAACAAAAAGAGATATGTACCGTATTCATAAGTAGATTCAATGCTATTAAGATGTCAGTTCTTTCCAATGTATAGATTCAATGCAATTCTACTCTAAATGAAAATGTTTATATGGAGAGGCAAAAGACCTTGAATAGCTAACACCATATTGAAGGAGAAGAACAAACTTGGAGGACAGACACTACTCAATTTCAAGACTTACCCTAAAGCTACAGTAATGGAGACAGTGTGGTATTAGTGAAAGAACAAACGGATAAAATGAGATAGAGAGTTCACAAATAGAAACACATTAATACATTCGATTAATTTTTGACAAAAAAGTAAAGGCATTATGATGATGAAACAGTTTTTTCAGGAAGGGCTGCTGGAATACCTGGATATCCACATGCAAAAAAAAAATAAATTGCAGACCTTACACCCCCACCAAAATTAACTCAAAATGGATCAGCAACATAAATATACAAAAAACTATAAAATTTATAGAAGATAATATAGAAGGAAATACAGATTATCTTGGGTTTAATGATGACCTTTAGAAAAAACACCAAAGTTGAAGTCAATAGAAGAAAGAATTGACAAGCTGGACTTGATGAAAATGTAACATTTTTACACCATTAAAGACACTGAAAGAAAAGAGAAACCACAGATGGAAAAAAATTTGCCAAAACGTATCTGATTAAGAACTATTATTCAAAACATATTAGTATTCTTAAAGCTGAGCAGTAAAAGACATGAGCTAAAGACCTTAACAAGTACCTCACCAAGTAAATTATACAAATGGAAAATAAGCATATGTAATGAGGCTACACATAATATTTCCTCAGAGAAATGCAACCATGAGATGCCACTGCACACGTATTAGAATAACCAAAATCTAGAACCACTGACAACATCAAACGCTGGCAAGGATGTGGAGCAAGAGGAAACTTCATTCATTGCTTGTGGGAATGCAAAATGGTGCAGTCACTTCTTGAAAGTTGTATTCTATGTACCTCAACAGCATGGCCTTCACTGTTCATATTCCTATTATCATTTTGGTCAACCACTTAACCAAGGTCTAATTAAGTTCCACAAGTTTCCTCATCTTCCTGACTTCTTTGCCTATTACCCAGTTCCAAAGCAAATTCTGCATTATCAGGTATTTTTATAGCAAAACCCCACTCCTTGGTACTAATTTCTGTGTTAGCAACACAGAATAACACAGAAAAGAGCAACACGGAAAAACACAAATTTTTGTGTTGCTATAAAAAATTAGCTGAGACTAGGTAATTTATAAGGAACAGAGGTTTGTTTGGCTCACAGTTTTGCAGGCTGTAGAAGAAGAATGGCAGTGGCATCTGCACAGCTTCTGGTCAGGGACCCAGAAGGCTTTTACTTGTGGCTAAAGGTGAAGAGACAACGGGTATGACACACATGGCTAGAGAGGTAGAAGAGACGGGAGAGGTGCCACACTGTTTTAAACAACCACCTTTCGTGTAATGCAGTGAGAACTCACTCATTAGTGAAAAAAGGGCAAGAAGCTATCCAGGAGAGATCAACCACCATGACCCAAACACCTCCCACTAGGTCCCACCTCCAACATTGGGGATCAAATCTTGACACAATATTTGGAGGGTACAAATTTGCAAACAATATCACTCTCTTTTTGTCTTTAACTTTGGACAATTTGATTATAGTGTATCTTGTTGTGAGTCCCTGGATTCACCTTATTTGGTTTCCTTTGGGCTTTCTGGATCAGGCTTTCTGTTTTCTTCCCCATGCTTGATAAATTCTCTGTCATTATTCCTTTAAACACTTTTCCGTTCCTTTCTTCCTCACTTCTCCTTCAGGCATGCCAATAATGTGTGAGTGGTCCTGCTTGATGGTGTCCCATAACTCTCTAAAGTTGTCTTCACTCCGTTTGCATTATCTTTTTTTCTGATCCTCAGGTTAGATAATTTCCAGTGACCAGTCTCAAAGTTCACTGATAGATTCTATTAATGGACACCTCTATTAAATTTTTTCAGTTCAGTTACAGTACACTTTAGATCTATGATTTGTTTGACATTATTGTATAACGTTTTTCCTTTTCTTGAAGTTCTCAACTTGTTCTTGCAAAGCTATCTTGACCTCAGTGATTATTGTTATGACCATTATTTGGAAATCTCTGTCAGATAAATTACATATCTGCACTTCACTCAGGTGCTGGAGATTTATCTTGTTTTCTTGCTTTGAATATATTTCCCTGTTTCTTCATTTTTCCTCGACTCTCTCTGTTGGTTCCCGTGCATTTGATAAGACTGGCCTCATGTAGGAAAAGGATCTCACCAAACTTTCCAGCCAGAGATCTTCAGGTACCTCTCAAGTCCTTGTGTGCTCTAGTATTGACTGTTTTTGGTGGCTCCCTGGAACTTAGGATGTGCCACGCCTTGTCAGTAACCAGAAATTGGTTAAGGTAGGAGCCAGACAATCCAGATGTAGCTAGAAAGTTAGAAGGCTGGAGGAGTGTTTCAGTTCTTTCTAGCTACATGATGAAGATTAGTATGGACATTTATCTCCCACTCTCTCTCCATTAAGCTTGGTAGAGGATCTGTGACAAACACCTATGCACACTCTGGATGCAGCCTCTGATCCTGAGGAGATAGCTTCTGAATGTGGGCCCATTGTATGCTTACTTCTTTGTTTTCTATGGTCTAAATACATTCAAAAATACAAAATCCTGTCGACTCACAGAGCAGAGTTCTTAAGAAAACAGTTCCTTGGGCACTAACCACGGAGGTTGTGGAATTTCAATGCATAATCAAGCTCCTTCTGGGAGCTTGATTCAATGCATAATCAAGCTCCTTCCGGGAAGAATGGGTAGGCTTGGATTTATTACTGGGTTGAACCCGACATAAGACTGGTAGTGTCAAACTATGGTTCCATCTGCCAGATGAATTGTACTTTGTAAGCCACATTAGCCCCCATGATGCCAGTATTTAAATACAAAGCTAGAAATGATTAATAGGGTGAGAAAAGCATGTTGAAAGCTCAGATAGGCTGAAAGCTAGGCAACTTACATCAAACAGTAAACTAAGCTGTGAATGCAAAAAAAAAAAAGTTCTTAAAGGAAATTAAACAGACTACTCCAGTGAATGCACAAATGATAAGTACAATGGTATTATTGCTGATGTGAAGACAGTTTTAGTGGTCTGGATAGAAAATCAAATGAGCCACAACATTTCGCTAAGCCAAAGCTGAATCCAGAGCTAAGCCCTAACATTCTTTAATTCTATGAAGTCTGACACAGGTGAGGAGGCTGCAGAAGACAAGTTTAAAGCTAGCAGAGGTTGGTTCATGAGGTTTAAGAAAAGAATCTTCATAACATAAAAGTGCAAGGTAAAGCAGCCAGTGCTGATAGAGAAGCTGCAGCAAGTTATCCAGAAGATCTAGCTAAGATCATTGATGAGGGCAGTTATGCTAAATAACAGATTTTCAATGTAGACAAAACAGCATTATACTGGAAGAAGAGGATACCTAAAACTTTCACAGCTATAGAGGAGAAGTCAATGCCTGGCTTCTAATCTTCAGAGGACAGGCTGACTCTTTATGTACTGGCTAATGCAGCTGGTTACATTAAAACATTAAAGGCAGTACTCATTTACCATTCTGCTACATTTTTAAGTTCTTCTAAACCTATGCTACCTATACTCTATAAATGAAACAACAAAGCCTGGATGAAAACACATCGTTTACAGTATGGTTTACCAAATATCTTAAGCACACTGTTGAGACCTATTGTCCAGAAAACGTGTGTGTGTGTGTGTGTGTTTGTGTGTGTGTATATGTGTATGTGTGTGTATGTATATATGTGTGTATATATATATATATATATATATATATATATATCTTTTAAAATATTACTGCTCATTGACAATGCACTCATAACCCAAGAGCTCTGATGGAGTTGTACAAATAGATTAATGTTGTTTTCATGCCTGCTAACACAGCATTCATTCTGAAGCCCATGGATCAAGGACATTTTATTATTTAAGAATACATTTTGTAAGCCTATACCTGCCATAGACAATGATTCTTCTGTGTATCTGCACAAGGCAAATTAAAAATCATCTGGATTTTTTTAGAAAGCAATCACTATTCTAGATGAAATTAAAGATATTTGTGATTCCTTGGAGGAGGTCAAAATATGAAGTTTGGAAGAAATTGATTTCAGCCCTCATAGATAGCTTGCAGGGTTTCAAGACTTCAGTGGAGGAAGTAACTGTGAGTGTGATGGAACTAGGGAGAGAACTAAGAGTAAAACTGGAGCCTGAGCCTGTGACTGAATTTCTGCAGTTTCATGATCAAACTTGAATGTACTAAAAGTTGTTTCTTATAGCCCATCCATCTGAGATGGAATCTATTCCTCGTGAAGATACTGTAAACACTGTTGAAATGACAAAAAAACACCTATCTTATTATACAAACTGAGTTGATAAAGCGGTGGCAGCATTAGATAGGATCGACTCTCATTTTGAAAGGTGTTCTACTGTGAGGTAAAATGCTATCCAACAGCATGGCACACTACAGATAAACCTTTCATCAAAGGAGTCAAGTGATGCAGCAAACTTTACTGTTGTTTTATTTTAAGAAATCGCCACAACCACCTCAATCTGCAGCAACCACCACCTTAATCATTCAGCAGCCATCAACACAGAGGAAAGACTCTTTATCAGCAAAAATTAAAATTCACTGAAGGCTCAGATGATCATTTGCATTTTTAGCAATAAAGTAGTTTTTAAAGTATGTAATTGTAGACATAAGGCTATTGCACACTTTATAGACTATGGTATAGTGTAAAAAACTTTTATATGCAGTGTAAAACCAAAAATTCAAGTTCTTATTACATTGTGGTTGCCTGGAATCACACCTGCAATATCCCTGAAGTATGCCTGTACAAGAAATCATGGATAACATACTAAAATAAATTTGGGAAACAATTCATTAACAGAATGATAGTTCTGAAGTAGAAATAGATATGATAACAAAAAAACAAATAGAAATTCTAGATATAGAGAATACAACAAACTAAAAATTTAATACAATGCTTCAGCAGCTGATTTTATTAGCAGAAAAAAAGAATCAGTGAGCTTAAAGAAAAAACATTTGAAATGATTCCATCGGGGAAAAACAACAACAAAAAAGAATAACAAATGCCTATGGCAATTATGGGACTCAATCAAACAACCCAACTTTCATATAATAACAGTTTCTGAAGGAGAAGAAAAAGAAAAAGGCCTAGCAAGCATATTTAATGAAATAATGACTAAAAATTTCCCAAACATGAAGAATGATGACAACATTGAGGTATGAAAACTGCAGAGGTCATGAATCCATTTCAATCCAAGAGGCATTTATCAACACACATCACAATGAAGTTATTAAAAATGAAAAACAAAGAATACTGAAAACAGCAAAAAAACAAGAAATACATCACATTCAAGGGAGCTTCAATATGGCTTTCAGTGGATTTCTCTGCAGAAAACCCTACAGTCCACGAGAGAGGGATGATGTATTCAAAATGCTAAAGCAAACAAGCAAGCAAACAAACAAAAATGCCAATCAACAATACTGTTCCCGGTTGGGTGAACTGGCTCATACCTGTAATCACAGCAGTTTGGGAGGCCAAGGCAGGTGGATCAGGAGGTCAGGAGTTCAAGACCAGCCTGGCCAACATGATGAAACCCCATCTCTACTAAAAATACAAAAATTAGCTGGGCATGGTGGCATGGGCCTGTAATCCCAACTACTCGGGAGGCTGAGGCAGGAGAATTGCTTGAACCTGGTAGGCAGAGATGGCAGTGAGCAAGCTTGAACCTGGGAGGCGAGATCACACCGCTGCACTCCAACCTGGGTGACAGAGCAAGACTCCATCTTGAAAAAAAAATGCTGTGCCTAGCAAAGCTGTCCTGTAGAAATGAGGGAGAGGGAGATATAAAAACCTTTCTATACAAAAAAAAACTAATAAAATTTATAATCAATATCCCTGATTGATCAGAATTACTAAAGGAAGAGCCTTACATTGAAATAAAAGGCTAAATAGTAAGAAAAAACACATAAAAGTAAAAAGCGTCAATGCTATCAGTAATACACAGTCATGTTCCAAATGCTCTAATATTCTAAGGGTGGTTTGTAAAGCAATTTTATCCCTACTAGTAGGGTTAGCAGACAAAGGTATTGAAAATAACTGTAGCTACAATAAATTGCTAAGGTATATAAGTATGAACTAAAAGGGTAAGTTTTGACATAAAATTGTACAATTGTAAGGGAGAGAGAATGAAAATGTAGACTTTTGGATGCAATTAAAGAGAAGTTGCTATCAGAAGTTGTTAGAGTAGTTTGTTATAAGAATATGATATTTTAGGTAAGTTTCATGATAACCACAAAACAAAACCTATCATAACTGCACAAAATAAAAAAGTTTATTTTGCAATTTATCCAAAATTTTAAAGCATACCACCACAGAAAGCCATCAAGCTATAAAATAGTTCAGCAAGAGAGAAAAAGGGAACAAAGAACTCATAAAACAATCAGAAAAAAAATTACAAAGTGGCAGTAGCAAGTCCTTCCCTATAAATAATTACCTTGATAGTAAGTGCATTACATTGTCAAATAAAAGGACATAGAGCATCTCAATGGATAGAATAAAAAACAAGATTCAATCATGTGCTGCCTACAAGAGACTCACTTTACCAGTCAAGACATATATAGGCTGAAACTGAAAAGATGAAAAAAGATATTCCATGCAAATGCAAACTAAAATAGAGCAGGGGAGCTATACTTACTATTAAAAGAAATAAACTAAGTCAAAACCTATAAAAGAGATAGGGTTCACTGCATAACGATAAAGGAGTTAATTCATCATGAAGACATAATACATGTAAATATATATGCACTCAAGGTCACAAGACCTAAATTCATAAAGCAATTATTAAATAATCTCATGAGAAAAATATACTGCAATACTATAATAGTAGGAGACCTCAATACTCCAATTTCAACCATGGAAAGATCATTTAGAAAGATAATAAATTAAGAAACATTAGATTTGAATCACACTTTGGAGCAACTGGATCTAACAGATATACCCAGAACATCCTATCCAACAGCAGAAGTGTACCTGTTCTTCTGAAATGTGGGTGGAACATTCTCCAGTATATGTCATATGTTAGGCCACAAAACAGATCTTAACAAATATTAGAGAATTGAATTATAGAAAGAAAATTTTTGCATCCCAATGGCATAAAGCTAGAAATCCGTAACAGAAGAAATCTTGAAAAATACATAAAATAGCAAAATTTAACATATTCATAAATGGCCCATGAGTTACAGAAAAAATTTAAAAACATATTTTAAGACACACAAAAATGAAAACACAACATACCAAAACTTATAGAATGTAGTTAAATCAATCATTATACCTCAATGAACTAGATGAGAAACAAAGCCAAGAATTAGCAGAAATAAGAAAATAGCAAAGATTAAAGTGGAAATAAATAAAATAGATATGAGAAACCCAATGGAAAGAATTAATACTGAACTTCTTTTTAAGGCGATAAACAAAATCAACCAATCCGTATCTAGACTAACTAGAAAAAGGACTATTCCAACAAATAAGATCAGAAATGAAATAGGAGAAATTACAACTTTTAACTCTAAAATACAAAGGATTACAATTGTTCATATAATGAACATTTGTATGCCAACAATTTGGATAACATGGAAGAAATAAAAACATTTCCACAAACATACAACTTACCAAGACTGAATCAAGAAGAAACAGAAAATCTGAATGGACTAATAAATAATAAGGAAATTGAAGCAGAATTTTTTTTTTTTGAAGCGGAGTTTTGCTTTTGTTGCCCAGGGTAGAGTGCAATGGCACAGTCTCAGCTAACTGCAGCCTCCGCCTCCCAGGTTCAAGCAATTCTCCTACCTCAGCCTTCCAAGTAGCTGGGATTACAGGCGCCCACCACCACACCCATCTGATTTTTTGTATTTTTAGTAGAGACAGGGTTTCACTACTTTGGCTAGGCTGGTCTCGAACTCCAGACCTCAAGCAATCCACCCACCTCAGCCTCCCAAAGTGCTAGGATTACAGGTGTGAGCCACCAAGCCTGGCCTGAAGCAGAAATTAAAAGCCTCCCATGAAAGAAAAGCATAGGACCAGAAGGCTTCACTGCTAAATTCTGACAAACCTTTAAAGAACTAATACTAATTACTCTCAAACTCTTTCAAAAAAGTGAAATAGAGGAAATACTTCCAAACTCATTTTATTAGGGTACCATCATTCCGATACCAAAGACAGACAAGGACACTACAAGAGACGAAAATACTAGGCCAATGTCAGTAACGAACCCTGATTCAAAAATCTTCAACAAAACATTAGCAACCAAATTTAAGAATATATGAATGGAATCATTCACCATGATAAAGTGGGATTTATCCTTTGGATGCAAGTTGGTTTCAACATATGCATATGAATACATGTGATAAAATGCATGAACAAAGTCAAAGACAAAAATCATACGATTCTCTCAATACATGCAGAAAAAGCACATGACAAAATTTAAAACCCTTTCATGATGAAAGCTCTCAACAAATTAAGTGTAGAGAAAATGTATCTCGACACAAAAAAGAACCGTGTATGACAAGCTCTTAGCTAACATTATTCTCAACAGTGAAAAGTGGAAAGCTTTTCCTCCATGTTCAGAGACAAGACAAGGATGACCAGTCTCACCACTTCTTTTCATCGTTAACAGTGGAATTCCTAGGCAGAACAATTAGACAAGAAAAGAAAAGCATCCTACTCAGAAAAAAGTGAAATTATCTCTAATTGCAGACAACATGATCCTGTATACAGAAAACCCTAAATATTCCACCAAAAACTGTTAGAACTGATGCATGAATTCGATAAGGTTTCAGGATACAAAATAATCTAACAAAGATCAGAAGTGTTTCTGTATACAAATAACAAACTACCTGAAGAAATTTTTTAAAAATCCCAAGTATGATAGCAACAGAAATTAAATACTTAGGTGTAAATTTAAGCAAAAAATTAAAGGTCCTGTATATGAAAAACTATAAAACACCAATGAACAAAAATTTAAAAACACAAGTAAATGAAAAAAAAATTCATGCTTGTGGATGGGATGAATTAATATTGTGAAAATGAACAAAATACCAAAAGCAACATATTTGATGCAATCACTATCAAAATTCCAATGCCATTCTTTTACAGAAATGGAAAAAAATCTTGACATTTGTATTGAACAGACCTAAAATAGACAAAATAATCTTGAGCAAAAAGAACAAAGCTAGAGACAGCATGCTACCTAATTTTATTACATATTGTAAAACAATTGTAATCATGGTAGTGGCATATAAATGGACAAATTTGCTAAACAAAATGGAAAACCCAGAAATAAATCCACACACGTCAACTTATCTTTGACAAAGGTGCCAAGGACATACAATGGTTAAAGGATAGTCTGTTCTACAAATGGTGTTGAGAAAACTGAATATCCACAGGAAAAATAAAGTTAGTCCCTTAACTTACACCACATACTAATATCAACTCCAAATGAAGATTTAAATAGAAGGCCTGAACTGTAAAATTACTAGAAGAAAACATAGAGTTAAAGCTCCACAACACTGGTCTCAGCAATACTGTTTTTGATGCAACCCTGATAGCAGTCAACAAAAGCAGAAATAGACAAATTTCTTGTGGCTTAGTTTTGAATTTCTGGTCATTTACTCAATCTGGTCATTACTTTCCCACACTTCATGGTTACAAGTACCAGCCAAGACATGGATCCACCTTCCTACTGCAGTATCTGAAAATCACTGTCTGTTCTATCCTCGGCCTGACCCTCTCTGGCATTCTCGGGATCTACATTTTGATGGAAATGTAATGCTCTGGAACCCTAGGCATATATGAACCAGAAACATGTATGCAGACTCTACTTACCGACAGCAACATAGTTGGAAATACAGTAATCACAGTTGGATAGGAACAAATATTTTATATCTCTTTCTTAGAGATCTGGATTCCACTAAAACGGATTCATGGATGTCAGGGCATTAGGGGTGTGGACTGATAACAAACCTCTCCTTTTTCAGTGCCAAACCAACTTAGAAATAAAAACAAAAGGTCAGATCAATATCCAAATACATTATTCCTCCTAAAGCTGATTTAGAAACTATGGCTTAATGTTGACCAAAAAAGACTTCTAATATTGCCCCCTAGCCTTGACTTTAGAACCTGAACAAAAAAAAGTTCATCTGAAGAACAGTCAGTTACCCACCCAGTGCAGGGAGGGTCTTCACCTGCCTTCCAAGTCTCCTGTTCAGAATCCAGAGGAGAAAGAGAGACTAGATGTACTCATTGATCACTGAGTAAGTTTGCCTTACTAATAGGCAAACGTGGACCAATGGATTTGATGGGACCAATGGATAAGATTTCCCATCCACCAAATAAGTCACATCTTCTCCTGGCTCTGGGAATGAGCCAGATAAAGGTGAAGAGTTGGCAGTGTTTCTACTCAATATTTGTGAGAAGACCGAAGGTGTTGTCAATGGGTAGATAGAACTGGAATGAGGTGGGAAAGTTTTACTCGTTTGACCAACTTCTTTTTATTCAAGTTGTATATGCTGAAGGTAGCCGCTAGAAGAATTGACTTCTGGAAAGATGATTCCCCTCACAATTGCTTGATCTTGAGTATTTTTATTTTTGTGTTAAAGAACTGATGTTGGTTTGTGTACACTGAAATAATGGGGGGAAGCTCTGTATGGAAGGAAAAGAAAGTTTCCTTTCTTTTCTAGAGCCGTCTGTTCAGGTTATCGGAGTCTCCCTATTCATGGGATGAGTGTCCACAACAAACTCCACAATCCTGTGTCTGCTCATTGAAGGTATGTATCAGAGTGACACTTGGAAGCATGGTATAAAGAGGAAATATGCATTTGTCAAATGAAAAATTAAAATATAAGAAAAAGTTTAAAAGGAAAAACAGAATGAGAAGGGCAGGGGCTTGATTAGAGTTTTGTCAACTGGGACAAACTTTGCAGTTTTAGTCAAATATTGCCATCTTTCTAGTGGAAGACTTTGACATGTAAGTTCTAGATTATACTTTCATTTATAAATAACTGTGTAGCTTAATGAGATGGCCCCTGTTAGTATCTTAGGCCATCTATTGAAGGTTTACTAAATTCTTCCAAGGCACGTGAGTCTGCTCCTCAGCAAAGCAGTGACAAACCTGCTTTTCCCTGGTTTCCCCAACTATGTAAAACCTTATTAAAGAATTCCTGAACAATATAAAGTTCCCTCAGCAAGACGGAACTTCCCAAGCTCTTGTCTCAGGAGAGAATGTGGATTATAGAAAGATTGTGGGTGTGAGTGGAGTGGGAAGTTATTTAGGTAGTAAGATTTTCAGGCTCGGTGCAGTGGCTCACACCTGTAATCCCAGCACTTTGGGTGGCCGAGGTGGGCAGATCACAAGGTCAGGAGATGGAGACCATCCTGGCTAACAGGGAGAAACTCCATCTCTACTAAAAATACAAAAAAAAACTAGCTGGGCACCTGTAGTCGCAGCTACTCGGGAGGTTGAGGCAGGAGAACCGCGTGAACCCAGAAGGCGGAGCTTGCAGTGAGCCAAGATCTCGCCACTGCACTGCAGCCTGGGTGACAGAGCCAGACTCCGTCTCAAAAAAAAAATAATAAAAAAATAAAAAGTTAAAGAGGCCAAGAAACATCATTTAAAACACGATATAAATTTTCATCAGACATAAAAGATAAAAAATATTTTCATTTAATAAATACTTTTGCATGTCACACATTTAACGGGAAACAAAATATCATGTTAACAGCCTAGTAATACAATTTTATTGTCTTAGATTTTTTTCGTCAGCATGTATTCTTTCTGTTTTGTTTTGCATTTGAGATGGAGTCACTCTGTTGCTCAGGCTGGAGTGCAGTGGCACGATCTTGGCTCACTGAAACCTCTGCCTCCCGGGTTCAAGTGATTCTCCCACCTCAGCCTCCCGAGTAGCTGAGACTACAGGCATGCACCACCACACCCAGCTAATTTTTGTATTTTTAGTAGAGACAGGATTTCACCATATTGGCCAGGCTGGTCTTGAACTCCTGACCTCAAGTGATCCACCTGCACTGGCCTCCCAAAGTGCTGAGAATACAGGCATGAGCCACTGCAGCCAGACAGCACATATTCTTGTTATGCTTTTAAAACTAGTTATTGATTTAAATTTTACTCATTAGTAGATTCTAGTGCAGAAGCTATAGAGCAGCAGTCCCCAGCCTTTTTGGCACCAGGCAGCAGTTTTGTGAAAGATAATTTTTCCACAGATGGGGGTTTGGGGGATGGTTTCAGGATGGTGATTCAAGCGTATTACATCTATTGTGCACTTTATTCCTATTATGACTACATTGTAATACATAATGAAATAATTACACAACTCATCATAATGGAGAATCAATGGGAGTCCTGAGCTTGTTTTTCTGTAACTAGATGGTCCCATCGTGAAGAGATAGGAGACAATGACATATCATCAGGCATTAGAGTCTCATAAGGAGCATGTGACCTAGATCCCTTGAACGAGCAGTTCACAGTAGGATTTTCACTCCTGTGAGAATCTAATGGCTTTGCTGATCTGACAGGAGGCAGAGCTCAGGTGATAATGTGAGCAACAGGGAGTGGCTGGAAATACAGATGAAGCTTCACTCGCTTGCCTGCCACTCACCTCCTGCTGTGCAGCCTGCTTCCTAACAGGTCATGGAACTGTGTGTGGCCTGGGAGTTGGGGACCCCTGCTATAGAGGATTCAGATTTAAATTCAGAAGTTAGAATGAAAAAGAATTATATTCTTTATCTAAATGATTTCACAGTTAACTAAGAGAAAGTCAGTATATGCTGAAAAGCTTATCAGTGTTAATAAGAATGAAAAATATGTACAATATGCAATTACTATTAAATATAATTTGCCCATAGTTGCACACCGAATTCATTATCATGGCAGTTAAGTATCAGAGCTTCTGGTTTCTCACTCTTCGTTCATGTATTCAGCAACCATGTGCTAAGGTACTAGGACAAGCACTGGAATTACAAGATAAAGATGATACGGTCCGCCCCTCAACAACTGTATGCTATAATCTGAAAAAACAAACAGGCAATTCCCATACAGAGTCATACATACAATGACAAGCATAAGACAGCACTTATTGGAAGACATAGAAGGGATACTAGCCCAGGTTTGTGTCAATATTGTAGGCTTTTTGGTAGAGGCAATTCATAGGTTGATATCTGAAGGGGAAGGAAAACACATGTAGGATAGAGGGAAGAAGTAAATGCAAACAGCTGGAGGTGAAGACGATCACTGTGGAGCTCCATGTAGTCTAGTTTGGCTGGATGCTAGAACAAAGGTGTAGAGTATGGTAAGTGGCGAAAGATAAGGCTGAATAACTTGACAAGAACCACACTGATGTGAGAGTTTTGATTCCATGCTAAGGAATTTTCAACTTTTCCCAGGGGCAAAAGTAAACCAATGACAAAGTCAATGACTAGAGATTTAAAATGTCACTGGTCAAGTGACTGCTTGTGACCTGTAATTGCTTAACTAATTATTATCACATGAGTGTGGGGTCTGTTAGCCTTAAATCACTACCTTAACCTTGAGAAGTTGATAATGCCTTTGTTTTGTGAGAACAGTTTCAGTGTGCAGGCTGATAGTCTATAGGGGTGGCAGAAGAAAAGTGTAGGGCCAGAAAAAAAGGGATACACAGATTTCTTGCGATTTTTTTAAAGCTATGAAACATGATGAATTAACAAAGCATAAGTATACCCTTCACTATGAATGTTTATGTTTTCACATCTTTCACTAGATGTGTGTAAGAAAAAATATTTAATGTAGCATTTATTAACCAAGCAATTGAGAGGGAATACCGTTCACTACTTAGAGTTTATTTCAGAAATCAATGATTTGAATTTAATTCATAAATTTTGGCAACATACCTTCATCTAGCTCTCAAACACCTGCAGCATCTGAAATAAATCAAATATTACTTATAATGTTTCAGTCAAACAAGAGACATTATCATGTAAACCCACTGTAAGTCAAGGAGCATCTGTACTGTAGATTGATCATCCCTAATCTAAAAATCTGAAATCCAAAATGCTCTACAATCTGAAACTTTTTGAGCACGGACATGACACCACAACTGCAACGTTCCACACCTGACCTCATGTGACAGGCTCTGGGGAAAACAGTAAAAACTTTCTTACCTGCAAAAAATTACTGTAAAACATTGTAGAGAATTACCTTCAGGCTATGTGCATAAGGTATATATGAAACACAAATGAATTTCATGTTTAGACTCAGGTACCATCCGCAAGATATTTCATTAGGTATATACAAATATTCCAAAATCTGAAAAAAATCTACTTTTGGTCCCAAGCATTTTGGACAAGGGATATTTAACCCATCCTACTGGAAAAATAAAATTCCTTTTCAGTATGACAGAAATTAAGAGATCAGCTTACCAAACTTGAATGCTGCAGGATTTTCTCAAGCCGCTCAATTTGGTCATCCTGTTTTTTAATAATTTTTCTCATCATCACATGTTCTACTTCAAGCCTAAAATGTGCATTTTAAAATAATTACTCTCACACGTAATTTTTTTTAAATCATGTAAATTCTAAACAAACTTCTGAAGGTATAATTACACAAATTCTTAGCAATCACAAAAGTAGACGATTGGGCTACTGTGTCATTTTCTACCTGTGTTTTGGTGATAATATGCAAAATTTAGGAATAATGTAGAAAAATGATGTATTTCGATATAGCTTACAAATGAAACTTTTTTGGCTTCACAAAGACATACTAATTATCATAACTGATACAATTTTCATACTACAGTGCTCTTTTGCTTTATAAATACTCAAGTTATTTTGTGTGCTGCTTCAAATTTTACTTTTGTGTGTCGCCTTCCATCTCCTTAGTACATCTTATAGTAGCTGTAAGTTGATCCTGTATTTCTTGAAACTGAAACAAAGAATTTTAAAAAATTACATTTGGAAATGACCTAAATGTCCATCAGTAGATGAATGAATCAACAAAATATATATGAAATATTTTAGACTATCACAATCTTTTTTATTTATAAAAGGTCATAATCTAGGAGAAATCATCCCATTACCTGTTTTTTGTAAGTAATTTTAGTGGGACACTGCTACACCCCTTCAGTCTGCATATTGTTCATGGCTACTTTTGTGCTGTAATTGCAGGGCCGAGTTATTGCAACAAGGATCTTATGGCTCACAAAGCCTTACATAACACTATCTGGCCCTTTACAGAAAAGTTCACAGACCCCTGCTCTAGGACTAAAACACAACATTCTTCTTGCTTTTGAATTACATTTTATCAATTAAATACTCAAACTTACAAACTGGTAAAATGTGGAAAGATAAAGGATTACCTCACGCTAAGCATTTATATTTTGAATTCCAAACACTACCACATCAACTATAATTTTATTTTTTGTATGTATGCATTTAGTTTTATTATAGCAAAGCAACTTGCACATTTTTAAATATTTAAAACTAAGCATCATCTTTCCTTTCTAGGGAAACAACAAGAAAATTTAAAAACAAGCAGGAACAAAATTAAAATCGACAAAGTCAGTTCCAAATAAGATCCTACAGGATCTTATTGACTCTCCCATTGAATAGCAGGACTCAGGTCATCATTAGGAGAGAAGTGATTTAAAAGCGTCATCTTAAACTGCAAAGATGTCCATTAAACATGCCAAAGGAGAAGCCCTGTTGTCTAAATGCCCACTTAACCAACCCAAACATCTCAAACCCATCCTTTGCTGACCTTCTATAACCCCCTTTTTAGTTTAGCTTTCTCTACAAATAAGAGAAAATAGATACATGTTGGCAAATGCTAACTGTCCATATTCATATAGAGACAGAGTGTGCTCTCTGAGCCCAATACAAAGGAAGTAAGGATTTTCATCGAAATAAAAATTTATTCAGTAAAATGGCCTTTCTGAACAAGTTAACCTGAAATCTAAGAAATAAGTATACACAGGTTCTTTATACATTCAGAAAAGTAGAGACTAAAAAGAAGATAATTTTCTGAAACATTCCATTAGACATTATCCTCTGAATTAACCTGGCTTGCCTCACCATGCCAATAGAGAAATCATTAAAAATAGACTGTTTAACAGGAAAAAAAAACTCTCTCAACTTCTGTGAGAAATGATGCATAATTCTCAACTTTCCTAAGGTTAAATATTTAAGAAAAAAATATATGTATAAAAAATGGCAGAATGAAAGCCAGAGATTAAGATATAGGTGCATTATAATAAAATCTTAATAAAATTAATAATAAGGAAAATACAGAAGAAAGCCATCCACTATAAAATTTTAATAACATTAATTATCATAAAAATACAAAAGAAAGCCATCCACTAAAATTAGTACCCCAAAACACTTTATATTAGTTAACTAGCTACAGATTAACAGTTGTTGGTGTGCAAAGTTGCATACATACTTGACTTCTCATCTGGTCTAATTTCTTCCTTGAATCCTGCATCCCATTTTCTAAATAGGTGCAGTGACGCGATGAAGCATCCAGCAGAGCTTTTGTTGCTGATCCTTTGTTTAAGACATCATCTCGTTTTTGTTGAAGCTGTCTCACAGCTACCTGATAAGATGTTATTTTTGTTACTGATTTTACAAATCACCTTATTATTAAACCATTAATAATATTTAACTCTAAAGCATACTCTTTGAAAAATATCACCACACAGACCGATTCACCTTCTTTTCCTCATGTGTACACATTCCTGTGTATTACTGAATCCAGTTAAGGATACAGAAGGTGTTATCTTCCTGCCAAACTGGTATTGTTATTCACACAACATATTCAGCCCACTAGTCATTCCTCCCTTGATGAATCTGCAATGCTTAAAAACCTTCTGAAGTCTCAAAAAGAAATGAGTATGTGGGTGAGACTGATGGTAGTAAATTATACATTGTGGAATGATTTCCCTCTTTTTTTAAATTAGAAACTCAAATCAACCTCAGAGTTCCTCACATTAAATCATCTGCTTAAATCCTTCCAATAGATGTCTATCTCAGAAGAAAAGTAAAATTCCAGTGGCCTTAGATGCTCTAAGTAACCCGCCCTCCACCTCCCGCCCTGACTCAGCTGCTATATCTCTCCTCCGTACTCACTCCATTCCTACTCTACGTGAATCCTGCCACTCCTCGTTAGTCTGAAATCCTCCTTAGTCTGAAAATGGGGATCCAGTGTCAAACTAATAAATCACAGATAGCTATGCCTCTCTTTGTCCTGGACAAAGTTATATCCAAATGATAGTAATTGAGCCTTGAAATAAAAATTATGAACAAATTTTTTATTTAAAAACTGAAAGTAAATTATAAATGCCAGTGGGAAGATTAAATCAAACATGATTTGGCTAAAATTTACTGCATTTGCCCCATATTATAATAGAAGTAAAATTAGATGCCTTGAAAGAATAGAATGGTCATATCTATACATAATTTGAGATTGAAATAGTTTCAGATTTAAGTCAAATTGACATGAAGAAAAACAAAATTTTACCAACTAAGACATATTTAAAGCTACTGAAGAAAAGTAATTATGAAATAGGGAATACACTTCAGTTCATCTAGGAAATCTGAAATTCACTGTCAAAGTACCCCACTTAATTGAATCAATTTCAAAATACCATTTTAGGTATGAGCATTTCCATATACCTGATTTATCATGGTCTTAAAATGTTGCAACATAAATACATTAAAATTATTACTTCAGCAGTATAAGACTACATTATTAATGTTAGTCTATGTTAACATTTTATAACTTAAAATTTTATAAGTGACACATTGACTTTAATCAGAGGAAAGCATCTCTCAGTTCTAACTTTGACTTGCTGGAGACAAGGAATGTTTCTAAGCAGATATATTTATCATATGTATCCTTTTTTATATTCAACTAGATCCAACATTCAGCTGTAACCAAATATTACTTTAAATTTTACTTCAGGAAGTTTGAAAAATACTTATTTTTCTTGATACTTACTTCTCTTTCTGCTTTCTCTTTTTCATATTGGCATTCTTTTTCTTTCGAATGATTCAGTTCATTGACCAACATTTTATTGTCTTCTTCTAGTAAAAGACGGTGCTTTCTGCACTCAGCTTGAAGGTTTTGTACTCTAGCATCACATCTGGCTTGAATATTAAGTATTGCTTTTTCTTGATTGTCAGCTTTGTTGCGAGCATCATCCAGTTGCTGTTGAAGCAACATATTTTGTTTTTTTAGTTGACAAAATCTTTCCTGTTTTTCTATGCATTTTTCCATTGTATTGTATCCACTTTTGTACATTTTTTCAATGTCCTTCATTTGACTCTGTTTTTGCTTTAGCTCACTTTGCACGTGTTCAAAAACCAAAGCCTTTTCTTTCAGAGCCTCTCCTGTGTAATGGAGCTCAGTTTTGAGGACTCTGGACTTACTCTCAGCTTTAGAAAGTTGCAGAGAAAGAATCAGAACATGAGAATTCAAATTTTCCTGTAAGTGACGACATTTATCTACTGTGCCCTGGAAAGCAAGCTCTTGGTCTCTTTTTGATGAGTGACTTTGATCATGATCACATCGAGCAGCATTCAGTCTACAATGGTATGATTGCATTTCTGTTTCCAGTCTTTGCCTGCTCTCTCTTTGCTTCTCCAGTTTGGAACGGAGCGTTGTGTTTTCATCTGTCAGAGCAGCAAGCTGTCCACTATAACAGGCTATCGTTTTTGCTAATGTTTCCCCATTCCGTTTTAGAGCCTTTTGAAGGTCTTCATGCTTTCTTTTCACAATTTCAAAGTCTTTTAAGTATTTCTTTTCCAGGTTTTGGTTTTTTATTGTGTCTTTTTCCAGCCTGAGCCTGGCAATTTCATCTTGCATCAAGCGGTTTTCATGCAGCAGGTCTTCTTTTTCATCAGTTTCAGAAACCTAAGTAAAACAAAGCAAACTTGTAACTAGTATCCAATAGGATAACATATTGTGATTGCTTCTGAAATTAAATAATAACCTGTACATTTATACAATGAGAGGTTGCCATAACTGGATATCTAACTGGGAAAAAAGAAGTTAAGTCAAAACCTCAAACCTCATACAGCATAAATTCCCCAAAGTTCAAAAGTTTATTTGAAGACAGTGAATCCATGAAAGCAAAAAAGAAGCCACTAGATAATTTTTTTAAATTTCAGGATAAAAAAAGGCTTTTACTGAATTACAACAAATTGCAAGGCATAAAGAATTAATAACTATGACCACATTAAAAAATTGGGTTTACACTCTAACATCTAAACTATACCTCTCCCTATAGTGAGAGCCTTAGCTTGGCAGATATTTGGACAGATGAATGACATTTTCCAAATTCTTTAAGTTCCCTTTTTCTAAAATATTGTATAGATATTCTACTTTTCTAATATTGTTATGGTCAGTTTTAAGAATGACATTTATTGATAAATGATAAAGCTAGGCATTATACTAAGCACTTTTACGTGCACAAATCAATGAACTCATTTAGTTATAATTCTATAGCAAAAGGTTAAAAATATAAGCAAGCTGCAGGATTTTTCCCAGCTTTTCTGACTCTATTCCTAGTGCTCTTCCACCAAATCAGTAACTTCTGTGAGGTAGATATATACATACAAAAATAATCTTTTATTTCAAGACACCAAAAGTCAAGAAAATTAGATCTATAAAACTCTTCTTAGAAAATCATGACATTATTTGCTATTGTGATAACTTTTATTCCTTTTCCATAACATTTGAAATGTAATTAACATGAAATAGGGGAAATATGCTGAACTATGTCACTAGGAACAAAATACTTACAATATCATTAAGTATATATTGTAGAATAGCATTGTTTTCAAAAGGCCTTTGAACTAAAATAAAATATTTCAAGGTTTATTATAAATAATTATAGCTATAAATGCCATGATTCATTTTTAAGATGAAATAAAATTTGGGGATTGTTCAGGCCTAAATAATATACGTTAAATGAAAGAGATGGTATAAGTAATATTAATAAGAGTAGAAATATGAAGTTTTACCAAACATTAATTTACCTGATTTGAATTATTTCCTCCTGTCTTCAATTCCACCTCTGCTGATTTGAGAGCCGGTTTAATTGGTTTTGTCACATCAGCTTCTATCCTATATTGCTCTTCTGTTATTCTTAACTTTTCCCTAACTTTTTGGTGCACCTCTTCAACATTTCTTCTTTTCTTTTTTTCTTGCTGTATGGCAAATCTGTAAATATACTTATCTTAGAATTTATCTTATCAGTGAGGACTAAGCTCTAATTTTTTATCTTGCCCAAATTCCTACCTAAGGGGTCCAGGGAGTCGTGCCCTACAAACCATGGATTCTCATCAGATGGGTTTTATTTGACCCTGTATATTGTGACTTGCTTTTCAATCTGACTCTGGCATAACCTTACGAGACAAGGAAGAAAATATTTAATCCAAAATATATTTCCTTGCCATGCCTTGAAATTGCCCTGCAAAGTCTCTTGTGGGAAAAATCCACATTCTATAGAGAACCCCCTTTCCCCTTTGTTTTCCTTCCTTTCTATGCAGATCCAGGGGATATTCAGCTGAGAGCCAGGCACCCTTTTGGGTCCGATAAGAAACATTTTACAATCTGCTCTCTCTGAAGTCTGCTGAGAGATTCCTCTGCACAGTAAAACTTGGTCCCCACAATCATTTATCTTAACCTGAACATTTCTTTCCATTAATCCCAGGTCTTCAAATAAACTCAAGCAATTGTCAACCAGAAAATGTTTAAATTTACCTACAGCCTGGAAGCCCCAGCTTTGAGTTGGCCTGCCTTTCTGAACCAAACCAATGTATTTCTTACATGTATTTGATTGCTGTCTCATGCTTCTCTAAAATGTATAAAACCAAGCTGCACCCCGACCACCTCGGGCACATGTTCTCAGGACCTCCTGAGGGCTGTGTCGGGGGCCACGGTCACTCATATTTGGCTCAGAATAAATCTCTTCAAATATCTTACAGAGTTTGACTCTCTTTGTTGATATTAGAAAATAAAACATTCATATGTTGGTTTATTATCCTAATAAAGTTTCTATGTTCTTAAATACTATTTTTCTTTCTAGTTCTCATGTTTTTAATTTCTCACCTCAATCTCATCCAAAGGGCATGTATAAGTTGAAATGTATTGATAAAAGAACATCCTGCATAAGTTTCTATTACTAGTAACTCTAGCAAATATTATGAAAAAGGACGTTGAAAATTATTCAGTAAAGTTACAAGATAAAAATTATCTTTTCTTCACAGTAATTACTCCTCAATTAGGATGAATCATTTAGAGTTAATTAACATAAAGTTACTTTTTATAAACAAGTTGGTACATTCACTAGAAATACATTTTCATCTTCATGAAACATTCATTGCAAGTATCCCTAAACATAATTTACATTGCAAGATAGCATTTTCGATGTCTTTATGAAACATATATCAGCAGATTACTGTAATCCAAGACTAGGTTAAGAAGGTAATATGTTACCCTACACTTTTTCAGATTGTTTTTTGGGTAACACTTTCAGTCTATCCTGCTGATTAGTATGTACTTTATAACCAATTGTAAAATCTGTTTTGGAACAACACAAGATCTAATATTTAATTAAACAATAAAGAATAATACATGTCTTCAGCATAAAACTGAATTAATTTTATCTACATAGCAGAGAGATGTTGAATAAGCTAATCAGTAATCACTTTACATTTTACTTTTCATTCCCTGCATATTAAGAATAAAACTGGATACATTTTTTTTTTTTTTTTTGAGAGGGAGTCTCCTACTATCACTGGGCTGGAGTGCACTGGTGCAATCTCTGCTCACTGCAACCTCTGCCTCCCAGTTTCATGCGATTCTCCTGCCTCAGCCTCCTGCGTAGCTGGGATTACAGGTACAACCACCATACCTGGCTAATTTTTTGTATTTTTAGTAGAGATAGCATTTCACTGTGTTGGGCAGACTGGTCTCGAACTCCTGACCTCGTGATCTGCCCACCTCGGCCTACCAAAGTGCTGGGATTACAGGCATGAGCCACTGCACCCGGCTGATAATTTTTAAAATAATTATTCTGGGTAAAGAAAAATATCTGTTTTATACTCTGTTGGTTGAATTATAAATTAATATGAACATCCTTAAGAACAATTTAGAAATATTGATCACAGATCTAAAACAGATCTAAAAAAGTTTCTATACTTTAACCAGAAGAATTTATCCAATGTAAATAATTAGAAATGTAGAAAACTATGTGTATATAAAAGATGTTCCTTGTAGCATTATTACAAAAACTTTTTAAAACCTGAAATTCAATTCATCAATTAAATAATGAGATTTCCAAAAGGTAAAATTCTATACAGCCATTAAAACTATGATTTAAAAGAATATGCATTTAATTATTAGAGAAGTATTCACAATTAAGAACTTGTGATATTATATCCAATAATTTCACACTCCATAAGATTAAGAAGCTTTCTTCCCTGTTAAATCCTAGAAGGAAAGTTCGCAATTACAAAACTTCTCCTTATACGTCTTTAATATAAAACAAACAGTTCAAACATTTATTTAAAACTAGGTCATACCTCAAACTACAGAGTTCTTTTTCCAATTCAAGTATTTCATGCTTTAACTGCGATTTTATTTCTTCTTTTTCAGATATTCTCTTTTGTAGTACACTAGCCTTATTTTTCAGTTTTCGAATTTTTACTCTAAGTTGCTCACAGTGGTTATCTTTAAGTTTTATTAATCTTTTCCATAAACAAAATGTATTTTTAATTTTCAATAGGTGAACACAATCTGTAACCAGGAAAAAACAAAGTAGAGATAAAATACATGAGTAGATTTTTGGATATAAAGGACTGTGCATTTTTAACATGTATTCATTCATACGTTGAACAAGTATGTACATATTGAGTGCCTACAAGGTGGAAGATATTATAGTAAGGTCTGCAGATAAGACAACACCTCTGCTATTGTTTTAGCTTAAAGTATAGTGAAGAACCAAGATAAAAAGGTGACAGTTATAAACTCAGATAGGTCCTGTAAAAAAAAAAAAAAAAAAAAAAAAAAAAAAAAAAAACATAGTTATGTGATTGCATAAGATAATTTGATCTATACTTCACCCAGGGAAGATTTCCCTGAGGAAGAGATGCTACACTGAGAAATGAAGGATGAGAAAGAAGCAGTTAAGCAAAGAAGAAAGCAAAGCACTCTGGCTAGTTTGCAGCATGTGCTGTGCTGAAGCTCTGCTGCAATCTGTTACTAGCTCTGATGGAGTAACAGATACTGATTTTTCATCTTATCTGAATGAATAAAAAACAAAACAGACACAATACATTAAACTGATTTTCAACACAGTGGACTTCAGGCAATGAAGATGGTAGGTGATCACTGAAAGACAGAAAACAAATACAGCAGGCCTTACAAATATCCCAGCTCTTTTGACAGAGTTTTGACGGAGGTTCGAGGCCATCACAAAGGGAGAAAATCTGACATAGAGCTGGGGTGATGACGCTGAGAGGCCAGTAAAACCAAAGCAGATAGAGATCACAGGACAGAAAACTGGAGAGAAAAAAGCAGTACAGGAAACAAATCCTGGAGATGTGCAGAGATTCCCTCTTGGGTATTTAGTGGAGTAATGAAAAGTGCTTGTGTACTAGGAAACTTCCTAAGAACAATGAAAAATAAAATAAAAAAAAACAACAGTTAAAGAAAATTAGCAGAAACGATGTCTGGGGTTCACACAATGACTGGAAGAGGGTCCATTCCCATGAGCCAGGCCAAAATACCGCATACTTCACAGGACAATGAATACTCCGAAAGGTCTTGCCTCAGGAGTGAGGAATTACCCCAAATCTAAAAGCAAGAATGGAAAGATTATAAGTAAATCTCTGTACTCCAAATAAAACTCAAGATAATAAGTGGAGGCAGGGAAGGTTTTTTTTTAAAAAAACACAAACCATACTTGTAGAGACACAAATTACATTGTCATAAGTAAAAACTATAGTGGATGGAAATAAACACAAATTAGAGATAACAAAGGAAAAATTCCTAAATTTGACACGATAAACTGCAAGAAACTTTCAAGCAGCTAATAGATAACTCCTCAAATAAAAAAGAAGAGACAGAAAAAAAATTAAAGAAAAAATGACCAAAAATATTCTAACCTTAACACAAACCATAATCCCACAGATTCAGGAAGGAAGTGTCTGGGACAGAAAAAAATGAAAATGTATCATTGTCATTTTTTATACCATCTAGGATGTATAATATTACTGAAGGTGAACTGTGATAAGTTAAAATTATATACTAAAAATCCTAAACACTAAGATAGCAAAACAGTTATCGCTAATAAACCCAAAAATATATATAAAATTGAATCATAAAAAACAGTTGACTAATCTAAAGGAAAGCAGGAAAAGAAGGGGAACAGAGAACAGTTGGGACTAATAGCAATCACACAGCTACCAGACAAACATAACTATATCAGTAATCACATTACAAATGACACTTGTCTAAGAACCTCAACTATAATACAGACTGTCAGGCTCAGCAAGAAAGCAAGACCCAACTACAGGCTGCCTATAAGAAATGCACTTTAAATGTAAAGACACAAATTGGTTGTAAGGATGGAAAAAGATACATGCTAACAGTTGGCAAAGGCAGCTGAGCAGGTGTGGCTGTATTAATACCAAAGTAGATTTCATAGCAAAAAAAAAAAAACATTCCAGCAATAAATAACAAAGGTCATGTCACAATAGTAAAAGGTTCAGTTAATCAACAAAACATAACAATCCTCAGTCTTTATGCCCCTAATAACAAACCAGCCTCACAATATATGAGACCAAAGTGGATAGAACTACAAAAAGTGACAGACAATTTCTAGGTAATCTGAGGTTTCAATACCCTTTACTCAATAAGTGATAGAACAAGAAGGCAGAAAATCAGCGAGAATAGACTTGAACAACACTATGCTTTCCAAGTACCCACGGAACACTTACCAAAATAGACCATATTTTAGGCCATACAACAACTCTCAATTAAAGGATTGAGTCAGAAGGATTTAACTCATACAAAGTATGTGCCCTGACCACAAATCAATCAGATTAAAGACCGATAACAAAAATAACTCTGGGAAATACACAAATATTTGGAAACTAAGTAACACACATCTAAATAACCCTGGGTCAAACAGGTAATGAAAATAGAAATAGAAAATAGAAAATATTCTGAACTGAATAAAAATTCATCAACCAGAATTTGTGGAATGCAGCTACAGCTGTACTTGAATACAAATTTTTAGCACTGCTGAATGTCTACATTAGAAGAGTCTTAAATCAATGACTTTGACTTCTACCTTAAGCAACTAGATAAAAGAAGAGTGACATAAACCCAAAGCAAGCAGAGGAAAGGAAATAATAAACATCTGCTGTGGTCTGAATGTTTGTCTTCCCCAAAATTTATATGCTGAAAGCCAATCACAGATGTGACGGTATTAGGAGGGGGGATTTTTACAGGTAGTTGGTCATGAGAGCGAAGCCCTAATGAATGGGATTAGTGCTTAGTGCTCTATACAACAGACCCCAGATCTCCTTCACCCCTTCTGCCAAGTGAGGGCACAGAGAAAAAGCATTCATGAACTAGGACGTGTTCCCTAACCATACACCAAACATGACAGCATCTGGATCTTGGACTTTGCTGAACCCACAACTGCGAGAAATCAACTTCTGTTGTTTGAACCAGTCTATGGTATTTTGTTATACTGTTGGTTCCAGAAGAAACAATAGAAAAAAATCAACAACACAAAACACCTTGAGGAGATCAATAAATGTGATAAAGCTCCATTTAGCCAGGCTGCTCAGAATAAAAGAAACAATACAAATTACTAATTTCAGAAATAAACAATGTGACATAATTATAGATTCTACAGATACTAAAAATATAACAAGATATTATAATTTCTATGTAAGTAAACAGGACAACTTAGATAAAATTAACAAATTCCTTTAAAAATGAAAATTAGCAAATCTCAATCAAGAAGCAATAGATAACGTGAATTGCCCTATATCTATAGAAGAAAGTTAAGTTATAGTTAAAAACCTTCCTAAAAGAAAACTCCAGACCCAGCTGGCTATGCTGGTGATTCTACAAAACATTTCTGGAAGAAATTAATACAATTATACATAAACTCTCCCAAAAGAAACAGAAAGAAGGAGTATATCTCAACTCAGTCTGTAATGTTAGCTTTACCCTGAACCAAAACCAGAAAATATTACCAACAAGAAAATTCCCTCATGAGCACGAATGTAAAAATTCAACCAATTTGTGATGCAACGAAGACATCCTCCCATAGTGGAGTGAATAAACTGTGGTTACACAGCCATACAGTGGAATATCACTCTACACATAAAGAAATGAGCAATCAATTCATGAAAATATGTGAAGGAACCTTAAATGCATATTACCAAGTGACATAAGCTCATCTGAAAAGGCTACTTACTGTATGGTTCCAACTATATGATCAGGAAGAGGCAAAACTATGGATAAAGTAAAAGGGTGCCTAAGGGTAAGAGACAGCAGGAAAAGATACATAGGCAGAGCACAGAGGATTTTTAGGGAAGTCAAAATAATTTATATAACATGGATACACATCATTGTACATTTGTCCAAATCCATACATGTAAAGTACCAAGAGTGAACCCCAATGCAAATTATGGGCTTGGGGTGATTGTGATGTGTCAATTTAGGCTCATCTATCATAGCAACTACCACTATGGTGAAGGATACTGGTAATGAAGGAGGCTAAACATGTATTGGATTGGGGGTATACAAAAAAATATCTGAACCTCCCTCTCAATTTTGACAGGAACATAAAACTGGTCTAAAAAATAAAAGTCTTTATAATAAATTCTAAATGAGACTTTAGTAAACTGTATCCGACAGTATAATGAAAAGGTAATACATCATAAACAAATGGGGTTTATTCCAGAAATGGAAGGTTGGCTTAACATTGAAACATCATCATTATTTACCACAAAACAAACTGAAAGAGAAGACCCATAGGATCATCCCAACAGACACAGGCATCTGATAAAATTTACTCCTGATGTCTCAAAGAAGAAACACTCTCAGTAACATAAGAATCCAAGGGAAGTTCTTCAGCATGATAAACAACGTCTATGATGAACCTACAGCTAACGTGCATCATAGTGAAAAACTGAATGCATTTCCCATAAGATGAGGAAGAACATGGGAATGTCTGCTTTCACTACTTGTTTGTAGCATTGTTCTGAAGATTCTAGTTAATGCAGTCAGGCAAGAAAAAGAAATAAGAGGCATCCAAGTTTAAAAAAAAGAAATAAAATTGTCTTTATACACAACCATGACCATAAAATAGGTATGGGTAAACCCCAACCTGTGGGCCAGCTTCTTGTCCGATAAGCTTTTATTGGAACACAGCTGTGTTCATTAATTTATGGATGATCTATGGCTGCTCTCATACTAAAATGGCAGAGTTTATCAGCTGCAAAAGAGACCCTTTTGCCACAAGCCTAAAATATTCACTATCCTTAGTAAGAGGGTAGTTTGAGAAAGAAAGGTTTAACAACCTTTGGTCTATGAAGAAAATCTGATCAAATCTACCAACAATGTGCCAGAACTAATAAGTGAGTTTAACAAGAATGAAGGATACAAATTCAATACAGAAAAATTAACTGTATTTCTATATGCTAGCGATAAACAATCAAATGAAAATTTTAAAACTATCATTTTCTATAGTTTTATAAAAGTGTATATTTGGATTAGCAATGCTCAACCTGTATAAAGAAAGTCAAATACATCTACACTAATTAAACTATCATTTACAACTTCATCAAAAATGAAATACAGATAAATCTGATAAAATATGAAAAGACCTATAAACTAAAAACTACAAAATACTACTGAGAAAATTAAATATTACCTCTATAAAAGCAGACATACACTTTATTGAGGAGTAGATTCGCTATTGTTAAGATGTCAATTCTCCCCAAATTAATCTATAAATATGACCCAATCCCAACTTAATTTCCAACAAGCGAGCAGTCTTTATTTTATTGATAAGCTGATTCTAAAGTTCATGTGAAAATGCAAAGGATCTAGCATAGTCAAAACAGAACAAAGAACAAAATTGGAGGATTCATTTCAAGAATTACTATAAATCAATAGTAACAAAAACAGTGTGCCACAGGTACAGGCTGAATATCCCTTATTCAAAATGCTTCAGACTAGAAGTTTTTCAGATTTTGGATTTTGGAATATTTGCATATACATGATGAAATATCTTGGGGATAGGACCCAAGTCTAAACACAAAATACATTTGTTTTTCATATTTACCTTGTACACAAAGACTGAAGGTAATTTTAAATAATACTTTTAATAATTTGGGGCATGAAACAATGTTTGTATACATGAGGTCGGATGTAGAATTTTTCCACTGTGCTGTCTATGTTGGCAATCAAAAAGTCTGGGGTTTTAGAGCATTTCAGATTTGGGATATTTAAATTAGCAATGCTCAACCTGTATAAAGAAAGTCAAATTCAGACAATCCCCAACTTAAGGTGGTTTGACTTACTGACTTTACAGTGGGTTTACTGAAGTATTAACTTGCTTTTGACTCAAACACTGGGTTTCCCACAATTTGGGGAGCATCTGCAAATTAATAAAATTCAACAGACAGTCCAGAAATAGATAACACATAAGCAACCAGCTTATGACTGACAAAGGCAGGATGGCAATGCAGTGGAGAAAGGATAGCCTTTTCAACATGCGGTGTTGGAACAATTGGCTGTCCATATCCAAAAAGTGAACTTGAATCCATACCTCACCTCACTCCATAGACAAAAGGAAACTCAAGATGGAGCACAGATTTAAATGGAAGATCCAAATCTATAAAATTTCTAGAACAAACACAGGAACAATCTTTGTGACCTTGTGCTAGGCAAACATTTTTACATATGACACAAAATGCAAAATCTGTAATTCAACAATTAAATTGGATTTCATTATGATTAAAATCTTCTGCTCTTCAAAAGATACTACAAAGCAAGTGAAAAGTCAACCCAAAAACTGGCAAAAATACCCTTGTAAAAAAGTAGCTAAAAGTAATAGTATCCAAATACATACAGAATTATTAAAATTCAACACGTAAGAAAACATCAACCTACTTTTTTATATGCAAAAGATGTGAAAAGACAGTTCAACAAAGAAGATGTACAGATGGCAAATAAACACATGGAAAGATGCTCAACATTTTAGTCATTAGGATCATGTACATTAAACCCATAAGAATATACATAATACACCCATCAGAATAACTAAAATTTAAAAAAATAAATACAGCAGTAGTGTGACAACATAGCAACTGGAATGGTCATTTACTGCTGATGAGAATAGAAAATAGTACAAATATTTTGGAAAACCATTTAGCAGCTTTTAAAAACAGGAATATGAAGGGCCATGAGGAGACGTTAGTGGGTGATGGATATATGTTGACTATCTCGATGATGGTAATAGTTTCACATGTGTATACATCTGTTAAAACTTATCAAATGGTACCTTTTACATGTGTGCACTGTATCGCATATCAATTTTACCACACTAAAGCTACTGATTGTAGGAGCAAACACCTAAGGCACTGGCTGTGGCACAGAGAAGGGTATGCAATGATGCAGTATAAAGCTCGAGGACTGAGATCCATATCTTATAGCAATAAATGGCAGCTGGGTTTTCAGCAAGCAGGTAACATGATCAGGTGTGATTTTTTACAACTATATAATTATGATTGCAGAACAGGCCATGGTTTTGGAAGGTGGAATAGTAGGAAAGACAGTTAGAGGGTTATCACAGTATTTCAGGTGGGAGGAAATGGTAACATGACCATGGGTAAATGGGTAATGGCATAGAAGAGAAGCAGAGTAAACAAACACACTGTGTGTATCATTCACACTGAGAAAAGTACAGTGAAATGATCATAGCTCTTTGGCTGAGAAGGTACAAGATACAGTTGCTTTCATTCTATTTTAACATAAGGCATATTTCTGAGATGAACATTCTTGTAACATATCAGTACTCTATGGTACAGTGTTAAGCAATGTGTGCATACATTGCTATAGGATTTTTAAAAAGCCTTATATTTATGCATTGGTCCTACCTTTACACTTCATTTCATGTTGATCAATGAGTAATATGACATTCTTACAATTACAGCAAAGCGAGTCACCGTCCTCTGAGACTGTTTGAGATGACTGAATTATGTCATCAAGGTCATCCCTAGAATGTATTTGGTTTTTCACCTACAAAATAAATAACACTGTTTCAAAATGTCCCCAAAATATTTATAGCATATACAAAATGTACAGAAGTGGGAATTGCCCATCTGTTTCTATGAGCACAAACACAGGTACCTGTTCCGTACTTTTTTTTTAAGCAATTTCCTTTATGTTGACTCTAGTTCAGAAGACCACATGGTCTATGGATAAATTAGTTTCCCAGTTCCTGTGCTATTTAGAAAACTGACAGAGAGACTTGGGTTAATTAAGGAACAAAGATTAAGAGAATGTCTTCCTGAGCTTGAGTTATTTTAATTGCAAAAACAATCTATTTATACATACAATTAGGTATTTAGATTACCCCATTTTACACAAGAGATTTTCATAAGTAAAAAAATTCAAATGGATCAAATAATTGGTGAAGAGAAAAACCAGAGTAGCAGCAAGTGACCCTCTAAGTCTTTTGGAAGTTGAACTTTCTCCAAAGCCAGGAACTCTACTTTACTTGTAATATGCTTACCTCATTCTTAAATCTTTGCATATATCACTTAATTCCACTTCTAGACATACTGCTGATGTTCTGTCACCATGTGGTGGAGAATAATGCACATTTTCTAATTCAAGTTTTATGCTTTCATATTTATTTGCACTACAGTTGTCACATAACGGCTTCTGGAACACATTCTGTATTGGTTTTGTACTGTTTGTAACAACAGAAACACCATCATCTTTTTTTTTTTTTTTAAATCACATGCTTCATTTCTTTGGAGCAGGTAAGCCACATACCTAAAAGGCTTTTTGAATCACTAAATTGAGGCATATGTCCGATGTTTAATTTCCAATTAGCGGTGTTTTGTTTTTTTGTCATTTGCCTCACAACCTATTTGTCTTCTTTTATTTCATCCATAACTACTTCTGGGTTTCTTGCTTTTGTACTTTCAGTATCATTATAAAAATTTTCCTTGTCTGAGTTAAAAACATGTTCAGTATCTGGTTTGTTGTCGTTTTCACAGTCTACTTTATTTGTATTTAAATAAAGCTCTGAAGGTGACTGGCAAGCATATTCTGGGGACCCAGAGTATGAATGAGAAAGAAAGGCATTTTTGAGACTGGGTTATTTTTGTTCAGGAAATATCTGGACTACTACAGAGACAGACATGCCAGATGCATCACTTTCCTGACAATCAGGTGAATCATTTGTCAAATTAGAAGGTTTTTACTTAAGTTTGTTCTTCCTGTAGAGTTATTATGTAGTTGCTCTTCCTCAATACAAGCAGTTTTGTAATTTTCACAAATTTCACCAAAACTCTGCTTTAACTTATTTGTGATGAATTTTAAAGGTTTTTTTTACCCTAGTTTGTCTTGTTTCATCCACATTCTCTCATACTTTTGTGCACAAGTAAGTCCTGCATATATAAAGAGGTCCTTTCTATCACAACACTTTTTCACTACTAGTTGTTGAGACAATTTTTGCACATGCAAAAGTGGAAGATAAATTTGCTAGTTTTCTTTCTTAGATGTCTTTTCTGTCAGAGTACATGTTTTAAAAATAACTTTATCTTTAAATAATCAAGTGTAAAAAGAGAAAAATTTTAAAATAATTAAAGTTTAATATCAAACTTCTTAATCTATGTTTACCTACTCCCAAATCACTGGATTGTAACTAAGAAGTGAAAAATAATTTGCATTAGCCTAAAATCAGTGAAAAACATAAACCATGAAACTTTAATTTGTCACTGTTTGTTTGGACTAAACTTGAATAATTCATTATGTGTTAAATTTCCCAAAAATGAATTAGGAGATGACTTGTGGTACTATAAAGGCACTGTCACTTTAAAAGATTTTATCACTATATGAACAGTGTACACTTGAGTGCTTTTTCCTAATATTACTAACTAATGATTAGGCAAACTTTAAATTATTAGGAGCCAAAATCACCACCAGTCAGTAAGAAAAGCAAATTCTTTGTCTGGCAGCCAAGACTGCTGAATAGGAACAGCTCCAGTCTACAGCTCCCAGCGTGAGCGACGCAGAAGATGGGTGGTTTCTGCATTTCCATCTGAGGTACCAGGTTCATCTCACTAAAGAGTGCCAGACAGTGGGTGCTGGACAGTGGGTGCAGTGCACCGTGTGTGACCCAAAGGAGGGTGAGGCATTGCCTCACTCAGGAAGTGGAAGGGGTCAGGGAGTTCCCTTTCCTAGTCAAAGAAAGGGGTGACAGACAGCACCTGGAAAATTGGGTTACTCCCACCCTACTACTGCACTTTTCCGACGGGCTTAAAAAACGGCACACCAGGAAATTATATCCTGCACCTGGCTCAGAGGGTCCTGCGCCCATGGAGTCTAACTGATTGCTAGCACAGCAGTCTGAGATCAAACTGCAAGGCGGCAGTGAGGCTGGGGGAGGGGCACCTGCCATTGCCCAGGCTTGCTTAGGTAAACAAAGCAGCTTGAACTGGGTGGAGCCCACCACAGCTCAAGGAGGCCTGCCTGCCTCTGTAGGCTCCACCTCTGGGGGCAGGGCACAGAGAAACAAAAAGACAGCAGTAACCTCTGCAGACTTAAATGTCCCTGTATGATAGCTTTGAAGACAGCAGTGGTTCTCCCAGCATGCAGCTGGAGATCTGAGAATGGGCAGACTGCCTCCTCAAGTGAGACCCTGACCACTGACCCCCGAGCAGCCTAACTGGGAGGCACCCCCAGGTAGGGGCAGACTGACACCTCACACAGCCGGGTACTCCTCTGAGACAAAACTCCCAGAGGAACGATCACACAGCAGCATTCGCGGTTCATGAAAATCTGCTGTTCTGCAGCCACCACTGCTGATACCCAGGCAGACAGGGTCTGGAGTGGACCTCTAGCAAACTCCAACAGACCTGCAGCTGAGGGTCCTGTCTGGTAGAAGGAAAACTAACAAACAGAAAGGACATCCACATCAAAAACCCATCTGTACATCACCATCATCAAAGACCAAAAGTAGATAAAACCTCAAAGATGGGGAAAAAACAGAGCAGAAAAACTGGAAACTCTAAAAAGCAGAGCGCCTCTCCTCTTCCAAAGGAATGCAGTTCCTCACCAGCAACAGAACAAAGCTGGACAGAGAATGACTTTGACGAGTTGAGAGAAGAAGGCTTCAGACGATCAAACTACTCTGAGCTACAGGAGGAAATTCAAACCAAAGGCAAAGAAGTTAAAAACTTTGAAAAAAAATTTAGACGAATGTATACCTAGAATAACCAATACAGAGAAGTGCTTAAAGGAGCTGATGAAGCTGAAAGCCGAGGCTCGAGAACTACGTGAAGAGTGCAGAAGCCTCAGGAGCCGATGCAATCAACTGGAAGAAAGGGTATCAGTGATGGAAGATGAAATGAATGAAATGAAACGAGAAGGGAAGTTGAGAGAAAAAAGAATGAAAAGAAACAAACAAAGCCTCCAAGAAATATGGGACTAAGTGAAAAGACCAAATCTACATCTGATTGGTGTACCTGAAAGTCACGGGGAGAATGGAACCAAGGTGGAAAACACACTGCAGGATATTATCCAGGAGAACATCCCCAATCTAGCAAGGCAGGCCAACATTCAGATTCAAGAAATACAGACAACGCCACAAAGATACCCCTTGAGAAGAGCAACTCCAAGACACATAATTGTCAGATTCACCAAAGTTGAAATGAAGGAAAAAATGTTAAGGGCAGCCAGAGAGAAAGGTCAGGTTGCCCACAAAGGGAAGCCCATCAGACTAACAGTGGATCTCTCGGCAGAAACTCTACAAGCCGGAAGAGAGTGGGGGCCAATATTCAACATTCTTAAAGAAAAGAATTTTCAACCCAGAATTTCATATCCTGCCAAACTAAGCTTCATAAGTGAAGGAGAAATAAAATACTTCACAGACAAGCAAATGATGAGAGATTTTGTCACCACCAGGCTTGCCCTAAAAGAGCTCCTGAAGGAAGCACTAAACATGGAAAGGAACAACCGGTACCAGCCACTGCAAAATCATGCCAAAATATAAAGACCATCGAGACTAGGAAGAAACTGCATTAACTAATTAGCAAAATAACTAGCTAACATCATAATGCCAGGATCAATTTCAGACATAACAATATTAACTTTAAATGTAAATGGACTAAATGCTCCAATTAAAAGACACAGACTGGCAAATTGGATAAAGAGTCAAGATCCATCAGTGTGCTGTATTCAGGAAACCCATCTCACGTGCAGAGACACACATAGACTCAAAATAAAAGGATGGAGGAAGATCTACCAAGCAAATGGAAAACAAAAAAAGGCAGGGGTTGCAATCCTAGTCTCTGATAAAACAGACTTTAAACCAACAAAGATCGAAAGAGACAAAGAAGGCCATTACATAATGGTAAAGAGATCAATTCAACAAGAAGAGCTAACTATCCTAAATATATATGCACCCAATACAGGAGCACCCAGATTCATAAAGCAAGTCCTGAGTGACCTACAAAGAGACTTAGACTCCCACACAATAATAATGGGAGACTTTAACATCCCACTGTCAACATTGGACAGATCAATGAGACAGAAAGTTAATAAGGAGACCCAGGAATTGAACTCAGCTCTGCACCAAGTGGACCTAATAGACATCTACAGAACTCTCCACCCCAAATCAACAGAATATACATTTTTTTCAGCACCACACCACACCTATTCCAAAATTGACCACATACTTGGAAGTAAAGCTCTCCTCAGCAAATGTAAAAGAAGAGAAAGTATAACAAAGTGTCTGTCAGACCACAGTGCAATCAAACTAGAACTCAGGATTAAGAAACTCACTCAAAACCGCTCAACTACATGGAAACTGAACAACCTGCTCCTGAATGACTACTGGGTACATAACAAAATGAAGGCAGAAATAAAGATGTTCTTTGAAACCAATGAGAACAAAGACACAACATACCAGAATCTCTGGGACACATTCAAAGCAGTGTGTAGAGGGAAATTTATAGCACTAAATGCCCACAAGAGAAAGCAGGAAAGATCCAAAATTGACACCCTAACATCACAATTAAAAGAACTAGAAAAGCAAGAGCAAACACATTCAAAAGCTAGCAGAAGGCAAGAAATAACTAAAATCAGAACAGAACTGAAGGAAATAGAGACACAAAAAACCCTTCAAAAAATTAATGAATCCAGGAGCCGGTTTTTTGAAAGGATCAACAAAATTGATAGACAGCTAGCAAGACTAAAAAAGAAGAAAAGAGAGAAGAATCAAATAGATGCAATACAAAATGATAAAGGGGATATCACCACCGATCCCACAGAAATACAAACTACCATCAGAGAATACTACAAACACCTCTACACAAATAAACTAGAAAATCTAGAAGAAATGCATAAATTCCTGGACACATACACACTCCCAAGACTAAACCAGGAAGAAGTTGAATCTCTGAATAGACCAATAACAGGATCTGAAATTGTGGCAATAATCAATAGCTTACCAACCAAAAAGAGTCCAGGACCAGATGGATTCACAGCCGAATTCTACCAGAGGTACAAGGAGGAAGTGGTACCCTTCCTTCTGAAACTATTCCAATCAATAGAAAAAGAGGGAACCCTCCCTAACTCATTTTATGAGGCCAGCATCATCCTGATACCAAAGCCGGGCAGAGACACAACCAAAAAAGAGAATTTTAGACCAGTATCCTTAATGAACATTGATGCAAAAATCCTCGATAAAATATGGGCAAACCAAATCCAGCAGCACATCAAAAAGCTTATCCACCATGATCAAGTGGGCTTCATCCCTGGGATGCAAGGCTGGTTCAATATACGCAAATAAATAAATGTAATCCAGCTTATAAACAGAACCAAAGACAAAAACCACATGATTATCTCAATAGATGCAGAAAAGGCCTTTGACAAAATTCAACAACGCTTCATGCTAAAAACTCTCAATAAATTAGGTATTGATGGGACGTATTTCAAAATAATAAGAGCTATCTATGACAAACCCACAGCCAATATCATACTGAATGGGCAAAAACTGGAAGCATTCCCTTTGAAAACTGGCACAAGAGGGCACAAGACAGGGATGCCCTCTCTCACCACTCCTATTCAACATAGTGTTGGAAGTTCTGGTTAGGGCCATTAGGCAGGAGAAGGAAATAAAGGGTATTCAATTAGGAAAAGAGGAAGTCAAATTGTCCCTGTTTGCAGACGACATGATTGTATATCTAGAAAACCCCATTGTCTCAGCCCAAAATCTCCTTAAGCTGATCAGCAACTTCAGCAAAGTCTCAGGATACAAAATCAATGTAAAAAATCATAAGCATTCTTATACACCAATAACAGACAAACAGAGAGCCAAATCATGAGTGAATTCCCATTCACAATTGCTTCAAAGAGAATAAAATACCTAGGAATCCAACTTACAAGCGATGTGAAGGACCTCTTCAAGGAGAACTACAAATCACTGCTCAAGGAAATAAAAGAGGATACAAACAAATGGAAGAACATTCCATGCTCATGGGTAGGAAGAATCAGTATGGTTAAAATGGCCATACTGCCCAAGGTAATTTATAGATTCAATGCCATCACCATCAAGCTCCCAAAGACTTTCTTCACTGAATTGGAAAAAACTACTTTAAAGTTCATATGGAACCAAAAAAGAGCCCGCATCACTAAGTCAATCCTTAGCCAAAAGAACAAGGCTGGAGGCATCACGCTACCTGACTTCAAACTATACTACAAGGCTACAGTAACCAAAACAGCATGGTACTGGTACCAAAACAGAGATATAGACCAATGGAACAGAACAGAGCCATCAGAAATAACGCCGCATATCTACAACTATCTGATCTTTGACAACCCTGAGAAAAACAAGCAACGGGGAAAGGATTCCCTATTTAATAAATGGTGCTGGGAAAACTGGCTAGCCATATGTAGAAAGCTGCAACTGGATCCCTTCCTTACACCTTATACAAAAATTAATTCAAGATGGATTAAAGGCTTAAACGTTAGACCTAAAACCATAAAAACCCTAGAAGAAAACCTAGGCATTACCATTCAGGACATAGGCATGGGCAAGGACTTCATGTCTAAAACACCAAAAGCAATGGCAACAAAAGCCAAAATTGACAGATGGGATCTAATTAAACTGAAGAGATTTTGCACAGCAAAAGAAACTACCATCAGAGTGAACAGGCAACCTACAACATGGGAGAAAATTTTCGCAACCTACTCATCTGACAAAGGGCTAATATCCAGAATCTACAATGAACCCAAACAAATTTACAAGAAAAAAACAAACAACCCCATCAAAAAGTGGGCAAAGGACATGAACAGACACTTCTCAAAAGAAGACATTTATGCAGCCAAAAAACACATGAAAAAATGCTCACCATCACTGGCCATCAGAGAAATGCAAATCAAAACCACAATGAGATACCATCTCACACCAGTTAGGATGGCAATCATTAAAAAATCTGGAAACAACAGGTGCTGGAGAGGATGTGGAGAAATAGGAACACTTTTACACTGTTGGTGGGACTGTAAACTAGTTCAACCATTGTGGAAGTCAGTGTGGCGATTCCTCAGGGATCTAGAACTAGAAATACCATTTGACCCTGCCATCCCATTACTGGGTATATACCCAAAGGACTATAAATCATGCTGCTATAAAGACACATGCACACATATGTTTTTGCGGCACTATTCACAATAGCAAAGACTTGGAACCAACCCAAATGTCCAACAATGATAGTCTGGATTAAGAAAATATGGCACATAGACACCATGGAATACTATGCAGCCATAAAAAATGATGAGTTCATGTCCTTTGTAGGGACATGGATGAAATTGGAAATCATCATTCTCAGTAAACTATCGCAAGGACAAAAAACCAAACACTGCATGTTCTCACTCATAGGTGGGAATTGAACAATGAGAACAGGTGGACACAGGAAGGGGAACATCACACTCTGGGGACTGTTGTGGGGTTGGGGGAGGGGGGAGGGATAGCATTAGGAGATATACCTAATGCTAAATGACGAGTTAATGGGTGCAGCACACCAGCATGGCACGTGTATACATATGTAACTAACCTGCACATTGTGCAAGTGTTCCCTAAAACTTAAAGTATAATAATAATAAAATAAAAAAAGAAAAGCAAATTCTTACATTTTAATGCAAATTACACATTGTAATATGATTGACAGTGTTATATATTTATATAGATTATAGGCTTAAGTTCTAAGGTCTACTAATGACAGTGGATTTAATAAATTTAACAATATTTAGAGATTTTCTATATTGAAATACATTAGGCAGTTATTGTTTGTACACTAATACCAAAGGTGCCATTCTGCAAGGTATAATTCTCTTGATAGCCAGTTGGGTTGATTTTATAACGCATTCTCTCCCTGAACATAGAAACTGAAGTCAGAGATCAAAAAGGAAAATAAATTTTTAACCTTGGTATTAGTGACTGGCAATAAAAAAACTGCAAAGTTTGAACCACTAGCAATAATTACTCCTTTAATCTGAATCCAGTACGGTGGTCATCACTGTTAAATTGTTCATAATTTCTATTGCTTAAAATTGTAATTCAATATTTGATGTTACCTTCTTTATTATAATAGGAA
The DNA here is from genome assembly GCF_000001405.40 of Homo sapiens. Taxonomy (NCBI): domain Eukaryota; kingdom Metazoa; phylum Chordata; class Mammalia; order Primates; family Hominidae; genus Homo; species Homo sapiens. The sequence goes on along the minus strand of NC_000002.12, from coordinate 97,225,138 downwards.
GTTATAAAAATAGAAGTGCAAACAATATCAGGAACTTTTTAACTCAGTTCCAAGAGTAAAGATAAGATACAAGTTGCTATAGATTCCAACACTATTTTAAGTTTTATAACTAGTTAAATGTTTTTAAAATGAAATATTAAATTATAATCAACTGATACTAAAAGGCTAATCCAAAGGTAAATTCATTTCAAATATGCTGTATTACCAAAGCTAGGAAAACAAGATTAAACCAGAAATTTGATTTTAAATTTTTACATACCTGTGGCTGGTTATTTTCATATTCTTCAAGCCTCTTTTGCTCTCCCTCTGATGCCATTTCTAAGTCTTGTTCTGCTAAAAAAATTATATATTTAGTTAAAATGAGCTACACAGAACAGTTAGATAAAAGCCATGGTCAGCGGTGGCTCACGCCTGTAATCCCAGCACTTTGGGAGGCCGAGGCAGGTGGATCACGAGGTCAGGAGATCGAGACCATCCTGGCTAACAAGGTGAAACCTCGTCTCTACTAAAAAATACAAAAAATTAGCTGGGCGTGGTGGCGGGCGCCTGTAGTCCCAGCTAGTCGGGAGGCTGGTGCAGGAGAATGGCGTGAGCCCGGGAAGTGGAGCTTGCAGTGAGCTGAAGATCTCACCACTGCACCTCCAGCCTGGGTGGCAGAGCGAGACTGTGTCTCAAAAAAAAAAAAACAAAAAAACAAAAAAACAAAACGATAGTCTTTCTAAAACCAGAAAATAAAAGTGTTTCAACGAAGCTTAATCTTTAGTATAATATTTACTTCTTTAAGAAAGGCTTTTAATCCTCCAAAACTTCAGCAAACCACTTGGGGAGGCACTAGATGTCACCAGGTTCAAGCCATGCAAACGTGGTCAAAGATTCACTCACAAATTCACCCACCCAACATCAATGAACGAAACCATCAGAAATAAAACAAAATGTAAAAATCCAATAGAAACAGAAAAAGTAACAGCACACTGTTCTTTACTTCACAATAGTACCTTTAGAACAGCACTTTGAGCCTGCTGTTCATTATTAATCATTTCCAAAATGACTGCTACTGTTTACACTTTCATCAATGTACAGTCTCTTCTTTATATCTAAAATATTTTCCTCAACTATTCTGACAGATTTCTTTCATAATTTAAGACTCAGACAGCTATGTGAAGTCTTCCTTGATTCTGGCTATCTTTCCTCAGATAAACGGTTTTATTTAATACAGGTTTTATAACATATGTAGTTAAGGTTTCTAAAGTGAGATTATGTCTCAACTAACTATAACTGAAATAGAAGAGTGTATCTATTCCAATGTAAACATGTTGACTGATAATGAGAAAAATGATCCTTATAAAGAATAGCAAATCATGATCCTGAGAGAGTAAGTATCAAAGCTGATGGGAGGATGCTATGGCCTATCTTTAATGCAATACTTCAGATTCAATTACACCATTATACTACAAGCATTTATCATGTCCAACTGTTTTTCCTATTATTTAGGAAGTACAAAATTGTGAGGACACTTCCAATAAATATACAATTTATTTCTCATCAGAGAAACTGTTTAAAATTAATCAGCTTAGATAGACAGTTGTAGAATAAAAATTAATAAAACTATTCATTTTTTTCATTCCTAGGTAGGCTACTGCTATGTCTACATTGCTTGTATCCTGCAGTTTGGCCCTGTCAAGAACTTTCTGAATCCACTCATGCAAGAAGATATGTAAACCACATCAAAAATAGTGTATAGGCTGGGTGTGGTGGCTCACGCCTGTAATCACAGCACTTTGGGAGGCTGAAGCAAGTGGATCACAAGGTCAGGAGGTCAAGACCAGCCTGACTAACATGGTGAAACCCCATCTCTACTCAAAATACAAAAATTAGCTGGGCATGGTGTCATGTGCCTGTAATCTCAGCTACTCAGGGGGCTGAGGCAGGAGAATCGCTTTAACCCGGGAGGTGGAGGTTGCAGTGAGCCGAGATTGTGCCATTACACTCCAGGCTGGGAGACAGAGCAAGACTCTGTCTCAAAAAAAAAAAAAAAAAAAAGTGTATAATAAGCTTTCAATATGTAAATAATTGTCAAAAATGAAAAAATTAAATTTCCACAGACTTATTAATAACATTTTATACTTCAAAATCAGTGCAACGTTCACTGATTATTTTGGTTTTGTTATTCAAAGAATGAATGCTATAACTTTTTGTTTCTAAAATTAGTTTGATTTGATATACCATGCTAATCTCTAAGGCACTTTCATGGAACTGTGATCTTATTAAAAAAATAGGTTTCTTAGTAAAATCAGTCAAAGTTTCTTAGTTCAAATAAATTTCATTTGATTAACTAATATCAACACTTCTATATAGCTCTCATAAATTATTCCCACCACAAATGAAGAGGAAAGCCTCTTAATTTAGCAGTAGTACCTTACATGTATAATTTCTATTTCCTAAATTTGTGTTCCTTTCCCTCTGGCTAGAAACATGCTCAGAAATAGTAGCAAAATGACACTGTTATGTTTCAAACTGCTATCAGAAGGCAAACAGGTATATGGAAAGGTGCTCGACATCACTGATCATCACAGAAATGCAAATCAAAGCTACAATGAGGTATCGTCTCACCTCAGTTAAAATGGCTTTTATCCAAATGGCAGGCATTAAGAAATGCTGGTGAGGATGTGGAGAAAGCAGAACCCTCCTACACCATTGGTGGCATTGTGAATTAGTACAGTCACCATGGAGAACACTATAGAGTCCTCAAAAAATTAAAAATACAGCTACCCACATGATCCAGCAATCCCATTGCTAGGTAACGATTCAAAAGCAAGAAAATCTCTTCACAGAATTGGAAAAAACTACTTTAAAGTTCATATGGAACCAAAAAAGAGCCCGCATCGCCAAGTCAATCCTAAGCCAAAAGAACAAAGCTGGAGGCATCACACTACCTGACTTCAAACTATACTACAAGGCTACAGTAACCAAAACAGCCTGGTACTGGTACCAAAACAGAAATATAGATCAATGGAACAGAACAGAGCCCTCAGAAATAATGCCACATATCTATAACTATCTGATCTTTGACAAACCTGAGAAAAACAAGCAATGGGGAAAGGATTCCCTATTTAATAAATGGTGCTGGGAAAACTGGCTAGCCATATGTAGAAAGCTGAAACTGGATCCCTTCCTTACACCTTATACAAAAATCAATTCAAGATGGATTAAAGATTTAAATGTTAGACCTAAAACCATAAAAACCCTAGAAGAAAACCTAGGCATTACCATTCAGGACATAGGCGTGGGCAAGGACTTCATGTCCAAAACACCAAAAGCAATGGCAACAAAAGCCAAAATTGACAAATGGGATCTAATTAAACTAAAGAGCTTCTGCACAGCAAAAGAAACTACCATCCGAGTGAACAGGCAACCTACAACATGGGAGAAAATTTTCACAACCTACTCATCTGACAAAGGGCTAATATCCAGAATCTACAATGAACCCAAACAAATTTACAAGAAAAAAACAAACAACCCCATCAAAAAGTGGGTGAAGGACATGAACAGACACTTCTCAAAAGAAGACATTTATGCAGCCAAAAAACACATGAAGAAATGCTCATCATCACTGGCCATCAGAGAAATGCAAATCAAAACCACTATGAGATATCATCTCACACCAGTTAGAATGGCAATCATTAAAAAGTCAGGAAACAACAGGTGCTGGAGAGGATGTGGAGAAATAGGAACACTTTTACACTGTTGGTGGGACTGTAAACTAGTTCAACCATTGTGGAAGTCAGTGTGGCGATTCCTCAGGGATCTAGAACTAGAAATACCATTTGACCCAGCCATCCCATTACTGGGTATATACCCAAAGGACTATAAATCATGCTGCTATAAAGACACATGCACACGTATGTTTATTGCGGCACTATTCACAATAGCAAAGACTTGGAACCAACCCAAATGTCCAACAATGATAGACTGGATTAAGAAAATGTGGCACATATATGCCATGGAATACTATGCAGCCATAAAAAATGATGAGTTCATGTCCTTTGTAGGGACATGGATGAAATTGGAAATCATCATTCTCAGTAAACTATCGCAAGAACAAAAAACCAAACACTGCATATTCTCACTCATAGGTGGGAATTGAACAATGAGATCACATGGACACAGGAAGGGGAATATCACACTCTGGGGACTGTGGTGGGGTCGGGGGAGGGGGGAGGGATAGCATTGGGAGATATACCTAATGCTAGATGACACGTTAGTGGGTGCAGCGCACCAGCATGGCACATGTATACATATATAGCTAACCTGCACAATGTGCACATGTACCCTAAAACTTAGAGTATAATAAAAAAAAAAAAAATTAAAAAAAAAAAAGAAAATTAAAAATTAAAAAAAAAAAAAAAAAAGCAAGAAAATCAGTATTATAAAAGAGAAATCTGTCCTGACATGTTTATTGCAGCACTTTTCACAATAGCCATAATTTGGAATCAACCTAAATGTACATCAACAGAAAAATGGGTTCTAAAAATGTGATACATATACGGCTCAGCCATGTGAAAGAATAAGATCCTCTCATTCGCAATGACATGGATGGAACAGGAGGACATTATGTCAAGTAAAATAATCCAGGCAAAGAAAGGAAGGCTTCACATGTTGTCAATCCTTTGTGGGTGTGAGAAATTTAAAAAATAGAGCTCATGGAGATGAAGAGAAAAATCACCATTACCACAGTCTAGGAAGGGTGTGGGGGTGGTAGGAAATGAGGATGCTTAATAAGTACAAACTATAGTTAGAAACAATGAATAAAATGTAGCATTTTATAGCACAAAAACATGACTACAGTCAGCAATAACTTGTCCATTTTAGCATTACTGAGGAAGTACAAATGAAAAGATAGCACAAAGAAATGGTTAATGCTTGAGGTGATGGATAACCCATTAACCATGATGTCATTATTACACATTGTATGCCTGTATCAAACTATCTCATCTACTCCATAAACATAAACACCTACAATTTACTCATTAAAATTAAAAACAAAAAAATAAAACACACACACACACACACACACACACACACACACAGTGTGCTAATCAGAACATCCGATTGGCTTAATATAATAAGTGTAACAAAATTGACCAGAACCAATAAAAGTTAAAACAAAATATGTTACAAAATAAAACATTTCATTAGCTAAAAGCCATAATTTTAATTGACTTTTAAAGCAAAACAAATATTTTACAGTATCAAAATTGATCTCTTTAATTCGCTAAAAACTATTGAAATTCCAAATTGGAAACTTCAGAGTATCAAAATGTAAAAGTAGAAACATCTGAATAAAACCTTATATTTTTAGGCCAGGCATGGTGGTTCACACCTGTAATCCCAGCACTTTGGGAGGGCGAGGCGGGAGGATCACCTGAGGTCGAGAGCTCAAGACCAGCCTGACCAACATGGAGAAAGCCTGTCTCTACTAAAAATACAAAATTAGCCGGGCATGGTGGGGCATACCTGTAATCCCAGCTACTCGGGAGGCTGAGGCAAGAGAATTGCTTGAACCAGGAAGGTGGAGGTTGTCGTGAGTTACAATTGAGCCATTGCACTCCACCCTGGGCAACAAGAGCAAAGCTCTGTCTCCAAAAACAAAAAACAAAACAAAACAAAAAACAAAACAAAACAAAAAAACCTTATGTTTTAAAAATATATTTTCTTTATGCATGTAAATCTCATTTTTGAAAATATAAATAAAAATGATAACAGCTGCATTATTTAGATGAAATCCTGAAATAAAATATAAAAAGTGAAATAATTGAGAATAGAAAGACTATGAGCATTACAAACAGATTAATGTACTTCTTTCCAGAGTTAAATCTACAATGCAAAGTTTACCTGGTGTGGATGTTTGTACATCCTTCATTTTGGTGGCTGTATTCAGAACAGAATTTTTATTTTCAATTGTAGCCTGAATGGGTTTTAAAACAAAGTGATTAGCACATGATGTATATTGGTATAGGTTATGCAGTTAATAATTAAAAATATAAATGTAAGAGTAATTACCTTCAAGGTGGGCAGATTCTCAGGATACTCTAACAAGCAAGAGAAATATATAATCAATCATATGTAAATATGGTAAGGCCAACCATACATTCGTGGAGTGTTAGCATCAAACTGAATACTCTTGCCTGTATTAGTGTAGGGTTTCATATTTTTCTAGTTTGTTTCTTTGGGACAGTAATATGATAGAAATGCAATGAAGAAAATAGGAATACAAGCTTCAAAACATACAGTTACAAGTTAAAAAGTGAGATTATGCACCACATCTATTGCTAAAAAAAAGTGTTAATATCAATGTGGGTATACTGATTAACAAGGAGAAATGTGATCTAAAATCAGAGGAGCAAGTCATAACCCTAGAAATAAGTGTAAAAGCTAGTGCTAACTGCGACTGCATGACTTTCATACAAGACATCAGAAGGCTTTATACCAGTATAACATAAACATTCATCATGCTCTATAGCTTGTCTGATAACTGAGAAGGTACACAATTACAATGACACTTCAGTTGAACATACACTTCACGTGTCTTCAGTGTAAGTGTCCTGAATTGATCTGCTTGGATATATGTTTGGTGAATCCTAGTAGTTAATATTCATTATTTATCATGCCCATGTGGTGTAATAATCTGCCTACATTTCTTATATCCTCTAGTTTAGCCTTCAGAAACTTTCTTCATCCACTAATGGCAAGAAGGTATAATATATAAACCCCATCAAAAAGTATAATAAATTATACATATTTATACAAAATGGAATTACTCCAGGCATTAGATATTAATAAACTTATACATTTGGAAATCAGTCTAATATTCATTGAAAATAATCACTTTAGGATTCAATTAATGAATTCAACATTATTTTTGTCTGTAAAATTAGTCTGCTCTGGAATATCACTTTACTATAAAGAATTTTCATTAAATAGCTATTTTAACAAGACAGCCAGCACTTTGGAAAAAAACTAAATATTCATATTAAACTTCAACTCATTTGAATAACTAATAAAAAATATATGTGTGATGTCTGATACTAAGAAACATGAATAATGAGGCACTGTGGTTTATCCCAATTCTAGCACTCCTTCCTGATTCCAGTAGTCATTGGAGCAGCCAGAAATCAGATGATCCGGTATGCAAATATTCAAAATGCATCTGAAGTGAGTTCACTCAGGCTTCCTCAGCAGAAACCCCAAAATTACCTAAATAACTTCTTCCTTCCCCTCTTTCTTGCCTTGCAATCCCTCTTTCTTGATGAAAATAATTACTACATCAGTGGTCACCTTGCTCCTCATTCTCCAGTGTTTATGGGTTATTATGACAACTTCCTCCCTCTGGTTTAAGTAGTACCATCTGACATCTATAATTTCTATTACTTTTTTCTCTTTCTCCTTCCCCTTTCCATAGAAACATGCTCTGAAATAAGAGCAAAATTATGCTGTCCCCGGATCCTCTTATCTCTTATGTCTTGAACTGTTTTCCAATGGTTCTTCTACACAATTTCCATGTAGGGAAGTCTATAAGCTTGTTACTAAGATCATGGCCAAGGACCAGCAGCATCAACAACACCTGACAACTCAGTAGAAATGCACAATCTCAGGCCTGCTGAATCAGAAAGTGCATTTTCAATGAGCACCCTGCTGATCTATTCAGGGGTGGGATGTTGTCTTCTATCTTGAGTGCACATGACATTAAATGTATATTGCTAAATTACCTGTTCCAGATTTCCAACCGCCTGTTATTCTTGTGGCAATATTCAAAAGAGAAACTTTCTTTTTAAATATAACCTGAATGGAAAGAGAAACAAAATAGTCAATACATAATATATATTTCATAGGCTATGCAATAAATAATTCAAAATATAAATGAAAGAGTAACTACCTTCTGGGCCGATTGTTTCTGAGGAGACACTGAAAAGTAAAAGAAATATATAATTCATCATATGTAAATATGACAAAGTCGTCCATACATTCATGCAGTGTTAGCATCAAGCTGTATCCTTCTGCCTGTATTAGGGTAGGATTTGATGTTTCCTACTTTGTGTCTGGGGATTGGAACATGACAGAAATACACTGAATAAAGTAATACAGCCTTCATGAAAAATATACTTACAATTTCAAGCATGGTATGATTTGTCATATGTCTAAAACTAAAATAAAACCGTGTCAATATCAACGTGGATATGCTGAGTGATGAGGACAAATGTGATCTAAAATCAGAGGATCAACTCATACAATTGAGAATCAATGTCAAAGTAGGTGGTACTTGATCCCACAGGTCTTTCATGCAAGAAATCAAAAGGATTTACACCATTATACTACAGACATTCATCATGCTCTTTAACTTGCCCCATAACTGAGAAGGTACACAATTACAATGACACTTCAGTTGAATGTACACTTCACGTCTCTTCAGTGGAAGTGTCCTAAATTGATCACCTTGGATATCTGTTTGCTGAAACTGAGTAGATAATATTTATTATTCCTCACACCCACGTGGTGTAATAATTTGCCTAAGTTTCTTGTATCCACTCGTTTAGCCTTCCAAAATTTCTTCATCCATTCATGGCACCAAAGGATAATATATTAGCCTCAATAAAAATATCATCAATTATCAATTTTGACATACTTCTACAAAGTAAAACTGCTACAAGCGTTAGATATTAATATGTTTTACATTCACAAATCACTCCAATATTCATTGAAAATGACCACTTTAGGAGTTAATTAGAATTCCACATACTTTTTGTTTCTATAATAGTCTTGTTGGGAGTATCATGCTATTCTCTAAAGAAGTTTCATCCAATAGCTATTTTACCCAAGAGTTAGCTCCTTGAACAATGAAGCCAATGTATTCATATTCAAGTTTATCTCATTTTTATAACTAAAATCAACAAAACATGTATCTCTGATGCCTAACAGTAACAAAGAGGAGTAACGAGTCAGTGTGCTTTATCCCAATTCTAGCATTGTTTCCTGCTTCCAGTAGTTCTTGGAGAAGCCAAAATTTAATATTCTTTTATGCAAATATTCCAAATTTATCTGAAGTGAGTTCACTCAGCTTTCCTCAACAGAAACCCCAAAATTACATAAATAACTTCTTCTTTTCTCTCCTTCCTGCCTCACAATCCCTCTTCCTTGCGGAAAATAATTACTACTTCAGTGATCTTGTTCGTTCTCATTCTATGCTGTTTTTGAGGTATTAGGATCACTTTTCCCTCTGTTTATAACAATATGATCTGACGCCTATAATATCTATTACTTCATCTCTTTCTCCTTCCCCTCTTGATGGAAACTTGCTGTAGAATTAAAGCAAAATGATGCTGTCCCCTGAGGCTGTTATGTGCTGAACCGCTCTCCTATGGCTCTTCTTCCCAATTTCAATGTAGGGAAGTCTACAATCTTACTACTCAGATCATGGTCAAGGACCAGCACCATCAGGGTCACCTGAGGACTTATTACAAATGAAGAATCTCAGGCATGCTGAATCCAAACATAAAACTTCAATGAACCCCCCGCTGATTTATTTAGGGAAGTGAATTTCTCTTCTATTTGATCGAACATTACATTAAAGGTGTATTCCAAAATACCTGTCCCACGTATTTGTCCATCCTTTATTTCTGTGGCTATATTCGAAACAGAATCTTTCTTGACACTTGTAGCCTGAATGGGATTTGAAACAAAATAATCAATACATAAAGTATATATTCATAGACTATACAGTTAATAGTTCAAAATATATATGAGTGTTTAATTACCTTCCAGGCCGGTTGTTTCTGAGAAGACACTGAAAAGCAAAACAGATACATAATCACTCATATGTGCATATGATAAAGTTATTCAAACATTCATGCAGTGTTAGCATCAAGCTGCCTCTGTCTGCAGTTATTAGTGTAGGCTTTGATGCTTTATACTTTGTGTTTTGGGATGGGAACATGACAGAAATACACTGAAGAAAACAGGAATACAGGTTTCAAGAAATATACACTAAGCATTTCAAACGTAGTATGATTTGTCATATGACTAAAACTAAAATAAAAGTGTCAATTTCAATAAGGATATGCCGAGTGATGAGGACAAATGTGGTCTAAAATCACAGAAGAAACTAATCACCTGGGAATCAATGTCAAAGCAGGTGGTACATGCACCCGCATGACTTTCATGCAAGATATCCGAATGATTAAACCATTATACTGCAAACATTCAACATGCTCTTTAACTTGCCCAATAACTGAGAAGGTACACAATTACAATGACACTTCACTTGAACGTGCACTTCACATCTCTTAAGTGGAAGGGACCTAAATCGATCAACGTGGATGTATGTTTCCTGAATCCAAGTAAATAATTCATTATTTCTCACACCCATGTGCTGTAATAATTTGCCTAAGCTTCTTGTATTCTCTAGTTTAGCCTTTTGAACATTTCTTCATCCACTCGTGGCAACAAAGTATAATATATAACCTCAATAAAAAGCATCATCAATTATCAATTTTGACATAATTCTACTAAATAAAACTGCTACAAGTATTGGATATTAATAAGCTTTTACACTTGGAAATCACTCCAATATTCATTGAAAATTACCATTTTAGGAGTCAGTTGTTGAATTCAACATTATTTTTGTTTCTAAAATAGTCTTGTTAGGAATATCATGCTATTCTCTAAAGAATATTCATTAAATACCTATTTTATCCAAGAGTCAGCTCTTTGATCAATGAAGCCAATGTATTCATATTCAAGTTTATCTAACTTCTATAAAAAACTAAAATCAACAAAACGTGTTTAAGTCTGATATCTAACAGTAACAAAGAAGAGTAATTAGTAAATGAAGTTTATCCCAATTCTAGCATTATCTCCTGCACCCAGTAGTTCCAGCAGCTGCCAAAATCAAATCTTCTTTATGCAAATATGCTAAATGCCTCTGAAGTGAGTCCACTCAGGTTTCCTCAGCAGAAACCCCAAAATTACATAAATAACTTCTTCTTTTCCCTCCTTCCTGCCTCACAATCCCTCTTCCTTGGGAAAAATCATTGCTATATCAGTGGTCTCCTTAGTTCTCATTCTACAGCGTCTACAGGTTATTAGGATCACTATTCTGTCTTTTTTATAGCAGTATGATGTGACGTCTGTAAAATATATACTTCATGTCTTTCTCCTTCTACCCTTATTGAAAACATGCTGTAGAATTAAAGCAAAATTATGCTGTTCCCCTGAGCCCCTTATGTCTTGAACTGCTCTCCATATTTCTTCTTCCCAATTTCAATGTGGGGAAGTCTATAATCTTACTGCAAAGATCATGTCCAAGACCAGCAGCATCAGCGTCACCCAAGAACTTATTAAAAATGAAGAATGTCAGGCCTGCTGAATCAGAATGTGCAGTTTTGATGAGCCCCACACTGATTTGTTCGGGGAAGAGAAGTACTTTTCTATCTGGACTGAACATGACATTAAATGTGTTTTGCAAAATTACCTGTTCCAGATTGTTGTCCATCCTTTATTTCTGTGGGTATATTCGAAACAGAATCTTTCTTGTCACTTGTAGCCTGAATGGAATTTGAAACAAAATAATCAATACATAAACTATGTTTCATAGACCACACAGTTAATAGTTCACAATATAAATGAGAGTTTAATTACCTTCAAGGCTGGTTGTTTCTGACAAGACACTGAAAAGCAAAAGGGATACATAATCACTCATATGTAAATATGATAAAGTTATCCATACATTCCTGCACTGTTGGCATCAAGATGTATCTTCCTGCCTGTATTAGTATAGGCTTTGATGTTTTCTACTTTGTGACTCGGGACTGGAATATGACAGAAATACACTGAAAAAGGTGAATACAGGCTTCACAAAATATACTTACAATTTCAAACATGGCATGATTTGTCATATGTCTAAAACTAAAATAAAACCGTGTCAATATCAATGTGGATATGCCAAGTGATGAGGACAAATGTGATCTAAAATCAGAGGAGCAACTCATACAATTGAGAATCAATGTCAAAGCAGGTTCTACATGATGCCACATGTCTTCCATGCAAGAAATCAGAAGGATTTACACCATTATAGTACAAACATTCATCATGCTCTTTAACTTGCCCAATAACTGAGAAGGCACACAATTACAATGACACTTCAGTTGAACGTACACTTCACGTCTCTTCAGTGGAAGTGTCCTAAATTGATCAGCTTGGATTATGTTTGCTGAAACCTAGTAGAGAATATTCATTATTTCTCACACCCCTGTGGTGTAATAATTTGCCTAAGTTTCTTGTATCCACTCGTTTAGCCTTCTGAAAGTTTCTTCATCCACTCATGGCACCAAAGGATAATATATTAGCCTCAATAAAAATATCATCAATTACCAATGTTGACATATTTCTACAAAGTAAAACTGCTACAAGCATTAGATATTAATAAGTTTTACATTCAGAAATCAATCAAATATTCATTGAAAGGACCACTTTAGGAGTTAATTAGAATTCAACATATTTTTTGTTTCTAAAAAGTCTTCTTTGGAGTATCATGCTATTCTCTAAAGAAGTTTCATTCAATAGCTATTTTATCCAAGACTTAGCTCCTTGAACTTTGAAGCCAATGTATTCATATTCGTTTATCTCAGTTTTATAACTGAAATCAACAAAACATGTATCTCTGATGCCTAATAGTAAATTACTCCTAAAGAGGAGTAATGAGTCACTGTGGTTTATCCCAATTCTAGCATAGTTTCCTGCTTCTAGTAGTTCCTGGAGCAGCCAAAATCAAATCTTCTTTTATGCAAATGTTCCAAATGTATTGAAGTGAGTTCACTGAGGTTTCCTCAGCAGAAATCCCAAATTACATAAATAACTACTTTTCCCTCCTTCCTGACTCACAATCCCTATTCCTTGAGGAAAATAATTGCTACATCACTGCTCTTGCTAGTTCTCATTCTACAGTGTTTTTGTGGTATTAGGATCACTTTTCCCTCTGTTTATCACAATACAATCTGACGCCTCTAATATCTATTACTTCATCTCTTTCTCTTTTCCCTCTTGATGGAAACATGCTGTAGAATTAAAGCAAAATGATGCTGTCCCCTGAGCCTGTTATGTGTTGAATTGCTGTCAGATGGTTCTTTTTCCCAATTTCAAAGTACAGACATCTATAATCTTAGTACTTCCATCATGGCCAAGGACCACAGCATCAGGGTCACCCGAGAACTTATTACAAATGAATAATCTCAGGAATACTGAAGCAGAACATGAAGGCTTGACGAACCCCCCGCTGTTTTATTTGGTGAAGAGAAGTTCTCTTCTACCCTGACCGAACATCATATTAAATGTGTTTGCAAAATTACCTGTCCCAGATATTTGTTCATCCTTTTTTTCCGTGGCCATATTCGGAACAGAATCTTCCTTGTCACAGATAGCCTGAATAGAATTTGAAACAAAACAGTCAATAAATAAAGTATATTTCATATACTATACAGTTAATAGTTCAAAATATAAATGAGAGCTTAATTACCTTCAATGCTGGTTGTTTCGGAGAAGACACTGAAAAGCAAAAGGGATACATAATCACTCATATGTAAATATGATAAAGTTATCCATACATTCATACAGTGTTAGCATCAAACTCTGTCCCCCAGCCTGTATTAGTGTAGGCCTTGACGGCTTCTACTTTGTGTCTGGGGACCAGAACATGACAGAAATACACTGAAAAAAGGGAATACAGGCTCCATGAAATATATCCTTACAATTTCAAAGATGCTATGATTTGTCATATGTCGAAAACTAAAATAAAGCCCTGTCAATATCAATGTCGATATGCCGGGTGATGAGGACAAAGTGATCTAAAATCAGAGGAGCAACTCATACACCTGAGAATCAATGTCAAAGCAGGTGCTACAGGATCCCACATGTCTTTCATGCAACAAATCAAAAGGATTTACACCATTATAGTACAAACATTCATCATGCTCTTTAACTTGCCCAATAACTGAGAAGGCACACAATTACGAAGACATTTCAGTGGAACGTACACTTCACATCTCTTCAGTGGAAGTGTCCTAAATTGATCACCTTGGATATCTGCTTGCTGATACCTAGTAGATAATATTCATTATCTCTCACCCCCATGTGGTGTAATAATTTTCCTAAGTTTCTTGTATCCACTAGTTTAGACTTCCAAAAGTTTCTTCATCCACTCATGGCACCAAAGGATAATATATTAGCCTCAATAAAAATATCATCAATTATCAACTTTGACATACTTCTTCAAAGTAAAACTGCTACAAGCATTAGATATTAATCAGTTTTTCATTCAGAAATCACTGCAATATTCATTGAAAATGACTATTTTAGGAGTTAATTAGAATTCAACATCATTTTTGTTTCTAAAATAGTCTTTTTGGGAGTATCACGTTATTCTCTAAAGAAGTTTCATTAAATAGCTATTTCATCCAAGAGGTAGCTCCTTGAACAAGGAAGGAAATTTATTCATATTCAAGATTATCTCATTTTTATAACTAAAATCAACAAAACATGTATCTCTGACGCCTCCTAGTAACAAAGAGGAGTAATGAGTCAGTGTGGTGTATTCCAATTATACCATTGTTTCCTGCTTCCAGTAGTTCCTCGAGCAGCCAAAATCAAATTTTTTAATGAAAATATTCTAAATGCATCTGAAGTGAGTTCACTCAGGTTTACTCAGCAGAAACCCCAAAATTATATAAAAGAATTCCTCTTATTCCGCCTTCCTGCCTCACAATCCGTCTTCCTTAGGAAAATAGTTGCTACACCAGGGGTCTCCTTAGTTCTCCTACACTGTACACGGGTTATTACAACAAGTTATCTGTCTGTTTTTAGCAGTACGATGTGACGTCTGTAAAATCTATACTTCCTCTCTTTATCCTTCCACCCTTACTGAAAACAAGCTGTAGAATTAAAGTAAAATTATGTTGTTCCCCAGAGCCCCTTATGTCTTGAGCTGCTCTCCGTATTTCTTCTTCCCAATTTCAATGTGGGGAAGGGT
Organism: Homo sapiens; assembly: GCF_000001405.40. Taxonomy (NCBI): domain Eukaryota; kingdom Metazoa; phylum Chordata; class Mammalia; order Primates; family Hominidae; genus Homo; species Homo sapiens. The sequence continues at coordinate 97,210,065 of NC_000002.12, read as the reverse complement.
ATAATCTTAGAGCGAAGATCATGTTCCAGGCCAGCAGCATCAGCACCACACAAGAACTTATTTGAAATGAAGAATCTCAGGACTGCTGAATCAGAATGTGCAGCTTCAACGAGCCCTCCGCTGATTTATTCAGGGAAGAGAATTTCTTACCTATCTGGACTGAACATGACATTAAATCTGTTTTCAAAATTACCTGTCCTAGATTTTTCTCCATCCTTTTTTTCTCTGGCTATATACAAAACAGAATCTTTCTCGTCACTTGTAGCCTGAATGGAATTTGAAATGAAATAATAAGTAAGGTATCTTTCATAGGCTATACGTTTACTAGCTCACAATATGAATGAGAGTTTCATTACCTTCAAGGCTGGTTTTTTCCGAGAAGACACTGAAAAGCAAAAGGGATACATAATCACTCACATGTAAATATGATAAAGTTATCCATACATTCACACAGTGTTAGCATCAACCTCTGTCCTCCTGCCTGTATTAGTGGAGGCTTTGATGGCTTCTACTTTGTGTCTGGGGATCAGAACATGACAGAAATACACTGAAAAAGGGAACACAGGCTCCATGAAATATACCCTTACAATTTCAAACATTATATGATTTGTCACGTGTCAAAAACTAAAATAAAACCGTGTCAATCTCAATGTGGATATGCCGAGTGATGAGGACAAATGTGATCTAAAATCAGAGGAACAACTCATATACGTGAGAATCAATGTCAAAACAGGTGCTACATGATCCCATATGTCTTTCATGCAACAAATCAAAAGGATTTACACCATTATACTACAAACATTCTTCATGCTCTTTAACTTGCCCAATAAATGAGAAGGCACACAATTACAATGACACTCCAGTTGAAAGTACACTTCACATCTCTTCAGTGGAAGTGTCCTGAATTGATCACCTTGGATATCTGTTTGCTGATACCTAGTAGATAATATTCATTATCTTTCACACCCATGTAGTGTAATAATTTGCCTAAGTTTCTTGTATCCACTAGTTTAGCCTTCCGAAAGCTTCTTCATCCACTCTTGGCACCAAAGGATAATATATTAGCCTCAATAAAAATATCATCAATTATCAACTTTGACATACGTCTACAAAGTAAAATGGCTACAAGCATTAGATATTAATCAGCTTTTCATTCAGAAATCACTGCAATATTCATTGAAAATGACTATTTTAGGAGTTAATTAGAATTCAACATCATTCTTGTGTCTAAAATAGTCTGGTTGGGAGTATCGTGTTATTCTCTAAAGAAGTTACATTAAATAGCTATTTTATCCACGAGGTAGCTCCTTGAACAAGGAAGCAAATTTATTCACATTCAAGATTATCTCATTTTTATAACTAAAATCAACAAAACATGTATCTCTGATGCCTCCTAGTAACCAAGAGGAGTAATGGGTCAGTGTGGTGTATTCCAATTATACCACTGTTTCCTGCTTCCAGTAGTTCCTGGAGCAGCTAAAAGCAAATATTTTTTATGAAAATATTCCAAATGCATCTGAAGTGAGTTCACTCAGGTTTCCTCAGCAGAAACTCCAAAATTATATAAATGACTTCCTCTTTTCACACCTTCCTGCCTCACAATCCGTCTTCCTTAGGAAAACTGTTGCTACACCAGGGGTCTCCTTAGTTCTCCCACAGTGTCTACGGGTTGTTACAACAAGCTTTCTGTCTTTTCTTGGCAGTACGAGCTGAAGTGTGTAAATTCTATACTTCCTCTCTTTCTCCTTCCACCCTTACTGAAAACAAGCTGGAGAATTAAAGCAAAATTATGTTGTTCCCCAGAGCCCCTTATGCCTTGAACTGCTCTCCATAATTCTTCTTCCCAATTTCAATGTGGGGAAGTGTATAATCTTACTGCGAAGATCATGTTCCAGACCAGCAGCATCAGCATCACCCAAGAACTTATTTGAAATGAAGAATCTCAGGACTGCTGAATCAGAATGTGCAGCTTCAACGAGCCCCCCGCTGATTTATTCAGGGAAGAGAACTTCTTATCTATCTGCACTGAACATGACATTAAATCTCTTTTCAAAATTACCTCTCTTAGTTTTTTCTCCATACTTTTTTCCTCTGGCTATATTCAAAACAGAATCTTTCTCGGCACTTGTAGCCTGAATGGAATTTCAAATGAAATAATAAATTAATAAAGTATGTTTCATAGACTATACATTTACTAGTTCACAATATAAATGACAGTTTCATTACCTTCAAGCCTGATGGTTTCTCAGAAGACACTGAAAAGTAAAAGGGATTCATAATCACTCATGTGTAAAAATGACAAAATTATCCATACATTCATACAGTGTTAGCATCAACCTCTGTCCTCCTGCCTGTATTAGCGTAGGCTTTGATGGCTTCTACTTTGTGTCTGGGGACTAGAACATGACAGAAATACGCTGAGAAAATGGAATACAGGCTCCATGAAATATAGTCTTAGAATTTCAAACATGGTATGATTTGTCATATGTGAAAAACTAAAATAAAACCGTGTCAATATCAACGTGGATATGCCGAGTGATGAGGACAAAGTGATCTAAAATCAGAGGAGCAACTCATACACCTGAGAATCAATGTCAAAGCAGGTGCTACATGATCCCACATGTCTTTCATGCAGGAAATAAAAAGGATTTACACCATTATACTACAAACATTCATCATGCTCTTTAACTTGCCCAATAACTGAGAAGGCACACAATTACCATGACAATTCAGTTGAACGTACACTTCACATCTCTTCAGTGGAAGTGACCTAAATTCATCACCTTGGATATCTGTTTGCTGATACCTAGTAGATAATATTCATTATCTCTCACCCCCATATGGTGCAATAATCTGCCTAAGTTTCTTGTATCCACTAGTTTAGCCTTCCGAAAGTTTCTTCATCCAGTCATGGCAACAAAGGATAATATATTAGCCTCAATAAAAATATCATCAATTATCAATTTTGACATACACATACAAAGTAAGACTGCTACAAGCATTAGATATTGATCAGTTTTTCATTCAGAAATCACTGCAATATTCATTGAAAATGAGCATTTTAGGAGTTAATTAGAATCCAGCATAATTTTTGTTTCTAAAATAGCCTTCTTGGGAGTATCATGTTGTTCCCTAAAGAAGTTTCATGAAATAGCTATTGTATCCAAGAGGTGGCTCCTTGAACAAGGAAACCAATGTATTCAGATTCAAGTTTGTCTGATTTCTATACCTAAAATCAACAAAACATGTATCTCTGATGCCTAATAGTAACAAAGGGGAGTAATGAGTCAGTGTGTTTTTATGCCAATTCTAGGATTGCTTCCTTCTTCCAGCAGTTCCTGAAGCAGCCAAAATCAAGTACTTTTTATTAAAATATTCCAAATGCATCTGAAGTGAGTTCACTCAGGTTTCCTCAGCAGAAACCCCAAAATTATATAAATGACTTCTTCTTTTCACACCTTCCTGCCTCACAATCCGTCTTCTTTGGGAAAGTGATTGCTACACCAGGGGTCTCCTTAGTTCTCCTACAGAGTGTACGGGTTATTACAACAAGTTTTCTGTCTGTTTTTAGCAGTATGATGTGACATCTGTAAAATCGATACTTCCTCTCTTTCTCCTTCCACCCTTAGTGAAAACAAGCTGGAGGATTAAAGCAAAACTATGCTGTTCCCCAGAGACCCTTATGTCTTCAACTGCTCTCCATATATCTTCTTCCCAACTTCAACGTGGGGAAGTGTATAATCTTACAGCGAAGATCATGTTCCAGACCAGCAGCATCAGCATCACCCAAGAACGTACTACAAATGAAGAATCTCCGGCCTGCTGAATCAGAAAGTGCAGCTTCGATGAGCCCCCCGCTGATTTACTTGGGGAAGAGAACTTCTTATCTATCTCGACTGAACATGGCATTAAATCTGTTTTCAGAATTACCTGTCCTAGATTTTTCTCCATCCTTGTTTTCTCTGGCTATACTCAAAACAGAATCTTCCTCATCACTTGTAGCCTGAATGGAATTTGAAACAAAATAATAAATAAATAAAGTATGTTTCATAGACCATATATTAACTCGTTCACAATATAAATGGGAGTTTCATTACCTTCAAGGTTGGTGGTTTCTGAGAAGACACTGAAAAGCAAAAGTGATTCATAATCAGTCATATGTAAATATGATAAAGATATCCATACATTCAAGCAGAGTTAGCATCAACCTCTGTCCTCCTGCCTGTATTAGCATAGGCTTTGATGGCTTCTACTTTGTGTCTGGGGACTAGAAAATGACACAAATACACTGAGAAAAGGGAATACAGGCTCCATGAAATATACCCTTACAATTTCAAACGTGGTAAGATTTCTCATATGTCGAAAACTAAAATAAAACCGTGTCAATATCAATGTGCTTAGGCCGAGTGATGAGAACAAATGTGATCTAAAATCAGAGGAGCAACTCACACACCTGAGAATCAATGTCAAAGCAGGTGCTACATGATCCCACATGTCTTTCACACAACAAATCAATAGGATTTACACAATTATACTACAAACATTCATCATGCTCTTTAACATGCCCAATAACTGAGAAGGCACACAACTGCGATGATGCTTCAGTTGAACTTACACTTCACATCTCTTCAGTGGAAGTGTCCTAAATTGATCACCTTGGATACCTCTTTGCTGATACCTAGTACATAATATTCATTATCTCTCACACCCATGTGGTGTAATAATTTGCTTAACTTTCTTGTATCCACTAGTATAGCCTTCCAAATGTTTCTTCATCCACTCATGGCACCAAAGGATAATATATTAGCCTCAATAAAAATATCATCAATTATCAATTTTGACATATTTCTACAAAGTAAAACTGCCACAACCATTAGACAATAATAAGTTTTACATTCAGAAATCATTCCAATATTCATTGAAAATGATCACTCTAGGACTTCATTGGAATGCAACATAATTTTTGTTTCTAAAATACCCTTGTTGGCAATATCATGTTATTTTCTAAAGAAGTTTCATTAAACAGCTATTTTATCCAAGAGGTAGCTCCTTGAACAAAGAAGCCAATGTATTCATATTCAAGTTTATCTCATTTCTATAACTAAAATCAACAACACGTGTATCTCTGATGCCTAATAGTAACAAAGAGGAGTAATGAGTTATTGTGTTTTTATGCCAATTCAACCACTGTTTCCTGCTTCCAGCAGTTGCTGGAGCAGCGAAAATCAAATATTTTTTATGAAAATATTCCAAATGCATCTGAAGTGAGTTCACTCAGGTTTCCTCAGCAGAAACCCCAAAATTATATAAATGACTTCCTCTTTTCACACCTTCCTGCCTCACAATCCGTCTTCCTTAGGAAAACTGTTGCTACACCAGGGGTCTCCTTAGTTCTCCTACAGTGTCTACGGGTTGTTACAACAAGCTTTCTGTCTTTTCTTGGCAGTGCGAGCTGAAGTGTGTTAATTCTATACTTCCTCTCTTTTCCCCTCCACCCCTACTGAAAACAAGCTGGAGAATTAAAGCAAAATTATGTTGTTCCCCGGAGCCCCTTATGCCTTGAACTGCTCTCCATATTTCTTCTTCCCAATTTCAATGTGGGGAAGTGTATAATCTTACTGTGAAGATCATGTTCCAGACCAGCAGCATCAGCATCACCCAAGAACTTATTTGAAATGAAGAATCTCAGGACTGCTGAATCAGAATGTGCAGCTTCAACGAGCCCCCCGCTGATTTATTCAGGGAAGAGAACTTCTTATCTATCTGCACTGAACATGACATTAAATCTCTTTTCAAAATTACCTGTCCTAGTTTTTTCTCCATCCTTTTTTCCTCTGGCTATATTCAAAACAGAATCTTTCTCATCACTTGTAGCCTGAATGGAATTTGAAATGAAATAATAAATTAATAAAGTATGTTTCGTAGACTATACATTTACTAGTTCACAATATAAACGACAGTTTCATTACCTTCAAGCCTGGTGGTTTCTCAGAAGACACTGAAAAGTAAAAGGGATTCCTAATCACTCATATGTAAAAATGACAAAATTATCCATACATTCATGCAGTGTTAGCATCAGCCTCTGTCCTCCTGCCTGTATTAGCGTATGCTTTGATGGCTTCTAATTTTGGTCTGGGGATTAGAACGTGACAGAAATACGCTGAGAAAAGCAATACAGGCTCCATGAAATATAGTCTTAGAATTTCAAACATGGTATGATTTGTCATATGTGAAAAACTAAAATAAAACCGTGTCAATATCAATGTGGATATGCCGAGTGATGAGGACAAAGTGATCTAAAATCAGAGGAGCAACTCATACACGTCAGAATCAATGTCAAAGCAGGTGCTACATGATCCCACATGTCTTTCATACAGGAAATAAAAAGGATTTACACCATTATACTACAAACATTCATCATGCTCTTTAACTTGCCCAATAACTGAGAAGGCACACAATTACCATGACAATTCAGTTGAACGTACACTTCACATCTCTTCAGTGGAAGTGTCCTACATTCATCACCTTGGATATCTGTTTGCTGATACCTAGTAGATAATATTCATTATCTCTCACCCCCATATGGTGTAATAATCTGCCTAAGTTTCTTGTATCCACTAGTTTAGCCTTCCAAAAGTTTCTTCATCCAGTCGTGGCACGAAGGGATAATATATTAGCCTCAATAAAAATATCATCAATTATCAAATTTGACATACACATACAAAGTGAAACTGCTACAAGCATTAGATATTGATCAGTTTTTCATTCAGAAATCACTGCAATACCCATTGAAAATGAGCATTTTAGGAGTTAATTAGAATCCAGCATAATTTTTGTTTCTAAAATAGCCTTCTTGGGAGTATCATGTTGTTCTCTAAAGAAGTTTCATGAAATAGCTATGGTATCCAAGAGGTAGCTCCTTGAACAAGGAAACCAATGTATTCAGATTCAAGTTTGTCTCAATTATATAACTAAAATCAACAAAACATGTATCTCTGATGCCTAATAGTTACAAAGGGGAGTAATGAGTCAGTGTGTTTCTATGCCAGTTCTAGGATTGCTTCCTTCTTCCAGCAGTTCCTGCAGCAGCCAAAATCAAGTATTTTTTATTAAAATATTCCAAATGCATCTGAAGTGAGTTCACTCAGGTTTCCTCAGCAGAAACCCCAAAATTATACAAATGACTTCCTCTTTTCACCCCTTCCTGCCTCACAATCCGTCTTCTTTGGCAAAATGATTGCTACAACAAGGGTCTCCTTACTTCTCCTACAGTGTGTACGGGTTATTACAAGAAGTTTTCTGTCTGTTTTTAGCAGTACGATGTGACGTCTGTAAAATCGATACTTCCTCTCTTTCTCCTTCCACCCTTACTGAAAACAAGCTGGAGGATTAAAGCAAAACTATGCTGTTCCCCAGAGCCCTTTATGTCTTCAACTGCTCTCCATGTATATTCTTCCCAACTTCAATGTGGGGAAGTGTATAATCTTACAGCGAAGATCATGTTCCAGACCAGCAGCATCAGCATCACCCAAGAACTTACTACAAATGAAGAATCTCCAGCCTGCTGAATCAGAAAGTGCAGCTTCGACGAGCCCCCCGCTGATTTATTTGGGGAAGAGAACTTCTTATCTACCTGGACTGAACATGACATTAAATCTGTTTTCAAAATTACCTGTCCTAGATTTTTCTCCATCCTTGTTTTCTCTGGCTATACCCAAAACAGAATCTTCCTCGTCACTTGTACCCTGAATGGAATTTAAAACGAAATAATAAATAAAGTATGTTTCATAGACCATACATTAACTCGTTCACAAGATAAATGGGAGTTTCATTACCTTCAAGGCTGGTGGTTTCTGAGAAGACACTGAAAAGCAAAAGGGATTCATAATCAGTCATACGTAAATATGACAAAGATTTCCATACATTCGAGCACTGTTAGAATCAACCTCTGTCCTCCTGCCTGTATTAGCATAGGCCTTCATGGCTTCTACTTTGTGTCTGGGGACTAGAACGTGACAGAAATACACTGAGAAAAGCGAATACAGGCTCCATGAAATATACCCTTACAATTTCAAACATGGTATGATTTCTCATATGTCGAAAACTAAAATAAAACCATGTCAATATCAATGTGGATATGCCGAGTGATGAGAACAAATGTGATCTAAAATCAGAGTAGCAACTCACACACCTGAGAATCAATGTCAAAGCAGGTGCTACATGATCCCACATGTCTTTCATGCAACAAATCAAAAGGATTTACACCATTATACTACAAACATTCATCATGCTCTTTAACATGCCCAATAACTGAGAAGGCACACAATTGCGATGATGCTTCAGTTGAACTTATACTTCACATCTCTTCCGTGGAAGTGTCCTACATTGATCACCTTGGATACCTCTTTGCTGATACCTAGTACATAATATTCATTATCTCTCCCACCCATGTGGTGTAATAATTTGCATAAGCTTCTTGTATCCACTAGTTTAGACTTCCAAAAGTTTCTTCATCCACTCATGGCACCAAAGGATAATATATTAGCCTCAATAAAAATATCATCAATTATCAATTTTGACATATTTCCACAAAGTAAAACTGCCACAACCATTAGATATTAATAAGTTGTACATTCAGAAATCATTCCAATATTCATTGAAAATGATCACTCTAGGACTTAATTGGAATGCAACATAATTTTTGTTTCTAGAATACCCTTGTAGGCAGTATCATGTTATTTTCTATAGAAGTTTCATTAAACAGCTATTTTATCCAAGAGGTAGCTCCTTGAACAAGGAAACCAACATATTCATATTCAAGTTTATCTCATTTCTATAACTAAAATCAACAAAAGATGTATCTCTGATGCCTAGTAGTAACAAAGAGGAGTAATGAGTTATTGTGTTTTTATGCCAATTCAAACACTGTTTCCTGCTTCCAGCAGTTGCTGGAGCTGCCAAAGTCAAATATTGTTTATGCAAATATTCCAAATGCATCTGAAGTGAGTTCACTCAGGTTTCCTCAGCAGTAACCACAAAATTATATAAATGACTTCCTCTTTTCCCACCTTCCTGCCTCACAATCCGTCTTCATTCAGAAAATAATTGCTACATCAGGGGTCTTCTCAGTTCTCCTTCTACAGTGTCTACGGGTTATAATGAACAGTTTTCTGTCTGTTTTTAGCACTATGATGTGACGTCTGTAAAATCTGTACTTCCTCTCTTTCTCCTTACACCCTTAATGAAAAGATGCTACAGAATTAAAGCAAAATTATGCTGGGCCCCAGAGCCCCTTATGTCTTCAACTGCTCTCCATGTTTCTTCCTCCCAATTGTAATGTGGGGATGCGTATAATCTTACAGCGAAGATCATGCTGCAGACAAGCAGCATCAGCATAACCCAAGAACTTGTTAGAAAAGAAGAATCTCAAGCTTGGTGAATCAGAACGTGCAGCTTCAACCAGCCCCCGACTGATTTATTCGGGGAAGAGAACTTCTTATCTGGACTGAACATGACATTAAATGTGTTTCGCAAAATTACCTTTCCTAGATATTTCTCCATCCTTTTTTTCTCTGGTTATATTCGAAAAAGAATCCTTCTCATCACTTGTGGCCTGAATGGAATTTGAAACAAAGTAATAAATAAGGTATGTTTCATAGGCTATACGTTTACTAGCTCACAATATGAATGAGAGTTTCATTACCTCCAAGGATGGTTTTTTCCGAGAAGACACTGAAAAGCAAAAGGGATACATAATCACTCACATGTAAACATGATAAAATTATCCATAGATTCACACAGTGTTAGCATCAACCTCTGTCCTCCTGCTTGTATTAGTGGAGGCTTTGATGGCTTCTACTTTGTGTCTGGGGATCAGAACATGACAGAAATACACTGAAAAAAGGGAACACAGGCTCTGTGAAATACACCCTTACGATTTCAAACATGGTAAGATTTGTCATGTGTCGAAAACTAAAATAAAACCGTGTCAATCTCAATGTGGATATGCCGAGTGATGAGAACAAATGTGATCTAAAATCAGAGGAGCAACTCATATACGTGAGAATCAATGTCAAAACAGGTGCTACATGATCCCACATGTCTTTCATGCAACAAATTAAGAGGATTTACACCATTATACTGCAAACATTCATCATGCTCTTTAACTTGCCCAATAACTGAGAAGGCACACAATTACGATGACACTCCAGTTGAACGTACACTTCACATCTCTTCAGTGCAAGTGTCCTGAATTGATCACCTTGGATATCTGTTTGCTGATACCTAGTACATAATATTCATTATCTCTCACACCCATGTAGTGTAATAATTTGCCTGAGTTTCTTGTATCCACTAGTTTACCCTTCCGAAAGTTTCTTCATCCACTCTTGGCACCGAAGGATAATATATTAGCCTCAATAAAAATATCATCAATTATCAACTTTGACATACTTCTACAAGGTAAAATGGCTACAAGCATTAGATATTACTCAGTTTTTCATTCAGAAATCACTGCAATATTCATTGAAAATGACCATTTTAGGAGTTAATTGGAATTCAACATCATTCTTGTGTCTAAAATAGTCTTGTTGGGAGTATCGTGTTATTCTCTAAAGAAGTGTCATTAAATAGCTATTTTATCCAACAGGTAGCTCCTTGAACAAGGAAGCAAAATTTATTCACATTCAAGATTATCTGATTTTTATAACTAAAATCAACAAAACATGTATCTCTGAGGCCTCCTAGTAACAAGAAGAGTAAGGGGTCAGTGTGGTGTATTCCAATTATACCATTGTTTCCTGCTTCCAGTAGTTCCTGGAGTAGCCAAAATCAAATATTTCTTATGGAAATATTCCCAATGCATCTGAAGTGAGTTCACTCAGGTTTCCTCAGCAGAAACTCCAAAATTATATAAATGACTTCCTCTTTTCACACCTTCCTGTCTCACAATCCATCTTCCTTAGGAAAATAGTTGCTACACCAGGGGTCTCCTTAGTTCTCCTACAGTGTCTACGGGTTGTTACAACAAGCTTTCTGTCTTTTCTTGGCAGTGCGAGCTGAAGTGTGTAAATTCTATACTTCCTCTCTTTCTCCTTCCACCCTTACTGAAAACAAGCTGGAGAATTAAAGCAAAATTATGTTGTTCCCCGGAGCCCCTTATGCCTTGAACTGCTCTCCATATTTCTTCTTCCCAATTTCAATGTGGGGAAGTGTATAATCTTACTGCGAAGATCATGTTCCAGACCAGCAGCATCAGCATCACCCAAGAACTTATTTGAAATGAAGAATCTCAGGACTGCTGAATCAGAATGTGCAGCTTCAACGAGCCCCCCGCTGATTTATTCAGGGAAGAGAACTTCTTATCTATCTGCACTGAACATGACATTAAATCTCTTTTCAAAATTACCTCTCTTAGTTTTTTCTCCATCCTTTTTTCCTCTGGCTATATTCAAAACAGAATCTTTCTCGGCACTTGAAGCCTGAATGGAATTTGAAATGAAATAATAAATTAATAAAGTATGTTTCATAGACTATGCATTTACTAGGTCACAATATAAATGACAGTTTCATTACCTTCAAGCCTGGTGGTTTCTCAGAAGACACTGAAAAGTAAAAGGGATTCATAATCACTCATATGTAAAAACGACAAAATTATCCATACATTCATACAGTGTTAGCATCAACCTCTGTCCTCCTGCCTGTATTAGTGTACGCTTTGATGGCTTCTACTTTGTGTCTGGGGACTAGAACGTGACAGAAATACGCTGAGAAAAGGGAATACAGGCTCCATGAAATATAGTCTTAGAATTTCAAACATGGTATGATTTGTCATATGCCAAAAACTAAAATAAAACCGTGTCACTATCAACGTGGATATGCCGAGTGATGAGGACAAAGTGATCTAAAATCAGAGGGGCAACTCATGCACCTGAGAATCAATGTCAAAGCAGGTGCTACATGTACCCACATGTCTTTCATGCAACAAATCAAAAGGATTTACACCATTATACTACAAACATTCATCATCCTCTTTAACTTGCCCAATAACTGAGAAGGCACACAATTACGATGACAATTCAGTTGAAGTACACTTCACATCCCTTCAGTGGAAGGGTCCTAAATTGATCACCTTGGATATATGTTTGCAGATATCTAGTAGATAATACTCATTATCTCTCACCCCGATATGGAGTAATAATCTGCCTAAGTTTTTTGTATCCACTACTTTAGCCTTCCGAAATTTTCTTCATCCAGTCTTGGCACCAAAGGATAGTATCTTAGCCTCAATAAAAATATCATCAATTATCAATTTTGACATACCTATACAAAGTAAAACAGCTACAAGCATTAGATATTGATCAGTTTTTCATTCAGAAATCACAGCAATACTCATTGAAAATGACCAGTTTAGGAGTTAATTACAATGCAGCATAATTTTTCTTTCTAAAATAGGCTTGTTGGGAGTATCATGTCATTCGCTAAAGAAGTTTCATGAAATAGCTGTTGTATCCAAGAGGTAGCTCCTTGAACAAGGAAACTAATGTATTCAGATTTAAGCTTGTCTCATTTCTATAACTAAAATCAACAAAACATATATCTCTGATGTCTAACAGTAACAAAGGAGAGTAATGAGTCAGTGTGTTTTTATGCCAATCCCAGAATGGTTTCCTTCTTCCAGCAGTTCCTGCAGCAGCCAAAATCAAGTATTTTTTATTAAAATATTCCAAATGCATCTGAAGTGAGTTCACTCAGGTTTCCTCAGCAGAAACCCCAAAATTATACAAATGACTTCCTCTTTTCACACCTTCCTGCCTCACAATCCGTCTTCTTTGGCAAAATGATTGCTACAACAGGGGTCTCCTTAGTTCTCCTACAGTGTGTACGGGTTATTACAACAAGTTTTCTGTCTGTTTTTAGCAGTATGATGTGAGGTCTGTAAAATCGATACTTCCTCTCTTTCTCCTTCCACCCTTACTGAAAACAAGCTGGAGAATTAAAGCAAAACTATGCTGTTCCCCAGAGACCCTTATGTCTTCAACTGCTCTCCATATATCTTCTTCCCAACTTCAAAGTGTGGAAGTGTATAATCTTACGGCGAAGATCATGTTCCAGACCAGCAGCATCAGCATCACCCAAGAACCTACTGCAAATGAAGAATCTCCGGCCTGCTGAATCAGAAAGTGCAGCTTCGATGAGCCCCCCGCTGATTTATTTGGGGAAGAGAACTTCTTATCTATCTGGACTGAACATGACATTAAATCTGTTTTCAGAATTACCTGTCCTAGATTTTTCTCCATCCTTGTTTTCTCTGGCTATACCCAAAACAGAATCTTCCTCGTCACTTGTACCCTGAATGGAATTTGAAACGAAATAATAAATAAATAAAGTATGTTTCATAGACCATACATTAACTCGTTCACATGATAAATGGGAGTTTCATTACCTTCAAGGTTGGTGGTTTCTGAGAAGACACTGAAAAGCAAAAGGGATTCATAATCAGTCATACATAAATATGACAAAGATATCCATACATTCAAGCAGAGTTAGCATCAACCTCTGTCCTCCTGCCTGTATTAGCATAGGCTTTGATGGCTTCTACTTTGTGTCTGGGGACTAGAACATGACAGAAATACACTAAGAAAAGGGAATACAGGCTCCATGAAATATACCCTTATAATTTCAAACATGGCATGATTTCTCATGTGTCGAAAACTAAAATAAAACCGTATCAATATCAATGTCTTAGGCCGAGTGATGAGAACAAATGTGATCTAAAATCAGAGGAGCAACTCACACTCCTGAGAATCAATGTCAAAGCAGGTGCTACATGATCTCACATGTCTTTCACGCAACAAATCAAAAGGATTTACACCTTTATACTACAAACATTCATCATGCTCTTTAACATGCCCAATAACTGAGAAGGCACACAATTGCGATGATGCTTCAGTTGAACTTACACTTCACATCTCTTCAGTGGAAGTGTCCTACATTGATCACCTTGGATACCTCTTTGCTGATACCTAGTACATAATATTCATTATCTCTCACACCCATGTAGTGTAATAATTTGCTTAAGTTTCTTGTATCCACTAGTTTAGCCTTCCAAATGTTTCTTCATCCACTCATGGCACCAAAGGATAATATATTAGCCTCAATAAAAATGTCATCAATTATCAATTTTGACATATTTCTACAAAGTAAAACTGCCACAACCATTAGATAATAATAAGTTTTACATTCAGAAATCATTCCAATATTCATTGAAAATGATCACTCTAGGACTTAATTGGAATGCAACATAATTTTTGTTTCTAGAATACCCTTGTTGGCAGTATCATGTTATTTTCTAAAGAAGTTTCATTAAACAGCTATTTTATCCAAGAGGTAGCTCCTTGAACAAGGAAGCCACCATATTCATATTCAAGTTTATCTCATTTCTATAACTAAAATCAACAAAATATGTATCTCTGATGCCTAATAGTAACAAAGAGGAGTAATGAGTCATTTTGTTTTTATGCCAATTCAACCACTGTTTCCTGCTTCCAGCAGTTGCTGGAGCTGCCAAAATCAAATATTGTTTATGCAAATGTTCCAAATGCATCTGAAGTGAGTTCACTCAGGTTTCCTCAGCAGTAACCCCAAAATTATATAAATGACTTCCTCTTTTCCCACATTCCTGCCTCACAATCCGTCTTCATTCAGAAAATAATTGCTACATCAGGGGTCTCCTCAGTTCTCCTTCTACAGTGTCTATGGGTTATTATGAACAGTTTTCTGTCTGTTTTTAGCACTACGATGTGACGTCTGTAAAATCTGTACTTCCTCTCCTTCTCCGTACACCCTTAATGAAAAGATGCTACCGAATTAAAGCAGAATTATGCTGGGCCCCAGAGCCCCTTATGTCTTCAACTGCTCTCCATATTTCTTCCTCCCAATTGTAATGTGGGGATGCGTATAATCTTACAGTGAAGATCATGTTCCAGACCAGTAGCATCAGCATAACCCAAGAACTTATTAGAAATGAAGAATCTCAGGCCTGCTGAATCAGAATGTGCATCTTTGACCAGCCCCCCACTGATTTATTCGGGGAAGAGAACTTCTTGTCTGGACTGAACATGACATTAAATGTGTTTCGCAAAATTACCTTTCCTAGATATTTCTCCATCCTTTTTTCCTCTGGTTATATTCGAAAAAGAATCCTTCTCATCACTTGTAGCCTGAGTGGAATTTGAAACAAAATAATAAATAAGGTATGTTTCATAGGCTATACGTTTACTAGCTCACAATATGAATGAGAGTTTCATTACCTTCAAGGCTGGTTTTTTCCGAGAAGACACTGAAAAGCAAAAGGGATACATAATCACTCACATGTAAATATGATAAAGTTATCCATACATTCACACAGTGTTAGCATCAACCTCTGTCCTCCTGCCTGTATTAGTGTACGCTTTGATGGCTTCTACTTTCTGTCTGGGGACCAGAACATGTCAGAAATACCCTGAAAAAAGGGAACACAGGCTCCGTGAAATATACCCTTACAATTTCAAACACAGTATGATTTTTTATGTGTCGAAAGCTAAAATAAAACCGTGTCAATCCCAATGTGGATATGCCGAGTGATGAGGACAAATGTGATCTAAAATCAGAGGAGCAACTCACACACCTGAGAATCAATGTCAAAACAGGTGCTACATGATCCCATATGTCTTTCATGCAACAAATCAAAAGGATTTACACCATTATACTACAAACATTTTTCATGCTCTTTAACTTGCCCAATAAATGAGAAGGCACACAATTACGATGACCCTCCAGTTGAACGTACACTTCACATCTCTTCAGTGGAAGTGTCCTGAATTGATCACCTTGGATATCTGTTTGCTGATACCTAGTAGATAATATTCATTATCCCTCACACCCATGTAGTGTAATCATTTGCCTAATTTTCTTGTATCCACTAGTTTAGGCTTCTGAAAGTTTCTTCATCCAATCTTGCCACCAAAGGATAATATATTAGCCTCAATAAAAATATCATCAATTATCATTTGACATACTTCTACAAAGTAAAATGGCTACAAGCATTAGATATTACTCAGTTTTTCATTCAGAAATCACTGCAATATTCATTGAAAATGACTATTTTAGGCGTTAATTGGAATTCAACATCATTCTTGTGTCTAAAATAGTCTTGTTGGGAGTATCGTGTTATTCTCTAAAGAAGTTTCATTAAATAGCTTTTTTATCCAAGAGGTAGCTCCTTGAACAAGGAAGCAAAATTTATTCACATTCAAGATTATCTGATTTTTATAACTAAAATCAACAAAACATGTATCTCTGATGCCTAATAGTAACAGAGGAGTAATGGGTCAGTGTGGTGTATTCCAATTATACCATTGTTTCCTGCTTCCAGTAGTTCCTGGAGTAGCCAAAAGCAAATATTTTTTATGAAAATATTCCAAGTGCATCTGAAGTGAGTTCACTCAGGTTTCCTCAGCAGAAACCCCAAAATTATATAAATGACTTCTTCTTTTCACACCTTCCTGCCTCACAATCCGTCTTCCTTAGGAAAATAGTTGCTACACCAGGGGTCTCCTTAGTTCTCCTACAGTGTCTACGGGTTGTTACAACAAGCTTTCTGTCTTTTCTTGGCAGTGCGAGCTGAAGTGTGTAAATTCTATACTTCCTCTCTTTCTCCTTCCACCCTTACTGAAAACAAGCTGGAGAATTAAAGTAAAATTATGTTGTTCCCCGGAGCCCCTTATGCCTTGAACTGCTCTCCATATTTCTTCTTCCCAATTTCAATGTGGGGAAGTGTATAATCTTACTGCGAAGATCATGTTCCAGACCAGCAGCATCAGCATCACCCAAGAACTTATTTGAAATGAAGAATCTCAGGACTGCTGAATCAGAATGTGCAGCTTCAACGAGCCCCCCGCTGATTTATTCAGGGAAGAGAACTTCTTATCTATCTGCACTGAACATGACATTAAATCTCTTTTCAAAATTACCTGTCCTAGATTTTTCTCCATCCTTGTTTTCTCTGGCTATACTCAAAACAGAACCTTCCTCGTCACTTGTAGCCTGAATGGAATTTCAAATGAAATAATAAATTAATAAAGTATGTTTCATAGACCATACCTTAACTCATTCACAATATAAATGAGTGTTTCATTACCGTCAAGGCTGGTGGTTTCTGAGAAGACACTGAAAAGCAAAAGGGATACATAATCACTCATATGTAACTATGACAAAGTTATCCATACATTCATGAAGTGTTTGTATCAACCTCTGTTCTCCTGCCTGTATTAGCGTAGGCTTTGATGGCTTCTACTTTTAGTCTGGGGACTAGAACGTGACAGAAATACACTGAAAAAAGGGAATACAGGCTCCATGAAATATACCCCTACAATTTCAAACATGGTATAATTTGTCATATGTCAAAAACTAAAATCAAACTGTGTCAATATCAATGTCCATATGCCAAGTGATGCGGACAAATGTGATCTAAAATCAGAGGAGAAACTCATACACCTGAGAATGAATGTCAAAGCAGGTGCTACATGATCCCACATGTCTTTCATGCAACAAATCAAAAGGATTTACACCATTATACTACAAACGTTCATCATGCTCTTTAACTTGCCCAATAACTGAGAAAGCACACAATTATGATGACACTTCAGTTGAACGTACACTTCACATCTCTTCAGGGGTAGTGTCCTAAATTGATCACCTTGGATATCCATTTGCTGATACCTAGTAGATAATATTCATTATCTCTCACACCCATGTGGTGTAATAATTTGCTTAAGTTTCTTGTATCCACTAGTTTAGCCTTCCTAAAGTTTCTTCATCCACTCATGGCACCACAGGATAATATATTAGCCACAATAAAAAATCATCAATTATCAATTTTGACATATTCTACAGAGTAAAACTGCTACTAGCATTAGATATTATTAAGTTTTACATTCAGAAATCATTCCAATATCCATTGAAAATGATCACTCTAGGACTTAATTAGAATCCAACATAATTTTTATTTCTAAAATAGCCTTGTTGGGAGTATCATGTTATTCTCTAAAGAAGTTTCATTAAATAGCTATTTTATCCAAGAGGTAGCTCCTTGAACAAGGAAGCCAATATATTCATATTCAAGTTGGTCTCATTTCTATAACTAAAATCAACAAAACATGTATCTCTGATGCCTAATGCTAACAAACAGGAGTAATGAGGCAGTGTGTTTTTATGGCAATTCTAGCATTGTTTCCCACTTCCAGTATTTCCTTGTGCTGCCAAAATCAAATATGTTTTATGAAAATATTCCAAATGCATCTGAAGTGAGTTCACTCAGGTTTCCTCAGGAAAAACCCCAAAATTATATAAATGACTTCCTCTTTTCCCACCTTCCTGCCTCACAATCCGTCTTCCTTGGGAAAATAATTGCTACAGGAGGGGTCTCCGTAGGTCTCCTTCTACAGTGTCTATGGGTTATTACAATCAGTTTTCTGTCTGTTTTTAGCAGTACGATGTGACGTTTGTAAAATCTATACTTCCTCTCTTTCTCCTTCCACCCTTACTGAAAACGCTGTAGAGTTAAAGCAAAATTATGCTGTTCCCCAGAGCCCCTTATGTCTTCAACTGCTCTCCATATTTCTTCTTCCAAATTTGAATGTGGGGAAGTGTATAATCTTACTGCGAAGATCATGTTCCAGACCAGCAGCATCACCATCACCCAAGAACTTACTGCAAATGAAGAATCTCAGGACAGCTGAATGATAATGTGCAGCTTCGACGAGCCCCAGGCCAATTCATTCAGGAAAGAGAAATTCTTATCTATCTGGACTGAATATGACATTAAATGTCTTTTGCAAAATTACCTGTCCCAGATTTTTCTCCATCCTTTATTTCTGTGGCTATGTTCGAAACAGAATCTTTCTCATCAGTTGTAGCCTGAATGGAATTTGAAAGAAAGTAATAAATAAATAAATCAATGAAGTATATTTCATAGACTATAGATTTACTAGTTCACAATATAAATGAGAGTTTAATTACCTTCAAGGCTGGTTGTTTCTGAGAAGACACTGAAAAGCAAAAAGGGATACATAATCACTCATATATAAACATGATAAAGTTATCCATACATTCACACAGTGTTAGCATCCAGCTGTATCCTTCTGCCTGTACTAGTGTAGGCTCTGATGTCTTCTACTTTGTCTCTTGGGACTGGAACATGACAGAAATACACTGGTAAAAGGGAATACAGGCTCCATGAAATATATCCTTACAGTTTCAAACATGGTATGATTCGTCATATGTCGAAAACTAAAATAAAACCGTGTCAATATCAATGTGGATATGCCGAGTGATGAGGACAAAGTGATCTAAAATCAGAGGAGCAACTCATACACGTGAGAATCAATGTCAAAGCAGGTGCTACATGATCCCACATGTCTTTCATGCAGGAAATCAAAAGGATTTATACCATTGTACTACAAACATTCATCATGCTCTTTAACTTGCCCAATAACTGAGAAGGCACACAATTACCATGACAATTCACTTGAAAGTACACTTCGCATCTCTTCAGTGGAAGTGTCCTAAATTGATCACCTTGGATATCTGTTTGCTGATACCTAGTAGATAATATTCATTATCTCTCACACCCATGTGTTGTAATAATTTGCCTAAGTTTCTTGTATCCACTAGTTTATCCCTCCGAAAGTTTCTTCATCCAGTCGTGGCACCAAAGGATAATATATCAGCCTCAATAAAAATATCATCAATTATCAATTTTGACATACTTCTACAAAGTAAAACTGCTACAAGCATTAGATATTAATCAGTTTTTCATTCAGAAATCACTGCAATATTCATTGAAAATTACCATTTTAGGAGTTAATTAGAATTCAACATAATTTTTGTTTCTAAAATAGCCTTCTTGGGAGTATCATGTTGTTCTCTATAGAAGTTTCATGAAATAGCTATTTTATCCAAGAGGTAGCTCCTTGAACAAGGAAGCCAATGTATTCATATTCAACTTTATCTCATTTTTATAAGTAAAGTCAACAAAACATGTATCTCTGATGCCTAATAGTAACAAAAAGGAGTAATGAGTCAGTGTGCTTTATCCCAATTCTAGCATTGTTTCCTGCTTCCAGTAATTCCTGGAGCTGCCAAAATCAAATATTTTTTAGGCACATATTCCAAATGCATGTGAAGTGAGTTCACTCAGATTTCCTCAGCAGAAACCCCTAAATTATATAAATAACTTCTTTTCCCTCCTTCCTGTCTGACAATCCATCTTCCTTGGGAAAATAATTGCTACATCAGGGGTCTCCTTAGTTCTCGTTCTACAGTGTCTATGGGTTATTACTATCAGTTCTCTGTCTTTTCTTAGCAGTACTATGTGACGTCTGTAGAATCTATACTTCCTCTCTTTCTTCTTCCACCCTTAGTGAAACCATGCTGTAGAATTAAAGCAAAACTATGCTGTTCCCCAGAGCCCCTT
Organism: Homo sapiens; assembly: GCF_000001405.40. Lineage (NCBI taxonomy): Eukaryota > Metazoa > Chordata > Mammalia > Primates > Hominidae > Homo > Homo sapiens. The sequence continues at coordinate 97,189,550 of NC_000002.12, read as the reverse complement.
ATGTCTTGAACCTCTCTCCATGTATCTTCTTCCCAATTTCAATGTGGGGAAGTGTATAATCTTACTGCGAAGATCACGTTCCAAGCCAGCAGCATTAGCGTCACCCAGGAATTTATTACAAATGAAGACTCTCAGGCCTGCTGAATCAGAATGTGCAGATTAGGCGAGCCCCCCACCCACCCTCCGCTGATTTATTCGGGGTAGAGAAGTTCTTTTCTATCTGGATTGAACATGACATTGAATGTGTTTTGCAAAATTACCTGTCCCAGATTTTTCTCCATCCTTTATTTCTGTGGCTATATTCGAAACAGAATCTTCCTCGTCAGTTGTAGCCTTAATGGAATTTGAAAGAAAATAATAAATAAATAAATCAATGAAGTATGTTTCATAGACTATAGAATTACTAGTTCACAATGTAAACGAGAGTTTAATTACCTTCAAGGCTGGTTGCTTCTGAGAAGACACTGAAAAGCAAAAGGGATACATAATCACTCATATGTAAATATGATAAAGTTATCCATACATTCACACAGTGTTAGCATCCAGCTGTATCCTTCTGCCTGTACTAGTGTAGGCTCTGATGTCTTCTACTTTGTCTCTTGGGACTGGAACATGACAGAAATACACTGGTAAAAGGGAATACAGGCTCCATGAAATATATCCTTACAATTTCAAACATGGTATGATTCGTCATATGTCGAAAACTAAAATAAAACCGTGTCAATATCAATGTGGATATGCCGAGTGATGAGGACAAAGTGATCTAAAATCAGAGGAGCAACTCATACATGTGAGAATCAATGTCAAAGCAGGTGCTACATGATCCCACATGTCTTTCATGCAGGAAATCAAAAGGATTTACACCATTGTACTACAAACATTCATCATGCTCTTTAACTTGCCCAATAACTGAGAAGGCACACAGTTACCACGACAATTCAGTTGAACGTATACTTCACATCTCTTCAGTGGAAGTGTCCTAAATTGATCACCTTGGATATCTGTTTGCTGATACCTAGTAGATAATATTCATTATCTCTCACCCCCATGTGGTGTAATAATTTGCCTAAGTATCTTGTATCCACTAGTTTAGCCTTCCGAAAATTTCTTCATCCAGTCGTGGCACCAAAGCATAATATATCAGCCTCAATAAAAATATCATCAATTATCAATTTTGACATACTTCTACAAAGTAAAACTGCTACAAGCATTAGATATTAATCAGTTTTTCATTCAGAAATCACTGCAATATTCATTGAAAATTACCATTTTAGGAGTTAATTAGAATTCAACATAATTTTTGTTCTAAAATAGCATTCTTGGGAGTATCATGTTAGTCTCTAAAGAAGTTTCATGAAATAGCTATTTTATCCAAGAGGTAGCTCCTTGAACAAGGAAGCCAATGTATTCATATTCAACTTTATCTCATTTTTATAAGTAAAGTCAACAAAACATGTATCTCTGATGCCTAATAGTAACAAAAAGGAGTAATGAGTCAGTGTGCTTTATCCCAATTCTAGCATTGTTTCCTGCTTCCAGTAATTCCTGGAGCTGCCAAAATCAAATATTTTTTAGGCACATATTCCAAATGCGTGTGAAGTGAGTTCACTCAGATTTCCTCAGCAGAAACCCCTAAATTATATAAATAACTTCTTTTCCCTCCTTCCTGTCTGACAATCCATCTTCCTTGGGAAAATAATTGCTACATCAGGGGTCTCCTTAGTTCTCGTTCTACAGTGTCTATGGGTTATTACTATCAGTTTTCTGTCTTTTCTTAGCAGTACTATGTGACGTCTGTAGAATCTATACTTCTTCTCTTTCTCCTTTCACCTTAGTGAAACCATGCTGTAGAATTAAAGCAAAACTATGCTGTTCCCCAGAGCCCCTTATGTCTTGAACCTCTCTCCATATATCTTCTTCCCAATTTCAATGTGGGGAAGTGTATAATCTTACTGCGAAGATCATGTTCCAAGCCAGCAGCATTAGCGTCACCCAAGAATTTATTACAAATGAAGACTCTCAGACCTGCTGGATCAGAATGTGCAGCTTCGGCGAGCCCCCCCACCCGCCCTCCGCTGATTTATTAGGGGTAGAGAAGTTCTTTTCTATCTGGATTGAACATGACATTGAATGTGTTTTGCAAAATTACCTGTCCCAGATTTTTCTCCATCCTTTATTTCTGTGGCTATATTCGAAACAGAGTCTTCCTCGTCAGTTGTAGCCTGAATGGAATTTGAAAGAAAATAATAAATAAATAAATCAATGAAGTATATTTCATAGACTATAGATTTACTAGTTCACAATATAAATGAGAGTTTAATTACCTTCAAGGCTGGTTGTTTCTGAGAAGACACTGAAAAGCAAAAGGGATACATAATCACTCATATGTAAATATGATACATTTTCCATACATTCATGCGGTGTTAGCATCAAGCTGTATCCGCCTGCCTGTATTAGTGTAGGCTTTGATGTTTTCTACTTTATGTCTTAAGCCAGGAGCATGACACAAATATACTAAAGAAAACAGAAATAGATGTGCCACGATATATTCCTAACTATTTCAAACATAATATGATTTCTCGTATATCTAAAAGAAAAATAAATCAGTGTCAATATCAAAAAGGGTATGCCAAGTGATCACGACAAATGTGATCAAAAATCAGAGGGGAAACTCAATCACCTGGGAAAATGTCAAAGCAGGTGGCACATGCACCCACATGTCTTTTATGCAAGATATCCAAATGATTTACGCCATTATACTGCAAACATTCATCATGTTCATTAACTTGCCCAGTAACTGAGAAGGTACACAATTACAGTGACACTTCAGTTGAATGTACACATTATGTCTCTGTCTCTTCAGTGAAGTGTCCTAAATTGATCAGCTTGGATATATGTTTCCTTAATCCGAGTAAATAATATTCATTATTTCTCATATCCATGTGGTGCAACAATTTGCCTAAGTTTCCTGTATTCTCTAGTTTAGCCTTCCTGGACATTTCTTCATCCACTCATGGCCACAAAGTATAATATATAAACCTCAATAAAAAGCATCATCAATTATCAATTTTGACATACTTCTACTAAATAAAACTGCTAAAAGCATTGGATATTAATAAGCTTTTATATTTGGAAATCACTCCAATATTCATTGAAAATGACCATTTTAAGAGTCAGTTGATGAACTCAACATTATATTTGTTTTTAAAATTGTCTTGTTAGGAGGATCATACTATTCTCTAAATAATATTCATTAAATAGCTATTTTATCCGTGAGATAGCTCTTTGATGAAAGAAGCCAATGTACTGATATTCAAGTTTATCTAATTTTTATAACAAAAATCAACAAAAGATATATGTCTTATGCCTAATAGTAGCAAACAGAAGTAATTAGTCAATGTGGTTTATCCCAATTCTAGCTTTCTTTGCTTCATCCAGTAGTTCCTGGAGCTGCCAAAATCAAATCTTTTTTGTGTAAATATGCTAAATGCATCCGAAGTGAGTTCACTCAGGTTTCCTCAGCAGAAACCCCAAAATTGCATAAATAACTTCATCTTTTCCCTCCTTCCTGCCTCACAACCCTCTTCCTTGAGGAAAATAATTGCTACATCAGTGGTCTCGTTAGTTCTCATTCTACAATTTTTACTGGTTATTACGATCACTTTTCCATCTGTTTTTAGCAATAAGATGTGACGTCTGTAAAATCTATACTTCAACTCATTCTCCTTCCACCCTTGGTGAAAACATGCTGTAGAATTAAAGCAAAATTATGCTGTCCCCTGAACCCCTTATGTCTTGATCTGCTCTCCAATGTTTCTTCTTCCCAATTTCAATGTGGGGAAGTCTATAATCTTACTGCGAAGATCAGGTCCAAGACCAGCAGCATCAGCATCACCCGAGAACTTATTACAAATGAAGAATCTCGGGCCTGCTGAATCAGAATGTGCAGCTTTGACGAGCCCCCCGCTGATTTATTCAGGGAAGAGAAGTTCTTTTCTATCTGGACTGAACATGACATTAAATGTGTTTTGCAAAATTACCTGTCCCACACTGTAGTCCATCCTTTATTTCTGTAGCTATATTCAAAGCAGAATCTGTCTTGTCACTTGTAGCCTGAAAGTAATTTGAAGCAAATTATCAATAAAGAAAGTATGTTTCATGGACTATACAGTTACTAATACAAAATATAAATGAGAGTTTAATTACCTTTGAGGCTGGTTGTTTCTGAGAAGACACTGAAAAGCAAAAGGGATACATAATCACTCATATGTAAATATGATAAAGTTATCTATACATTCATGAAGTGTTAGCATCAAGCTGTATGCTCCTGCCTGTATTAGTATAGGCTTTGATTTTTGTGTCTGGGGACTGGAACATGACCAGAAATACACTGAAAAAAAAGAAATACAGGTTTCACAAAATAAACCCTTACAATGTCAATCATGGTATGATTTTTCATATGTCTAAAACTAAAATGAAACAGTGTTACTATCAATGTGAATATGCTGAATGATGAGGACAAAAGTGATCTAAAATCAGAGGAGCAACTCATACACCTGAGAATCAATGTCAAAGCAGGTGCTACATCATCCTCCATGTCTTTCATGCAAGGTATCAAAAGGATTTACACTACTATACTACAAACATTCATCATGCTCTAACTTGCCTGATAACTGAGAAGGTACACAATTACAATGACACTTCAGATGAATGTACACTTCACGTCTCTTAAGTGGAAGGGATCTAAATTGATCAGCTTGGATATATGGTTGGTGAATCCTAGTAGATAGTATTCATTATTTATCATACACATGTGGTGGAATAATCTGCCTACATTTCTTGTATCCTCTAGTTTAGCCTTCAGTAATTTTCTTCATCCACTAATGGCAGGAAGGTATAATATATAAACCTCATCAAAAAGTACAATAAATTACACATATTTATACAAAATGCAATGGCTCCTGGCATTAGATATTAATAAGCTTTTACATTTGGATATCAGTCCAATATTCACTGAAAATAACCATTTTAGGATTCAATTAATACATTTAGTATTATTTTTGTCTGCAAAATTAGTCTACTCTGGAATATCATTGTATTATAAAGAATTTTCACTAAATAGCTATTTTAATGAAAAAGCCAGCACTTTGGAAAAAAGCTAATATAATCGTATTAAATTTTAACTCATTTGAATAACTAAAAAAAAATATATGTCTGATGCCTGATACTAATAAACAGGAATGAGGCACTGTGGTTTATCCCAACTCTAGCACTCCTTCCTGATTCCAGTAGTCATCGGAGCAGTCAGAAATCAAATCTTCTGGTATGCAAACATTCTAAATGCATCTGAAGTGAGTTCACTCAGGTTTCCTCAGCAGAAACCCCAAAATTACATAAATAACTTCTTCCTTCCCCTCTTTCTTGCCTTGCAATCCCTCTTTCTTGATGAAAATAATTACTACATCAGTGGTCACTTTGTTTCTCATTCTCCAGTGTCTACGGGTTATTATGACAACTTCCTCCCTCTGGTTTTAGCAGTACCATCTGACATCTATAATTTCTGTTACTTCTTCTCTTTCTCCTTCCCCTCTCCATAGAAACATGCTCTGAAATAAGAGAAAAATTATGCTGTCCTCCGATCCTCTTATGTCTTGAACTGTTTTCCAATGGTTCTTCTATCCAAATTCAATGTAGGGAACTCTACAAGCTTGTTACTAAGATCATGGCCAAGGACCAGCAGCATCAGCACCACCTGACAACTTACTAGAAATGCATAATCTCAGGCCTGCTGAATCAGAAAGTGCATTTTCAATGACACCCCACTGATCTATTCAGGGGTGGGACGTTCTCTTCTGTCTTGAGTGCACATGACATTAAATGTGTATTGCCAAATTACCTGTTCCAGATTTCCCACCACCCATTATTCTTGTGGCAATATTCAAAAGAGAAACTTTCTTTTTAAATATAACCTGAATGGAAAGAGAAACAAAATAGTCAATATATAATACATATTTCATAGGCTATAAAATAAATAATTCAAAATATAAATGAAAGAGTAACTACCTTCCAGGCCGATTGTTTCTGAGGAGACACTGAAAAGTAAAAGAAATATATAATCCATCATATGTAAATATGACAAAGTCATCCATACATTCATGCAGTGTTAGCATCAAGCTGTATCCTCCTGCCTGCACTAGTGTAGGATTTGATGTTTTACAGTTTGTGTCTTTGGGACGGGAACATGAGGAAATACACTGAAGAAAACAGGAATACACGCTTCCAGAAAATATACAGTCAGAAATTACAAAGAGGTATTATGCATCATGTGTGTATTACTGAAATAAAAAGTGTCAATATCAATGTGGATATGCCGAATGATGAAAAGAAATGTGATCTAAAATCAGAGGAGCAACTCATACACCCAGGAATCAATGTCAAAGAAGGTACTAAATGCTACTGCATGTTTTTCATGCAAGACATCAGAAGGATTTATACCATTATACTGCAAGTATTCATCACGCTCTTTTAACTTGCCTGGTAATTGAGGAGGTACACAATGACAATGACACTTTAGTAGAATGTACACTTCACGAGTCCTCGGTGGAAGTGGCCCAGCCTCAACAGCTTGGATATAGGTTGGGATAATCCTGAATATAATATTCTTTATTTCTCAAACCCATGTGGTGTAATAATGTGCCTACATTTGTTGTGTCCTCTAGTTTAGGCTACAGAAAGGTTCTTCATCCACTCATGGCAACAAATATAATACATAAACCTTATCAAAAAGTATAATAAATGATCAAATTTGACATACTTATACAAAATAAAGTTGCTACAAGCATTAGATATGAATAACCTTTGACATTTGGAAATCCCTCCAATATTCATTGAAAATAAGAATTTTAAAAGTCAATTAATGAATTCACCATTAATTTTTTTTTCTAAAATAGTCTGGTATAAAATATCATGTTATTCTCTAAAGCATTTTCATTAAATTGTTATTTTTATCCAAAAGTTAGCTAATTGAAAAGCAAAGCCAATATATGCATATTCATGTTTATCTCATTTGAATAACTAATATCAACAAAACGTATATCTCTGATGCCCAACAGTAACAAAGAGGAGTAATGAGTCACTGTGGTTTATCCCAGTTCTAGTACTCCTTCCTGCTTCCACTGTTTCCTAAAGCAGCCAAAATCAAAGCTTCTTTTACAAAAATGTTCAAATATGCAACTGAACTCAGGTTTCCTCAGAAGAAACCCCAAAATTACATAAATAACTTATTTTCCCTCCTTCCTGCCTGACAATCCTCTTCCTTGAGGAAAGTCATTGCTACATCAGTGGTCTCCTTAGCTCTCGTTCTACAGTGTTTATGGGTTATTACCATGATTTCCCCATCTGTTTTTAGCAATACGATGTGATGTCTGTAAAATCTATACTTCATCTCTTTCTCCTTCCTCCCTTGGTGAAAACATGCTGTAGAATTAATGCAAAATTATGCTGTCCCCTGACTCCTTATGTCTTTAATGGCTCTCCAACGTTTCTTCTTCCCAATTTCAATGTGGGGAAGTCTATAATCTTATTGCAAAGATCATGTCGAAGACCAGCAGCATCAGTGTCACCTGAGAACTGAAGAATCTCAGGCCTGCTGAATCAGAATGTGCAGCTTCAATGAATCCCCTGCTGATTTATTCGGGGAAGAGAAGTACTTTTCTATCTTGACTGAACATGACATTAAATGTGTTTTGCAAAATTACCTGTCCCAGATTGTTGTCCCTTCTTTATTTCTGTGGCTATATTTGAAACAGAATCTTTCTCGTCACTTGTAGCCTGAATGGGATTTGAAACAAAATAATCAATATGTAAAGTAGGTTTCATAGACTATACAGTTAATAGTTCAACATATAAATGAGACTTTAATTACCTTCTCAGCTGGTTGTTTCTGAGAAGACACTGAAAAGCAAAAGGGAAACATAATCACTCACATGTACATATGATAAATTTATCCATACATTCATGCAGTGTTAGCATCAAGCTGTATCTTCCTGCCTGTACTAGTGTAGGCTTTGATGTTTTCTACTTTTTGTCTGGAGACTGGAACATGACAGAAATACACTGAAAAAAAAGGAATACAGGCTTCACAAAATATACCCTTACAATTTCAAACATGGTATGATTCGTGATACATCTAAAACTAAAATAAAACCGTGTCAATATCAATGTGGATATGCCGAGTGATGAGGACAAATCAGAGGAGTAACTCACACACCTGAGAATCAATGTCAAAGCAGGTGGTATATGATCCCTCATGTCTTTCTTGCAAGAAATCAGAAGGATTTACACCATTATACTTCAAACATTCATCATGCCCTTTAACTTGCCCAATAACTAGGAGGTACACAATTACGATGACAATTCAGTTAAATGTTCTCTTCACATCTCTTCAGTGGAAGTGTCCTAAATTGATCACCTTGGATATGTTTCCTAAAATCTAGTAGATAATATTCATTATTTCTCACACCCATGTGGTGTAATAATTTGCCTAAGATTCTTGTATCCACTAGTTTAGCCTTCTGAAAGTTTCTTCATCCGCTCATGGCAACAAACGATAATATATTAGCCTCAATAAAAATATCAATTACCAATGTTAACATACTTCTACAAAGTAAAACTGCTACAAGCATTAGATATTAATAAGTTTTACATTCAGAAATCACTCCAATATTCATTGAAAATCACCACTTTAGGAGTTAATTAGAATTCAACATCATTTTTGTTTCTAAAATAGCCTTGTTGGGAGTATCATGTTAGTCTCTAAGGAAGTTTCATTAAATACCTATTTTATCCAAGAGTTAGCTCCTTGAACAAGGAAGCCAATGTATTCATATGCAAGTTTATCTCATTTTTATAAGTAAAGTCAACAAAACATGTGTCCCTGATGCCTAATAGTAGCAAAGAGGAGTAATGAGTCACTGTGGTTTATCCCGATTCTAGCACTGTTTCCTGCTTCCAGTAGTTCTTGGAGCAGCCAAAATCAAATCTTCTTTTATGCAAATATTCCAAATGCATCTGAAATGAGTTCACTCAGGTTTCCTCAGCAGAAACCCCAAAATTACATAAATACCTTCTTTTTCCTCCTTCCTGCCTCACAATCCCTCTTCCTTGAGGAAAATAATTGCTACATCAGTGGTCTTCTTAGCTCTCGTTCTACAGTGTTTATGGAGTTATTAGGATCACTTTTCCCTCTGTTGATAACAATATGATACGATGCCTATAATATCTATTACTTCATCTCGTTCTCTTTTCCCTCTTGATGGAAACATGCTGTAAAATTAAAGCAAAATTATGCTGCTCCCTTAGCCTGGTATGTGTTGAACTTCTCTCCAATGGTTTTTCTTCCCAATTTCAATGTAGGGAAGTCTACAATCTTACTACTCAGATCATGACCAAGGACCAGCAGCATCAGGGTCACCTGAGAACTCACTACAAATGAAGAATCTCAGGTGTACTGAATCAGAACGTGCAGCTTAGATGGACTCCCCACTGATTTATTTGGGTAAGGGAAGTTCTCTTCCATCTTGATTGAACATGACATTAGATGTGTTTTGCAAAATTACCTGTCCCAGATATTGGTCCCTCCTTTATTTCTGTGGCTATATTTGAAACAGAATCTTTGTCGTCACTTGTAGCCTGAATGGGATTTGAAGCAAAATAATCAATATGTAAAGTAGGTTTCATAGACTATACAGTTAATAGTTCAACATATAAATGAGACTTTAATTACCTTCTCAGCTGGTTGTTTCTGAGAAGACACTGAAAAGCAAAAGGGATACATAATCAATCATATGTAAATATGATAATGTTATCCATACATAAATGCATGGATAGCATGTTAGCATCAAGTTTTGTACTCCTGCCTGTATTACTGTAGGCTTTGATATTTTATACTTTGTTTCTTGGGACTAAACATGAAGGAAATACACTGAAGAAAATAGGAATACAGGCTTCAAGAAATATACACTGACAATTTCATATGTGATATGACTTTCTCCATATGTCTAAAACTAAAATAAAACCATGTCAATATCAATGTGGATATGCTGAGTGATGAGGACAAATGTGATCTAAAATCAGAGTCCAACTCATACTCCTGGGAATCAACGTCAAAGCAGGTGATACACGCATCCGCATGTCTTTCATGCAAGATATCAGAATGATTTGGAACATTTTACTGCAAACATTCATCATGCTCTTTAACTTGATTGATCAGTGAGAAGGTACACAATTATAATGACACTTTAGTTGAAATCTCTTCAGTGGAAGTGTCCTAACTTAATCAGCTTGGATATATGTTTGGTGAATTCTAGTATGTAATATTCATTATTTCTCACACCCATATGATGTAATAATGTGCCTACATCTCTTGTATCTTCTAGTTTAGACTTCTAAAAGTTCCTTCATCCACTCATTGCAACAAGGTATAATATATAAACTTCATCAAAAAGTGTAATAAATTACCAAATTTGACATACTTATACAAAATAAAGTTTCTACAAGCATTAGATATGAATAAGCTTTTACATCTGGAAATCACTCCAATATTCCCTGAAAATAACCATTTGGGAGTCAAGTAATGAATTCAACATTATTTTCACTTCTAAAATAGTCTGGTTAAAGTATCATGTTATTCTCTAGAGAATTTTTATTAAGTTGCTTTTTTTTATTATACTTTAAGTTTTAGGGTACATGCGCACATTGTGCAGGTTAGTTACATATGTATACATGTGCCATGCTGGTGCGCTGCACCCACTATCTCATCATCTAGCATTAGGTATATCTCCCAATGCTATCCCTCTCCCCTCCCCCCACCCCACAAAAGTCCCCAGAGTGTGATATTCCCCTTCCTGTGTCCATGTGATCTCATTGTTCAATTCCCACCTATGAGTGAGAATATGCGGTGTTTGGTTTTTTGTTTTTGCGATAGTTTACTGAGAATGATGATTTCCAATTTCATCCATGTCCCTTCAAAGGACATGAACTCATCATTTTTTATGGCTGCATAGTATTCCATGGTGTATATGTGCCACATTTTCTTAATCCAGTCTATCATTGTTGGACATTTGGGTTGGTTCCAAGTCTTTGCTATTGTGAATAATGCCGTAATAAGCATGCGTGTGCATGTGTCTTTATAGCAGCGTGATTTATAGTCCTTTGGGTATATACCCATTAATGGGATGGCTGGGTCAAATGGTATTTCCACTTCTAGATCACTGAGGAATCTCCACACTGACTTCCACAATGGTTGAACTAGTTTACAGTCCCACCAACAGTGTAAAAGTGTTCCTATTTCTCCACATCCTCTCCAGCACCTGTTGTTTCCTGACTTTTTAATGATGGCCATTCTAACTGGTGTGAGATGGTATCTCATTGTGGTTTTGATTTGCATTTCTCTGATGGCCAGTGATGATGAGCATTTTTTCATGTGTTTTTTGGCTGCATAAATGTCTTCTTTTGAGAAGTGTCTGTTCATGTCCTTTGCCCACTTTTTGATGGGGTTGTTTGTTTTTTTCTTGTAAATTTGTTTGAGTTCATTGTAGATTCTGGATATTAGCCCTTTGTCAGATGAGTAGGTTGCAAAAATTTTCTCCCATTTTGTAGGTTGCCTGTTCACTCTGATGGTAGTTTCTTTTGCAGTGCAGAAGCTCTTTAGTTTAATTAGATCCCATCTGTCAATTTTGTCTTTTGTTGCCATTGCTTTTGGTGTTTTAGACATGAAGTCCTTGCCCATGCCTATGTCCTGAATGGTAATGGCTAGGTTTTCTTCTAGGGTTTTTATGGTTTTAGGTCTAACGTTTAAGTCTTTAATCCATCTTGAATTGATTTTTGTATAAGGTGTAAGGAAGGGATACAGTTTCAGCTTTCTACATATGGCTAGCCAGTTTTCCCAGCACCATTTTTAAATAGGGAATCCTTTCCCCATTGCTTGTTTTTCTCAGGTTTGTCAAAGATCAGGTAGCTGTAGATATGCAGCATTATTTCTGAGGTCTCCGTTCTGTTCCATTGATCTATAGCTCTGTTTTGGTACCAGTACCATGCTGTTTTGGTTACTGTAGCCTTGTAGTATAGTTTGAAGTCAGGTAGTGTGATGCCTCCAGCTTTGTTCTTTTGGCTTAGGATTGACTTGGCGATGTGGGCTCTTTTTTGGTTCTATATGAACTTTAAAGTAGTTTTTTCCAATTCTGTGAAGAAAGGCATTGGTAGCTTGATGGGGATGGCATTGAATCTGTAAATTACCTTGGGCAGTATGGCCATTTTCACGATATTGATTCTTCCTATGCATGAGCATGGAATGTTCTTCCATTTGTTTGTATCCTCTTTTATTTCCTTGAGCAGTGGTTTGTAGTTCTCCTTGAAGAGTTCCTTCACATCCCTTGTAAGTTGGATTCCTAGGTATTTTATTCTCTTTGAAGCAATTGTGAATGGGAGTTCACTCATGATTTGGCTCTCTGTTTGTCTGTTGTTGGTGTATAAGAATGCTTGTGATTTTTGCACATTGATTTTGTATCCTGAGACTTTGCTGAAGTTGCTTATCAGCTTAAGGAGATTTTGGGCTGAGACAATAGGGTTTTCTAGATATACAATTTTCATATCCAGCCAAACTAAGCTTCATAAGTGAAGGAGAAATAAAATACTTTACAGACAAGCAAATGCTGAGAGATTTTGTCACCACCAGGCCTGCCCTAAAAGAGCTCCTGAAGGAAGCGCTAAAAATCGAAAGGAACAACCGGTACCAGACTCTGCAAAATCATGCCAAAATGTAAAAACCATCAAGACTAGGAAGAAACTGCATCAACTAACGAGCAAAATAACCAGCTAACATCGTAATGACAGGATCAAATTCACACATAACAATATTAACTTTAAATGTAAATGGACTAAATGCTCCAATTAAAAGACACAGACTGGCAAATTGGATAAAGAGTCAAGATCCATCAGTGTGCTGTATTCAGGAAACCCATCTCACGTGCAGAGACACACATAGACTCAAAATAAAAGGATGGAGGAAGATCTACCAAGCAAATGGAAAACAAAAAAAAGGCAGGGGTTGCAATCCTAGTCTCTGATAAAACAGACTTTTAACCAACAAAGATCAAAAGAGACAAAGAAGGCCATTACATAATGGTAAAGGGATCAATTCAACAAGAAGAGCTAACTATCCTAAATATATATGCACCCAATACAGGAGCACCCAGATTCATAAAGCAAGTCCTGAGTGACCTACAAAGAGACTTAGACTCCCACACATTAATAATGGGAGACTTTAACACCCCACTGTCAACATTGGACAGATCAACAAGAGAGAAAGTCAACAAGGATACCCAGGAATTGAACTCAGCTCTGCACCAAGTGGACCTAATAGACATCTACAGAACTCTCCACCCCAAATCAACAGAATATACATTTTTTCAGCACCACACCACACCTATTCCAAAATTGACCACATACTTGGAAGTAAAGCTCTCCTCAGAAAATGTAAAAGAACAGAAATTATAACAAACTATCTCTCAGACCACAGTGCAATCAAACTAGAATTCAGGATTAAGAATCTCACTCAAAACCGCTCAACTACATGGAAACTGAACAACCTGCTCCTGAATGACTACTGGGTACATAACAAAATGAAGGCAGAAATAAAGATGTTCTTTGAAACCAATGAGAACAAAGACACAACATACCAGAATCTCTGGGACACATTCAAAGCAGTGTGTAGAGGGAAATTTATAGCACTAAGTGCCCACAAGAGAAAGCAGGAAAGATCCAAAATTGACACCCTAACATCACAATTAAAAGAACTAGAAAAGCAAGAGCAAACACATTCAAAAGCTAGCAGAAGGCAAGAAATAACTGAAATCAGAGCAGAACTGAAGGAAATAGAGACACAAAAACCCCTTCAAAAAATTAATGAATCCAGGAGCTGGTTTTTTGAAAGGATCAACAAAATTGAGAGACCACTAGCAAGACTAATAAAGAAAAAAAGAGAGAAGATTCAAATAGACGCAATAAAAAATGATAAAGGGGATATCACCACCGATCCCACAGAAATAAACTACCATCAGAGAATACTACAAACACCTCTACGCAAATAAACTAGAAAATCTAGAAGAAATGGATAAATTCCTAGACACATACACTCTCCCAAGACTAAACCAGGAAGAAGTTGAATCTCTGAATAGACCAATAACAGGATCTGAAATTGTGGCAATAATCAATAGCTTACCAACCAAAAAGAGTCCAGGACCAGATGGATTCACAGCCGAATTCTACCAGAGGTACAAGGAGGAACTGGTACCATTCCTTCTGAAACTATTCCAATCAATAGAAAAAGAGGGAATCCTCCCTAACTCATTTTATGAAGCCAGTATCATTCTGATACCAAAGCCAGGCAGAGACACAACAAAAAAAGAGAATTTTAGACCAATATCCTTGATGAACATTGATGCAAAAATCCTCAATAAAATACTGGCAAAACGAATCCAGCAGCACATCAAAAAGCTTATCCACCATGATCAAGTGGGCTTCATCCCTGGGATGCAAGGCTGGTTCAATATATGCAAATCAATAAATGTAATCCAGCATATAAACAGAGCCAAAGACAAAAACCACATGATTATCTCAATAGATGCAGAAAAAGCCTTTGACAAAATTCAACAACCCTTCATGCTAAAAACTCTCAATAAATTCAGTATTGATGGGACATATTTCAAAATAATAAGAGCTATCTATGACAAACCCACAGTCAATATCATACTGAATGGGCAAAAACTGGAAGCATTCCCTTTGAAAACTGGCACAAGACAGGGATGCCCTTTCTCACCACTCCTATTCAACATAGTGTTGGAAGTTCTGGCCAGGGCAATTAGGCAGGAGAAGGAAATAAAGGGTATTCAATTAGGAAAAGAGGAAGTCAAATTGTCCCTGTTTGCAGATGACATGATTATATATCTAAGTTGCTATTTTATCCAATAGCTCCTTGAAAAACAAAGCCAATGTATGCATATTCACGTTTATCTCATTTGAATAACCAATGTCAACAAAACATATACCTCTGGTGCCCAATGGTAACAAAGAGGAGCAATGAGTCACTGTGGTTTATCCCAATTCTATCACTCTTTCCTGCTTCCAGTAGTTCCTGGAGCAGCCAAAAATCAAATCATCCCTTATGCAAATATTCTAAATGCATCTGAAGTGAGTTCACTTAATCTAAGAGTTATAATTTTAAAAATCATTTTATTTATACTCATGAAGACTCCTGATGTTTTTACATTTCCTGGATTCAGCAGTTCGACTTTCTCACTGTCTCTTCGTCCACTTTTGCAAAAACATACACATCAATGAAATAATGTGTAATCAGATTCCTATGAAAATAAACTAAACAAAGTTTCTAAATCACTAGAGACTTCTTTTCTTATAAATAACCAACCAATATGACATAATACATATATATACATATGTCATGATTGTCATGATTATTGGCAGTTATCTGTTTAGTACTCTTAAAATACATTCTTTGATTCCTTTTTTTTTTAAATCTAGTTTCACATGATATACCATCGGGGTCTCTCAGGTTCTTTTACAAAATAACTACCTCAGCAAACACAGCTTTCAAAAAAAAACCAAAAAACAAAAATCTGATGTGAACAAAGCATGTATCACTGATGTGCAAAACTTCTAGGGAGAAGAAATGAGACCCTGTGGGTTACCCTCATCCTTCTAACTTCTGCTTCTGCTTTCCATTAAGCGACTTCCCACAAGTCTCCTCATCAGAAACCTCCAAATTACCTCACTAGCTGCTTTCTTTGTTTACACCTGCCCAATTTGACATACACTCTTTTTTGTTCATAAATCTAACATCCATATTGGTGGACTTGATTCTTTGACCTCCACATTCGTTTCTTCATTATTTTCACCACCACTGTATGTGACATCTGTACAATCCCATTCTGACACATGTGAGGATAAGGTTTTGCTTTATTAAAATGTTAAATGTGTCAGACACTTGACTAACGTGTACAAATTCCTTCTTCACAAAAGCAGCCCCATGGCCTCCTCTCTCCCATAGACACTCTTTCACAGCTGTTCTTCACTCACATCGGTTTGAGTATCTATCATCTCTCATTTTGTCTCTATGCTTTCACCTCATATTATGAGTTATTATCATAGGCTCAGCAGCCTATCCTACCTGTTTTCCTCTCCAGCAGACAGTACTGAGCAATAAACTAGAATTTTCCAGGATATGAACACTTTTATGTACACAACACTTTGTGGAGCTATTTTATGTTTAACTACCCATAACACCACTATGTCTATGCTTTCCAGAGAAACAAGCTCTGAAATTTTATTCAATATAACCTATTTAGAAACTTCTTTAACTACAATGACAGTCTCTCCTTGATGCACCAAAATCTTCAGAAATAACTTGTGAAGACTTGAAAACATGTCAGTAATTGACATGAAAAATGAAGCACTGACATAATTTTTTGCAGGTATAAAAAAGACAAGCTGAGATCCTTACTAGATCCAAGAAGAGCAAAGTACATTAGACAGGAAATAAATATGGAACAGAAACATTTTCATTTGTAATGAAAATTCCTCTATTTACAGTTTTCAGAAGAGAAAAAAATACACACACATACACACACACACACACACACACACACATTCACACACAAAAACCAGAGCAATATGGCTTTACGGGGTGTTTCTTCATCAAAGTCCTATTTGCCATTTGACATCTGGGAACACTCTATAGGGATCAACAAAGGGGTTCTAAATTGTGATCTGAGTAGTTTAGAGTTTAACATTCATGAAGGGGAGCCAAGAGGACAAGTAACACTTTGACCATTGGCCATTTCCACTCCTTACTGTTAGTCTCTGAAAAGCACACACTGGATTTTCTCAGAGTCAGGACATGTCAAAAAGACATGCTTTAAGGGGGAAACAGGTGCAATCAACACAGCCATGGGAGAGATACAGCTATGCTTGCTAGGATTTCCAATACTTCTGTTTCATTTCTAATATAGTACAAATCAATAAAAGCAACCACATAAGCATATCCATGTTGGTATGTCATCATATTTAAGTCTATATGGTATCGGCATGAAGAGAGCATAATATGCTGTAGTCATCACATGGCATATCATGAGATCATACAATAAATCAAGAAATACCTCACTGGGTCAATGTGGATAGATCTGAAATATATATCACTGATTTTACAAAGACCAAGTTGCATTCATTAAGTGCACTGCCTGAACTTTTCTACAAGTTTTTAATATACAAAATCAAGTCCTACATGTTATCTATGAATGTGCACATGTGTTGTAAGAGGTTTTTAATGTGCATTTGGGTGATTTTTTTAAATTAATTCAAGCTCTTGATTACATGTCAGCAGTAAGCTTCAGTATTATAGGAAACCCAAAACCGTAACAGCTCAGAATCACCGTCTTAAAAGGCTGTGTCTACCAAAGAGTCAGGAAAGCATGACCACTTACTTTCTTCATTTTTGAAACTCAGAGGTACCTCATGCACACTCCCAAATAAAACTGCACAAGTTCCTTAGTTTAATTAGATCCCATTTGTCAATTCTGGCTTTTGTTGCCATTGCTTTTGGTGTTTTAGTCATGAAGTCTTTGCCCATGCCAATGTCCTGAATGGTATTGCCTAGATTTTCTTCTAGGGTTATTATGGTTTTAGGTCTCACTTAAACGTTTAAGTCTTTAATTTATCTTGAGTTAATTTTTGTTTTTTTTGTTTTTGTTTTTTTTTTTACAGAACACTTTTTTTTTTTAATTATACTTTAAGTTTTAGGGTACATGTGCACATTGTGCAGGTTAGTTACATATGTATACATGTGCCATGCTGGTGCGCTGCACCCACTAACTCGTCATCTAGCATTAGGTATATCTCCCAATGCTATCCCTCCCCCCTCCCCCCACCCCACCACAGTCCCCAGAGTGTGATATTCCCCTTCCTGTGTCCATGTGATCTCATTGTTCAATTCCCACCTATGAGTGAGAATATGCGGTGTTTGGTTTTTTGTTCTTGCGATAGTTTACTGAGAATGATGATTTCCAATTTCATCCATGTCCCTTCAAAGGACATGAACTCATCATTTTTTATGGCTGCATAGTATTCCATGGTGTATATGTGCCACATTTTCTTAATCCAATCTATCATTGTTGGACATTTGGGTTGGTTCCAAGTCTTTGCTATTGTGAATAGTGCCGCAATAAACATACGTGTGCATGTGTCTTTATAGCAGCATGATTTATAGTCCTTTGGGTATATACCCAGTAATGGGATGGCTGGGTCAAATGGTATTTCTAGTTCTAGATCCCTGAGGAATCGCCACACTGACTTCCACAATGGTTGAACTAGTTTACAGTCCCACCAACAGTGTAAAAGTGTTCCTATTTCTCCACATCCTCTCCAGCACCTGTTGTTTCCTGACTTTTTAATGACTGCCATTCTAACTGGTGTGAGATGGTATCTCACAGTGGTTTTGATTTGCATTTCTCTGATGGCCAGTGATGATGAGCATTTTTTCATGTGTTTTTTGGCTGCATAAATGTCTTCTTTTGAGAAGTGTCTGTTCATGTCCTTCGCCCACTTTTTGATGGGGTTGTTTGTTTTTTTCTTGTAAATTTGTTTGAGTTCATTGTAGATTCTGGATATTAGCCCTTTGTCAGATGAGTAGGTTGCAAAAATTTTCTCCCATTTTGTATTGCCTGTTCACTCTGATGGTAGTTTCTTTTGCTGTGCAGAAGCTCTTTAGTTTAATTAGATCCCATTTGTCAATTTTGTCTTTTGTTGCCATTGCTTTTGGTGTTTTGGACATGAAGTCCTTGCCCATGCCTATGTCCTGAATGGTAATGGCTAGGTTTTCTTCTAGGGCTTTTATGGTTTTAGGTTTAAATCTTTAATCCATCTTGAATTGATTTTTGTATGAGGTGTAAGGAAGGGATCCAGTTTCAGCTTTCTACATATGGCTATGTAGAAAGTTTTCCCAGCACCATTTATTAAATAGGGAATCCTTTCCCCATTTCTTGTTTTTGTCAGGTTTGTCAAAGATCAGATAGTTGTAGATATGCAGCGTTATTTCTGAGGGCTCTGTTCTGTTCCATTGATCTATAGCTCTGTTTTGGTACCAGTACCATGCTGTTTTGGTTACTGTAGCCTTGTAGTATAGTTTGAAGTCAGGTAGTGTGATGCCTCCGTTAATTTTTGTATAAGGTGTAAGGAAGGGGTCCAGTTTCAGTTTCCTGCATAAGGCTAGCCAGTTTTCCCAACATCATTTATTAAATAGGTAATCTTTTCCCCACTGATTGCTTTTTGTCAGGTTTGTCAAAGATCATACGGTTGTAGATGTATGGTGTTGCTTCTGAGGCCTCTGTTCTATTCCATTGGTCTATATCACTGTTTTGGTAGCTGTACCATGCTGTTTTCATTACTATAGCCTTGTAGTGTAGTTTGAAGTCAGGTAGCGTGATGCCTCCAGCTCTGTTCTTTTTACTTACAATTGTCTTGGCTATATGGGCCCTTTTTTTGTTCCATATGAAATTTCCAGTAGTTTTTTCTAATTCTGTGAAGAAAGTCAATGGTAGTCTATAGCATTGAACCTATAAATTACTTTGGGCAGTATGGCCATTTTCATGATATTGATTCTTCCTATCCATGAGCATGGAATGTTCTTCCATTTGTTTGTGTCCTCTCTTATATCCTTGAGCAGTGGTTTGTAGTTCTCCCTGAAGAGGTCTTTCTCATCCCTTGTGAGTTGTATTCCTAGGTATTTTATTCTCTTTGTAGCAATTGTGAATGGGCGTTCACTCACGATTTTGCTATTTGTCTTTTATCGGTGTATAGGAATGCTTGTGATTTTTGCACACTGATTTTGTATCCTGAGACTTTGCTGATGTTGCTTATCAGCTGAAGGAGATTTGGGGCTGAGACAATTTGGTTTCCTAAATATACAATCATGTTATCTGCAGAGACAATTTGACTTCCTTTCTTCCTATTTGAATACCCTTTATTTTTTCCTCTTGTCTGATTGCCCTGGCCAGAACTTCCAATACTATGATCAGAGTGAACAAGCAACCTACAGAACAGGAGAAAATGTTCGCAATCTCTCCATCTGACAAAAGGCTAATATCCAGAATCTAAAAGGAACTTAAACAAATTTATGAGAAAAGAACAAACAACCTCATCAAAAAGTGGGTGAAGGATATGCTCAAAAGAAGACATTTATTCAGCCAGTAAACACATGAAAAAAAGGCTCATGATCACTGATCATTAGAGAAATGCAAATCAAAACCACAATGAGATACCATCTTATGCCAGTTAGAATGGTGATCATTAAAAACTCAGGAAACAACAGATGCTGGAGAGGATGTGGAGAAATAGGAACGCTTTTATATTGTTGGTGGGAGTGTCAATTATTTCAACCACTGTGGAAGACAGTGTGGTGATTCCTCAAGGATCTAGAACAAGAAACACCATTTGACCCAGCAATCCCATTACTGAATACATACCCCAAAGATTAAAAATCATTCTACTATAAAGACACATGCACATGTATGTCTATTGCAGCACTATTCACAATAGCAAAGACTTGGAACCAACCCGAATGCCCATCAGTGATAGACTGGATAAAGAAAATGTGGCATATACACATCATGGAATACTATGCAGCCATAAAAAAGGATGAGTTCATGTCCTTTGCAAAGACATGGATGAAGCCTGAAACCATTATTCTCAGCAAACTAACACAGGAAAAGAAAACCAAATGCCACATTTTCTCACTCATAAGTGGGAGTTGAACAATGAGAACACATGGACACAGGGAGGGGAACATCACACACCGGGGCCTGTCAGGGAGATGGGGTCCTAGGGGAGGGACAGTATTATTAGAAATACCTAATGTAGCTGATGGGTTGATGGGCACAGTAAACCACCATGGCACATGTATGCCTATGTAAAAAACCTGCATGTTCTTCACATGTATCCCAGAACTTAAGGTATAATACAAAGCAAACAAACCAACATTAATTCAGGTTGTTGGTTACCTGTAGGCAATGAATTGTAGTAGTATCAAAGACTCTAAGGCTAAAACAGCTCAGAGTCATTGCTTTAAAACCCTGTATCTACCAAAGAGTCACGAAAAAATGATTAATGACTTTATTCATTTTCCAGAATCAGAGGTATCACACACACCCAAACTCACAAACAAAAGCGCACACACACATACACATGCAGAAATTCAAGCTGGTAATCAGAGCATGTGATTGGGTGAAGACTCGAAGGTTCTCAGTGTGACAACACCGACATAAAGAAGATGAAGTTCTAACACAATTGTAATGTCAGCTGGTATAGCTTTTCTCTAGGTAAAGGACAGTATTGCAACCAGAAATTGAAGCACTGAAAAATATTTATAGTTTCAAAATTCATCTCCTTGAACCCCTAACATGCACACAAATTCCACATTGGGATCTTTATCACAACCTAAAAGGAAAAGCATCTGAGCTAGAGCTCACATTTTTAAAATTTCTTTTCCTTGTTCTTCTAAATATCATTTTATAAGCATAGACACTAACAACAGCATCAGCATCATTTAGATCAAATCCTTCTATCTTATTGGGGTAAAAGAAGTAAGAATCAGAAGGCTATGAACATTTCCAGTATATTCATGTCCTTCTTTCCAGATGAAATTTGTATTGGCAAATTTACCTTTTCCTGGAGGTGGTGAATCCTTCCTTCTCATGGCTGCTTTTGAACTGGGATCTGCCTCTTTCAGAGTAAGCTGAATGGGTTTTACAACATAATGATTAATATGTCATGTATATATCACAAAGCATTTTGTTAATTAAAAATGAAAATATATTTGTTTACCGTGGATAAAGGAGGTCGCTCAGAAGATTCTACAAAGCAAAAGGGACACATAATTAAGTTTTCATAAAACATGTAGTCCAGATTTCAAGAGAGAGATTAGGTTTCACATGACTACAACTAACACAGGAAAGTACTTCTACCAATGTGATCCTCTTAACTGAAGCCAAAAAATGTGATGTCAAAAGAAAGGACCAAATAGGACCCCAGAAGGATAAATGTCAAAGCCCATGGTAGAATACTATGGTGTACCCTGAAGAAAATCACCCAAGAACCATTTATACTATAATACTACAATAGTTCTCCTGTTCTTCATTTTGTCCTCTAACTTAAAAACTATCAATTTCATTAAAATCTATCATTCACTTCTGCTTGCAGGATGTATTCTCAGTTCATTAGTTCAGATATCTACATACAGAAGCATAGTTAACAAAAATACTCATGTTGTCCACAGTCATGCACGCTTCTGGTGTTTTTCCATTTCCTGGATTCTCAACTTTAGCCCTCCTGCCATCTCTTCATTCACTTATGCAAAAAAGTATACATTACACTCCAAATACCTAATGTGTAATTAGATTCCCATAAAACAAATCTAACCAAAATATTTGAAACATCAGAGGCTTTTTTCATGTTAATCAAAATATTTGCCATGATTATCGACAGTTACATTTTAACAAACCCGCACATTGTGCACATGTACCCTAAAACTTAAAGTATAATAATAAAATAAATAAATAAATAATACTTAAGAAATATATTTCTTGATTGTTTTGCTTCCACAGTCAGTTTGACATGCAGTGCATCACATTTTGCTAACATGAAGCACCTGTCCTATTGTTGCTGTGTGACCCCTACAGAGAGAAGAATTGAGTCCCTGTGGTTTACTCTCATTCTTCCACCTCTGCTTCCATTAATCTCTGAAGCAACAATAATCCAATATTCTGTTCGAGTGCGAATATACCAGGTCCACATAAAGTCAGTGTTCTCAGGTTTCCTCATCAGAAACCCCCAAACACCTAGCCAGCTGCTATCTTTATTTACACCATCCCACCCCACTTGTACTCTTTTTTGTTGATAAATCTAATCTCACTATCTGGTCTTCATTCTTTGCCTTCCACATTTTGTTCTTCATTATTCTCACCACCCCTGTGATCAAACCAGTAAAATCTCATTTTTATAAATATGAAGATATGGTTTTCCTTTATTAGAATATAAAAGTTACAGAAAATGGACTAACTTGTACAAATTCCTTCTTCACAACAGCAGCCCCATGTCCTCCTCTCTCCCATAGACACAGTTTCATAGTTTCTATTCACTCACATCAGTTTCATCGAGTATCAACTCTCATTTTATCTTTACGGCTTTATTTTACATGAGGGTTATTATCAAAGACTCAGCAAACTATGTTACATATTTTCTTCTACACAAGAGATTACTGAGCAGTAAATAAGAATTTCTTTGGATATAAACACTTTTATGTACACAAACTTTTTGTGAAGCTAATTTATGGTTAAATACACATTACACCATTATGTGTTATGTGTTCCAGATAAACAGAACTCTAAAATTTTATTAAACATATTTAATTTTAAAACTTCTGCAATTACAATGACATAGTCTCTGCTCAATGCAGCAACATCTTCAGAAATCACTTGTGAAGACTTGGGAAAATGTCAGTCATTTACATGAAAAATGAGAGCATTAAGTGACAACACTGCTTGCTGGTATAAATAAGACAAGGCTAGATCCTTACCAGATTCAAAGAGATCAGAGTGCCATGGACAGAAACAAATATATAAAACAGAAAGATTTTCATTTCTACCAAAAATTCATGTATTTAAAGTTTTCAGAAAAGCACAAAATACAGGAAAACACAGCGGTGAGGCATTATAGAGCATTTCTTTATCTGGAGACTATCATTTGACACCTGGAAACCCTTTATAGGGCCCAACAAAGGGGTTCTAAACTGTGATTTGATCATTCCTGGAGTTCATCATCTATGTAAGGAAGCCAAGGTACCAAATGATACTTTGGCCATTTCTTCTTTCCAATGTCATTCTCTGAAAAGCATACACTGGAGTTTTTCAGCTATGGCAGTGTATACAGCTATACTCGGGGTATCTGAAATACTTCTATTTAATTTCTTTATAGTACAAATCAATAAAGGCAACCACATAAGCAAATCTATGTTGGTATGTCATCATATTTATGTTCATTTTGTATCAGCATGAAGAGATTTTAATTAATTGTGGTGCAGTCATAAAACAAATCAAATATGTGGTGCAGTCATAAAACAAATCAAAGATGACCAAACTGTGTCAACCTGGACAGATCTGAAATATATTCCACTGATTACAAAAGCCGAGTTGCAGCTATTATGTACACTGTGTGAAATCGTATAGAAGACTTGATACTTGGAAACAGATTCCACATATTACCTATGAAAGTGCAAGTATCTTGTAAAGTATTTTTAATGTGCATTGCAGTGACTTAAAAGTAAAAACGTTAATTCAGGCTGTTGGTTACCTGTAGGCAATAAATAGTAGTAGAAGAAAATATTCTAAGGCCAAAACAGCTCAGAATCATTGTTTTAAAACACTGTATCTACCAAAGAGTTACAAAAGAATGATTAATCATTTTATTCATTTTTAATCAGAGATACACACACACACACATGCAGAAACTCAATCCGGTAATCAGAAGATGTGATTAAGATTCTCAATGTAACAACGCTGAAATAAAGGCGTTGAAGTTCTAAAACAATTGTAAAGTCAGCAGGTATAGCTTTTCTCTAGATGAAGAAGACAGAAGAGTATTGCAATCAATTTTGAAGCACTGAAAATATTTAGTGTCAAAATACACCTCCTCAAATCCCTAACATGCACAGGAATTCAAAACTGGGATCTTTAGCTGATGACAACTTTAAAGGAAAAGCATTTGGGCTAGAGCTCACCGTGTAAAATGTCCGCCTTATGCCTTAAAAATCATTTTATAAACAAAGATATTAACAAGAACATCAGCATATTTACATCAAATCCTTCCATCTCACTTGGATAAAAAGTGGGAATCAAAAAACTATGAGCATTTTCAATATTTTCATCTACATTTTCTAGAACGAAATTTGTAGCGGCAAATTTACCTTCACTGGAAGTTAGTGAATCCATACCTCCTAAGAATCTAGTTGAAATGTGATCTCTGTCTTTCACCGTATGCTGAATGGGTTTGACAACATAATGATTAACATATCATGTATATATCACAGAGCATTTTGTTAATAATTAAAGAAAATATGTTTACCGTGAATAAAGGCGGTTGCTCAGGAGACACTACAAAGCAAAAGGAACACATAATTGACTACAGGTAAATATGACACAGCCTACCATCAATCATGCAGTGTTTGTATCCAGCTGAAATCTTCGTGCTTGCCCTTGAAATTGTTACCCATTAGGCTTTGGGTTGCTTTGCTCTTGTTTTGGTTAGCAAACAAACATGACAGGAATATACACATGAAAAATCACAATATAGATTCTATAAAACATGCAGTCCAGATTGCAAGGGTGAGATTAGGTTTCACATGACTACAAGTAACATAGAAAAGTATTTCTACCAATGTGAATCAGCTGGATGAAGCCAAAAAAGATGACGTCAAATGAGAGAACCAAAGCGGACCCCAGAAGAATAAATGTTAGAAACTATGAAGTTGCAATGAGAGTGCATGAAAATGTATCATTCGCGGCCGGGCGCGGTGGCTCACGCCTGTAATCCCAGCACTTTGGGAGGCCGAGGCGGGCAGATCACAAAGTCAGGAGATGGAGACCATCCTGGCTAACACGGTGAAACCCCGTCTCTACTAAAAATGCGTAAAATTAGCCGGGTGTGGTGGCAGGCGCCTGTAGTACCAGCTACTCAGGAGGCTGAAGCAGGAGAATGGCGTGAACCCGGGAGGCGGAGTTCGCAGTGAGCCGAGATCCCGCCACTGCACTCAAGCCTGGGTGACAGAGTGAGACTCCGTCTCAAAAAAAAAGAAAAGAAAATGTATCATTCGCTTCTGCTGGCAGGAAATGCTCTCAATCATTACTTTAGATATCTACTTGGAGAAAAATCGTTTCTAAAAATACTCATGTCATCCACAGTCATGAAGGCTTCTGATATTTTCAACTTCTGGATTCTCAACTTTAGTTCTCTTGCCATCTTTTCATTCACTTATGCAAAAAAAAAAGTATGCATTACACATCAAATAACTAATGAGTACTCAGATTTTCATTTACAAAATGTAACCAAAAATCTCTGAATCACCATTGACTTTTTTTTCATAACAATCAACTTTCTTTTTTTTATTTTTGACATGGAGTCTTGCTCTGTTGCCTAGGCTGGAGTGCAGTGGCACAATCTCGGCTCACAGCAACCTCCGCCGCCTGGGTTCAAGTGATTCTCCTGCCTCAGGCTCCCTAGTAGCTGGGACTACAGGCACATGCCACCACGCCTGGCTAACTTTTTGTATTTTTAGTAGAGATGGGGTTTCACCATGTTAGCCAGGATGGTCTCCATCTCCTGACCTCATGATCCTCCCGCCTCAGCCTCCCAAAGTGCTGGGATTACAGCCGTGAGCCACCGTGCCCGGCTTAATCAACTTTTACCTATCAAAATATTTGCCATGATTATTGACAGTTACACTTTTAGTACTCAAGAAAGAAATTTCTCGTTTGTTTTTTTCTAAAGTCAGTTTGATATGCTATAGCATAGCAGCCTCTGAGGTACATTTATACAATGGCTATTTCATCAAAAACAGCACTGTTTTTAAAGAAAACTGCCAATGTTTTGATATCCAAGTGCATCCCAGTTCACTAACAAACATGAATGAAGCGCATATCATTGATGTGTAACCCCTATAGAGAGAAGAAATGAGTTCCTGTGGTTTCCTGTCGTTTTTCTACCCTCTGCTTCCAGTAAGCTCCAAAGCAGCAATAATTTAATCTTCTCTTTGAGTGGGAATATACTGAGTCTACATAAAGTGAGTTCCCTCAAGTTTCCTCATCAGAAACCTCCAAATTACCTAGCCAGCTGCTTTCTTAATTTACACCATCCCACCTCACATTTTTTTGTAAATATACTAATGTCCATTTCTCAACAATGAACATTATATTTTGATCTACAAGTTTAAGTGTTCACCAAAGTTTTAAGAAAAAGTATGTTTAAATTAAATTATATTTACTATTAAAAATTAATAAATTATATTTATAATTTAATTAAAATTAGGCTTATAATTTAATGTAATTTAACAATTAATTTAATTTTAAATTTATTTTAAATTATATTTAAATTAGTTATATTTATTTTCAAAAATTATATTAAAGCATAGAAAATTATTCAGCTATATTCACTACCTCACCACCTTTGTTTCTTTGTACACAAAAAATAACATTATCATTATTTCATTGCTCTCATGGAGCACTTTTTATAATACCAATACCATTTGCTTTTTGTCCAGTTGCTGGTAGTGCTTTTCCTTCCTATTAAAAAAAAAAAAGAAATCTTCAGAAAATGTTATATTTACTACTCAATCAGTCAGTAATTCAAGAAACATTTTCTGTGTCTATAAATTCATAAGGTCTATACTGGAAAATCTGATAATATGAATAAAATACTAATTTTATTTATTTATCAAGTGAAAAAAGAAACTTATAAAAACAAAAGCAGAAAGACACAATTCATTATTTCTACAACTCAAGTCAATAAAATACAGTGACAGCACAAAGGCAATAACACTTATTTCTACTTGGGAAGCTTCTGAGACACTGCAAATTTAGGGTCCTATTTTTAAAATAGACAAGTGAAGACTAAGAGTGTGAAGTGTTTCTAGTGAGGGCAGCATGTGCAAAAAAATGAAACAGCATAGCCAATAAGAACTACCACAATAACGTGGTAAAACTTGGGCACAGACAGAGAAAGTGGAGTGGAGAGATAAAATGGGAGAAACAGGCCAAACCGCAAAATAAGTGTTATGCTAGAATGTAAATGTTTCTTTCGTGTAATGAGGGTCCAGCCATAAGCAGATGAGTTAGATCAAAGTAAACATGTTTAAGAAAGGTCACCCTGAAAGACATATACAGATAAACATGGGGAGAAGAGAGAAACAAAAACGAACATTCCAAAAGTATAGGGCAGACAGTGTATTACAGTAATAAGATATGAGAAATGGTTAAAGGTATTTTAAAGGTATTTTAAAGGTAGAAAATACAAAATTTGGTGAGTCACTGGATTGGCAATGTGAGGGAAACCTGGAGTGCAGTTTTTCTGCTTCAATGTTTCATTGCTACTTTCTTGGTGTTATTTACTAAAATTGGGAAGCCAGATGACAGAGTAGATTACAAAGAGTCAGGAAAGAATCTGGAAGGCAGTTTGAGACCTGTCAAATTTGAGGCACAAAGGGGACTTAGAAGACTGATCTGGGTAAATACATTTGGAGTAGAAATAGATGACCTTACTCAAAAAAACCATATGTTGTTGAGAAGGTCAACATTTGTAAAATATACTAAACTGGTAGGATTCGATAATTTAAACCTATGAAGAACCCTGAAGTTTTGAAAATAAAAAGAAAACAAAATATGGGATTCAAAATTTCAATTATATATTTCTATACTGGATTAAAAGATATAAAATATATTTTCTTAATGTATGCAGACATTTATTTCTGGAATATTATGGTCATCTGCACTTTTGAACTTAATGAAAACAGTTATCTAAAGGAATAATTCAAGTTATCCTAAGAAAGCTCATTTTTAAAAAATCATCTTAAAAGTTTTTAACTTGTATGAATGTTTATTCTATTATGGAATTATAAGGCATTTTAAGTACTACTAAAATATAAGAGAGAAATGTAAAACCTATTTTAAAGTTCATATGGTTTTCTGATTCTCCTGTAAATGATATACTAATAGCTCTAATTGCCTACTTATGCCATAAAGATAATAGTTAAAAATCAGAGAAAGGATCAAGTAAAATAATCATGTCACCATGCAAGCTGAAGATTTACATGTCTTCAAATACACTATGCCTGTCAGTCAGGACCCAATACTCACATGAAGAGAGAAGAAATTTATTTGAAACATCAAGTCAAAAGGATTCCTGAGCTTTAGAGCTGAATAAATTTATGTGCAAGGTATAACAACTATAAATACTAAAGTTAATAATGCTTCCAGAGAATAACACAAAATGTCCCAACTGTAGGAGATAATTTTAAAAGTAAAAAGTAATATTCCAGAGATAATTCTGTGTACTCTGTTGGCAATATTTCTTTCCTTACGATTCTATAAAAATAGGTACTTTGTTTAGAAAACAATCATGAGTGTTGACTGCATTCATCACATGTATGTTCTTAAGTACAGATGTTATCAGCACAAGGTAAGTCAGACTAGCTCCAGAAATAAGTAATAATTTATTTCTTTAAGAGGGTTCCAGGTTAAAAATATATTTTTTCTCATTCAATGAATATAAATTAGAAACCTCCTATAAAATTAACCAGAAATGGCTAGGCGTGGTGGCTCACGCCTGTAATCCCAGCACTTAGGGAGGCCGAGGCGGGCAGATCACGAGGTCAGGAGATCGAGACCATCCTGGCTAACACAGTGAAACCCCGTCTCTACTAAAAATATTAAAAAAATTAGCCGGGCGTGATGGCGGGCGCCTATAGTCCCAGCTACTCGCGAGGCTGAGGCAGGAGAATGGCGTGAACCCGGGAGGTGGAGCTTGCAGTGAGCCGAGATCGCCCACTGCCCTCCAGCCTGGGCGACAGAGCGAGACTCCGTCTCAAAAAAAAAAATTAACCAGAAATTTTAATTTTTATTAATTTATGTATTAATTAATTTTTATTATTTTTTATTATTTAATTACTTATTTATTTTCCCTCTTATTATCAAAAAAGGCTAAAACAGCTCCAAGATTATGGAAAAGTGAAATAAATTAGTTAAGCAACTTAGGAGTATACCAAATATTACTTTAAAAAACTTTTAACAAGAGTCAAAAAGTAATGATTCATTCAAAATCTGATATAGCCTAAAACACATTTTATTTTGCATTATCTATGAACACAGCATTCACTAGATAAAATATAAGACATCACTTTACTGAAATTTAAAAAAGTGAGGATGAAATTTTCTTTCCATTTAGAATTTTTAAATTAATAAATAGATGCATATATTTTCAGTGTACGTGTGATGATTTGATCCATCTATATAATCTAATGAGGGTAACAGAGATACACATTACCTTAAATATGTATGTTTTATTTAAACTAGAAATATTGAAGTTATTCTCTCCTGGCTATTTTTAAATGTAAAACAGAATGTTAAATACAGTCACCCATAAATTTTCTTCCAATCCTTTATTAAAATCACCCGTAAGTCACTCAGAAGAATCTGAGAATTTTTCAATTACTTGGCTTTCTTTTCTTAATCTATATTTAAAATAATTCTATAATTTGATATGGAGACATTCTACTGTCATTTAAATTCACTGTTTTTGAGGTGTTTTATACTAATCTTTGTCATCTTGACACTCTTATTCAACTCTGTATTCTTACTTCTTTCCCCTCCTCACCTTTGTATTTGTGGAGCTGTTCTTTCAGGTTGCTTTCTACTTCTTTCCTTCCCTAATGGCAAACCTAAGAATCATTTACTCCCATGACCTTTTAGGAATCCTAGTCCCATGCATACATTTCCCTTGTTGTCACACTTCTTTTCTATTATTACCTTGAGAACTTCCATTCCTTTATAGGATCCTTGTCATCGTTATAAAGACAGGGAGATGGCAAGTGAATAAAGCACGGGAAAAATATTTTCCAAATAAAACAATTTACCATTGTAAAACTAAAGATCATTAACAGATAAGAGTGAGTTGGTGAACAGGACTGGACTCTGATTATTCTATGTTGGCTTTTAACCACATCTTCATTTACCTTATCAACATTTTGGTCTTCAAACATGTTTCCATTTTCTGTTTTGTCAATGCCACATGCAGCATCTACTACAGTAAAAACAAAGTCAAGAGTAGATGAAATGCATGTAATTAAGAATCAAGAAATAAGAACCGGGTGTGGGGGCTCACAGCTTTAATCCCAGCAGTTTGGGGGGCCAATGCAGGCAGATCATATGAGGTCAGGTGTTCAAGACCAGCCTGGCCAACATGGTGAAACTCCATCTCTACCAAAAATACAAAAATAGCCAGGTGTGGTGGTGCACACCTGTAATCCCAGCTACTCAGGAGGCTGAGGCAGGAGAATCACTTGAACCCAGGAGGTAGAAGTTGCAGTGAGCCAAGATCATGCCACTGCACTCCAGCCTGGGCAACAGTGAGTAACACTCTGTCTACAAAAAATAAGAAAGAAAAAGAAAGAAAAAAAAAGATTCAGTAGATAATATAATAGTCAGGTTTCAAATAGCTTACAATTTTCTGCAGATTGTTGAGAAATAGTCCTTCTGTTCGTAAAGTATGGTTCTGAAATATTCTAGAAGACACAATAGGTTTAAGAATAACATGCAGCAAGTTAAAATAATGATAATTGCCACCATTACTACATGATCTAACACAAAAAGGATGGACTTTGAAGTCACTCATATGTAGATTCAAACCTCAAGTCTGCCATTTACTTATCTACATATTCACATGGGATGATGATTATGATTGGTGATACAGATATTCTCAAAATGTTACTCCTTTCAACCCCAGTTGAGTTATTATACAAATACTATGATATCCATTAGTTTCTTTTATTAACCACAACAAACTGGGAAAAAAATTTACTCATCTGTAATTTAGAGTATGACTGAACAAAACTAATAATAAAAAGTCAATTAATCACTTTATTTTTCAAAATACTTAGGCATGATATATATTTGTGTGAATTACTTTCTGCGGGAAAAAATGTGAGAATGTAGTTTTTAGTAGTACTATCTTTAAACAGTGTAAGTTGCTTCTATTCTGTGTGTCAAAAGCTAAAAACAAATTATTGTATAACCTCCGCTCCTTCCAAAAAAGACAGAACAAAGCAACCATCCACCTTATGGAGCAATGATTCATGAATGAAGGCCACACATAGTTACTAAATAGAAAGTTGTAACTAAGTATCCTGACAACAGAAACAGAGGTGAAATGAAAGAATAGACACTAAAGACATGCGGTCTGCAAGGAAAATATTAGACTGAGGTAAGTTATTTTTAAACAAAGGGGAAGGAGGGAGCAACAAACAAAAAAAGAGACATGACCAGTCAATCAAATATGAGCTTAAAAGAAAAGCTTGTGTTCATAATATATGCCTAATAATACTGGTTAGCATTTATTCGACAATTTGTTTTGTGTAAATACTTATGTAATAAAAAGTTTAATTTGTTTACTATAAAATAACACATCCCAAGAATTAACCATGATCATTCACCTGAAAGCTGAAACATTCTTACTACAAACAGAGAGAGAGAGAGAGAGAGGAAAAAAAAACAAAAACCAATAAAATTCCAGCAACTTAACACCTGGAGAAAGGATTTTTATTCAGAATTCGAAAGAGTAATGTATGTCCTTGAACAGACACTTCTCAAAAGAAGACATTTATGCAGCCAAAAAACACATGAAAAAAACGCTCACCATCACTGGCCATCAGAGAAATGCAAATCAAGACCACCATGAGATACCATCTCACACCTGTTAGAATGGTGATCATTAAAAAGTCAGGAAACAACAGGTGCTGGAGAGGATGTGGAGAAATAGGAACACTTTTACACTGTTGGTGGGACTGTAAACTAGTTCAACCATTGTGGAAGTCAGTGTGGCGATTCCTCAGGGATCTAGAACTAGAAATACCATTTGACCCAGCCATCCCATTACTGGGTATATACCCAAAGGACTATAAATCATGCTGCTATAAAGACACATGCACACGTATGTTTATTGCGGCACTATTCACAATAGCAAAGACTTGGAACCAACCCAAATGTCCAACAATGATAGACTGGATTAAGAAAATGTGGCACATATACACCATGGAATACTATGCAGCCATAAAAAATGATGAGTTCATGTCCTTTGTAGGGACATGGGTGAAATTGGAAATCATCATTCTCAGTAAACTATCGCAAGAACAAAAAACCAAACACCGCATATTCTCACTCATAGGTGGGAATTGAACAATGAGATCACATGGACACAGGAAGGGGAATATCACACTCTGGGGACTGTTGTGGGGTGGGGGTAGGGGGGAGGGAGAGCATTGGGAGATATACCTGATGCTAGATGACGAGTTAGTGGGTGCAGCGCACCAGCATGGCACATGTATACATATGTAACTAACCTGCACAATGTGCACATGTACCCTAAAACTTAAAGTATAATAATAAAAAAAAAAGAGTAATGTATGTCCTGAAAAATATGTATTTAATAGAACATGGTTGGGGCTTTAAAAATTTAAGAAAATTTAATCTAAAATCCTAATCTAAGCTTCCAGTTGGAAGATATTAGAAAACACGCTGTATCCGCCTTTCCTATTTCCTTTCCATCTTTTCCAATTTTCATTTTCTTCTATAACATATTTTCTCAGGATAACTCACCTCAACTTATAGATTCTCAACATTAGAACAAAAGATAAATTCAGAACATTCAAGACATTTAATAGATTTAATTATTAGATATCTTAGGCATATTATGTTACCTGTAACAGTCCATTAAAAAAAAGCCCATTTCCCTGTTTGTTGATTCACATTAAAAACTAATAAAATATTTCTTACATGCAAGACATTATTCTGGGTGCTTAAGATACATACAAATAGGTTTTCTAGCTTCAAGTGGCTCATAGTAATGCAGGAGTTTTACAATTATTTTTTCAATAACTAAGCACAAAAGCCTCTGAAATTTGAAATTTAGAATGAGATACAAAGACCCTGAGTGGATTTTTTTTAATTACAACGCAGAAACCATGAGAAATTAAAGTCTGATCATAGAAATATGAAGAGTCTCTGCTTATCAAACAGGTTGTTATTTTAAACAAAATGCATATTCTTCAATTAGATAAAGAGTTTAAAGTATACTCTTAATAAAAAAGACTTGGAAAACACACTGTAAACCCTCTCTACTGTAGATCTGAGAACAGAATTTAAATTTCTAATATTCCACAATTTTTTAAATTAGAGATAAGCTCTTGCTGTATTGCCAAGCTTGGTCTTAAACTCCTGGGATTAAGAAATTCTCCTGGCTTGAACTCTTGAGTAGGTGGGACTACAGGCACATGATACCATGTCTAGTTAAATTTCCACAATTTGTAATATTATTTTAGCCTAAATATATAGAACCAAGAATAAAAATAAAGAAGTAGCTCTCTGCAAAAATACTGTATGATGTTAAAATAGGTGTACAAGAAATGAAAAGAAACTATATGCTATGTGTAACAGGGTGATTCCATGATTCCCATAATAAGTCATCTGATGTAACAAAGATTCATTTAAACAGAGGTATTATTAGTCATACTCATATGATATACAACTCAGATTAAAAACACTTACTCAGATAAGCCTAGACCAAAATTTGTATCTCCTCTGTTGTGGGAAAGTGTTCCAAAACCATATTTTCCTGTCACTATGTATTTTCCAGCAATTTTTTTTTCAGATCACACCTCTCAAAGTATTTATCAACTATTTCTTATTTGCAAAGTAAAAAAAAATTAAAATTAACCCCCCCTATTTCTTTAAAATGGTTATCTCTAATAAAAGTTTTAATACTAACATAAAACAATGATAGGTAGACAATTGCTACCTATTATTTGCTAGAAGAAAATAATACAAAAAATGAGATTCAGAATGAGAAAATTAATTTCACAAGAGAGTACTCTACCTCAGATTCCAAAGCAAACTTATCCTTTGTCACAGGCTGTGCAAAACGGTCCAGTAGGTAGAGACACCTACAGAGCAAAAAGATATTACAAAAATGAGCACGTTCATTTCTTAAAAGAAAACAAAAACCGTCAGTCTATACATGCAGGTCCCCTCCAAAAAAAATGGTAAAACAAAGTCTGAGGAAACTCAGTTATCTGCATATTAAATAATATTTCTTGGTATAATTAAGATATGGCTTCCATTTTAGAAAACATTTCAGTTACCTATTTCTGCTGCCACTTCTCCCAACCTATGAAATATCCAATGCAGACTCACCCTTAAACCCATAACAAATAGTGACAGGCATTATAATGGCACAGCCAGACAATAATTTGTCCTTATAAATTATCTACCCTAAAGACTAAACTGAAAATCCAATTGATATCTGACACAACTTTTGTTACTGAACTGCAGTAAACCTGATAACCTAAAACAAGGTAGAAAAGGCACGGTCTCTTCTCCATTATCTATTTCTGATTCAAAGACTAATCTGTGTCACTGGAAAATGGGAGTCTTAGATCTTCAGCATGTAAGCTACTTAAAGAGGGCCCATTGATTCTCTTCACCCTAGAACACTACAGGGAACCCCCTGAAACACTGCAAATGTTTGAAAGCTGAGTGTACAAAAGTCAAAGTACAAATGTACTTTGGGAATATTCTTCACAGAAGATTAAAACATTAAAAATTATAAAATCCAATTATTGTCATTATATAGATCCTGCCTTATTCAGGTCCACAAAAACCAGCAAGCTTAAGAACCTTCATAGACACTCAGATATCCAAGAGAGGGACTAGTGGAAAAGTCTCCCTCCTGAGTACTTAGAGCTTCATTTCATTCATCACTATCTAAATATCTTCCTTCCTATGGGCTCCCCCTTCTGGATCCCTCTTCAGCAGGGATCCATGGCAATCTCCAATCTACATCTTCAAATTTGGCTGTCCCCTGCAAATTCCATTCTTATCCACTTTCATTGGGTTCAACAGCTCATTCAATTCTCATCCTCTTCCACTGTGTTCACTAGAGCCACTCCTGCTTTCTAAAACTAAAATCACTCAATGACAGAATGATGTAAAAGAAGACTGCGTTTTGAACTAAGAAACCTGAGTGCAATTCTCATTTCTCTGATTTACTGTATCCAAATAATTTTCTTTCTTTGAATTTCAGGTTCTCCACCTGAACAACCACTTGATCAGGATGTTGAGCAAGGATTCAAGTATAGAAGATATTTTGTTTAGTCTCTAGGATTTCTTAACATTCTGAAATTCTATGCACCTCTGATTTTGTCTATAGGAAAATGGGGACTACTTAGCTGTCTTAAATGAAAACTATAATAGAAGATCATAAACCCTTAGAAAAGCAGAAAAGAAAGTAAAAAGAAATCAAGAAAATATTATTAAAATGTCACAGAAGGAAAAAAAAGAATCCAGAAAATAAGAAAAAGCTTCAGCAAACTAGGCAGGGTACTCACTTAAAGAGAAAACCTAACTGGGTAGGGAGTAAGTGGAGAAATGAATTAGAAATATCCTTTTAATATATGCTAAATATAGTTAACATAACATGGACTATATTTAGATATTCTCCAAGCACAGTAAGATAATATTTTTCTAGGACTGGCCTGGTCTTGCTTATGAAAAACTTAGGGTCCTGTGGCCACAGATAACTGATAACTGCCTTTAAAATTTGATGGTTAAAAAAAAAAGTAATATGGTTACCACTGCCATTTCAAAATATTTGGAAAAACTTTTGGAGTAGCCAGGCTTCTAAATAACACTCTAAAGACAGTTAATATATAACAAAATGTGACTTTCTGAATTGATCTGATGTAAATAAGTACCATGGCCCCATTGCTGCATAGGCCTCTATCCATCTATGCTTAGGGGCAAATGAAGTGATTTGAGAGCCAGGCAGCATGATGGTCTAATGTTGGGTTGGCTACCTGTTAACTGTGGAATCATGAGCCAATATTTCAACCTCTTTAAAGCAGAGTTGCCTAATTAGTAAAAAAGCAATAACAGCACAAATAGTTTCTAAAGTTGTGTGACATGATAAATGTTAAGCATGTAATATGGTGTCCAGCACAGAGTAGAATACTAAACAAATACTAGTTTCTCTTCTCTCTATTCACTTAGTTAACATATCACTTTAAAAAATCTCTGAAATCATACCTGTCAACAGCCTCTTCAACAGGAGGAAGCACTATTAAAGAAAAAGTAAAATGCATTTTAAATCAACAATAGAACACTATAGAATACTAAAAACATAAAAGAGCACAGTGGCTTGTTCCTATAATCCCAGCTACTCAGAAGGCTGAGGCAGAAGTATCACTTGAGAAGCCAAGGAGTTTGAGACCAGCCTGGGTAACATAGCAAGACTCTATCCTTATAAACATAATAATAATAATCAACAAGGCCTGGTGTGGTGGGTCATGCCTGTAATCCTAGCAGCTTGGGAGGCCTAGGCAGGGGAATCACTTGAGGTCAAAAGTTTGAGACCAGCCTGGACAACATGGTGAAACTCCAAATCCACTAAAAATACAAAAATTAGCCAGGTGTGGTGGTGCACGCCTGTAATCCCAGCTACTCGGGAGGCTAAGGCAGGAGAATCACTTGAACCCAGGAGATGGAAACTGCAGTGAGCCAAGATCGCACCACTGCACTCCAGCCTGTGCTGCAGACTAGTAAGACTGTGTTTCACAAAGAAAAAAAAAAAACAAATGAAGAATCAGTAAATACTACAATAGGCAGCCTTCAAATAACTTACCATCTTTTATAGATCGTGGAGAAATAATCTTTCTCTTTGGGATGTATAGTTTTGAAATAATCTAGAAGAAAAACACAATAGGTTTAAGAATAACATGGAGCAAGTTAAAATAGGATAATACCCACCATTACTACATGATCTAACAGGAAAAGTATGGACGTTGAAATCACTCATATGTAGATTCAAACCTCAAGTCTGCCATTTACTAATCTACAGATTCACATGGGGTGATGGTTATGATTGGTGATACAGATATCTTCAAAATGTTACTCCTTTCAACCCATGTTGATTATTATACAAATACTATGATATCCATTAGTTTCTTTTATTAACCACAACAAACTAGGACAAAAATGTACTCATATGTAATTTAGAGTATTGCTGAATAAAACTAATAATAAAAAAAGTAAATTAATCACATTATTTTTCAAAATAGGTATGCATGATGTATGTTTGTGCGAATTACTTTCTGTGGGAAAAAATGTGAGAATGTAGTTTTTAGTAGTACTATCTTTAAATGGGTTGGCATCAGAAACAGCACAAGTTGCTTCTATTCAGCGTGTCAAAAGCTAAAAACAAATTATAGTACAACTTCAGCTCCTTCCAAAAAAGACAGAAAAAAGCAATCATCCACCTTATGGAGCAATGATTCACGAATGAAGGCCACACATAGCTACTAAATAGAAAGCTGTAACTAAGTATCCTGACAATAGAAACAGAAGTGAAATGAAAGAATAGACACTAAAGACATGTGGTCTGCAAGGAGAAAGTTAGACTGAGGTAAATCATTTTTAAACAAAGGGAAAGGAGGGAGCAACAAACAAAAAAAGAGACATGACCAGTCAATCAAATATGCGCTTAAAAGAAAAGCTTGTGTTCATAATATATGCCTAATAATACTGGTTAGCATTTACTCGACAATTTGTTTTGTGTAAATACTTATGTAATAAAGAGTTTCATTTGTTTACTATAAAATAACACATCCCAAGAGTTAACCATGATGATTGATCTGAAAACTGACACATTCTTACTACAGAGAGAGAGAGGGGGAAAGAAAAAAAAAAAAACAATAAAATTCCAGCAACTTAACACCTGGAGAAAGAATTTTTATTCAGAATTTGAAAGAGTAATGTATGTCCCAAAAAAAAGGTATTTAATAGAACATGATTGGGGCTTTAAAAATTTAAGAAAATTTAATCTAAAATCCTAATCTAAGCTTCCAGTTGGAAGATATTAGGCTGTATCCACCTCTCCTATTTCCTTTTCATCTTTTCTAAATTTTATTTTCTTCTATATGACATATTTTCTCAACATAACTCACCTCAACTTATACATTCTCAACATTAGAAAAAAAGATAAATTCAAAACATTCAAGACATTTAATAGATTTAATTATTAGATATGTCATGCATATTAGGTTACCTGTAACATTCCATCATGAGAAAGCCCATTTACCTGTTTGTTGATTCACATTAAAAACTATTAAAGTGTTTCTTACATGCAAGACCTTATTCTGTGTATTCCAGGACACATACAAATAGGTTTTCTAGTTTCAAGTGCCTCATAGTAATGCAGGAGCTTTACAATTATTTTTTCAATAACTAAGCACAAAAGCCTCTGAAATTTGAAATTTAGAATGCCATACAAAGACCCTGAGTGGATTCTTTTTAATTACAATTCAAAAACATTGTGAAATTAAAGTCTGACCATAAAATATGAAGAGTCTCTGTTTATCAAACAGGTTATTTAAACAAAATGCATATTTTTCAATTAAATAAAGAGTTTAAAGTATACTCTAAATAAAAAAGGCTTGGAAAACACAGTGTAAACCCTCTCTAATACAGATTTGAGAACAGAATTTGAATTTCTAATATTCCACAACTTTTTAAAATTAGAGATAAGCACTTGTTATATTGTCAAGCTTGGTCTTAAAATCCTGGGCTCAAGAAATTCTCCTGACTTGATCTCTTGAATAGGTGGGACTACAGGCACATGATACCATGTCTAGTTAAATTTCCACAATTTCTAATATTATTTTAGTCTAATTACAGAGCCAGGAATAAAAATAAAGAAATAGCTCTGCAAAAATACAGTATGATATCAAAATATGTGCACAAGAAATAAAAAGAAACTATATGCTATGTGTAACAGAGTGATTCCATGATTTCTTTGATAAGTCATCTGATGTATTAAAGATTCATTTAAACAGAGGTATTATTAGTCATACTCATATGATATACAACTCAAAGTAAAAACACTCAAATAAGCCTAGACCAAAATTTGTATATCCTCTACTGTGGGAAAGCATTCCCGAACATCATTTTTCTGTCACTGTGTATTTTCCAGCAATTTTTTTTCAGATCACACCTCTCAAAGTATTTATCAACTATTTCTTATTTGCCAAAGTAAAAAAAATTAAAATTAACCCCTCCCATTTCTTTAAAATGGTTATCTCTAATAAAAGTTTTAATAGTAACATAAAACAATGATAGGTAGACAACTGCTAAGTTTTAGAAGAAAATAATATAAAAAATGAGATTCAGAGGGAGAAAATTAATTTCACAAGAGAGTACTCTACCTCAGATTCCAAAGAAAACTCATTCTCTGTCACAGGCTGTGCAACAGCATCAGGTCTGTAGAGACTCCTACAGAGCAAAAAGATATTACAAAAATGAGCTCATTCATTTCTTAAAAGAAAACAAAAACCGTCAGTCTATACACGTATGTCCACTCCAAAAAAATGGTAAAACAAAGTCTGAGGAAACTCAGTTATCTGCATGTTAAATAATATTTCTTGGTATAATTAAGATATGGCTTCCATTTTAGAAAACATTTCAGTTACCTATTTCTGCTGCCACTTCTCCCAACCTATGAAATATCCAATGCAGACTCACCCTTAAACCCATAACAAATAGTGACAGGCATTATAATGGCACAGCCAGACAATAATTTGTCCTTATAAATTATCTACCCTAAAGACTAAACTGAAAATCCAGTTGATATCTGACACAACTTTTGTTACTGAACTGCAGTAAACCTGATAACCTAAAACAAGGTAGAAAAGGCACGGTCTCTTCTCCATTATCTATTTCTGATTCAAAGACTAATCTGTGTCACTGGAAAATGGGAGTCTTGGATCTTCAGCATGTAAGCTACTTAAAGAGGGCCCATTGATTCTTTTCACCCTAGAACACTACAGGGAGCCCCCTGAAACACTGCAAATGTTTGAAAGCTGAGTGTACAAAAGTCAAAGTACAAATGTATATGTTGTTAGATTGTTATTGGGAATATTCTTCACAGAAGATTAAAACATTAAAAATTTTAAAATCCAATTATCGTCATTATATAGATTCTGCCTTATTCAGATCCACAAAAACCAGCAAGCTTAAGAACCTTCATAGACACTCAGATACCCAAGAGAGAGACTGCTGGAAAAGTCTCCCTCCTAAGTACTTATAGCTCCATTTCATTCATCCCTATCTAAATATCTTCCTTCCTATGGGCTCCCACTTCTGGATCCCTCTTCTGCAGGGATCTGTGGCAATCTCCAATCTACATCTTCAGCCTAGGAAAGCCCAGATTT
This sequence comes from Homo sapiens, assembly GCF_000001405.40. Taxonomy (NCBI): domain Eukaryota; kingdom Metazoa; phylum Chordata; class Mammalia; order Primates; family Hominidae; genus Homo; species Homo sapiens. The sequence continues at coordinate 97,148,356 of NC_000002.12, read as the reverse complement.
CTCAAAAGATGGGCTAACATAATTGAGAGTAGGAGCTCTCTATTCCTCTGCTTCTGGAAAGTAAGTTAGTCTCAGTCATCCACCCCAAGCATACGCATGTTACCAACTACCCAAATGAAGCTTCATTGCTGGTTTGCCGGCCAATCCTACATTTGTCCCACCCTACATGTACATGAGAGAATTGAGAAAAGAGTCAGAAAAAAAGAGACATCCACCCTGGATCACAGATCTATGTACTTAAGCAATCTCCAGCTCCCTGGTTCTTGAGGGATTCTAAGCCCTCTGTAAGCTGGGATGGAAGAAGATGATACCACATTCCTATCTCCTCTGGAGACTCTTTCCAGTGGCTCAAATTCTTTTAACATTTTTCAATAAAACCTTGAAGTTTGTTAGTTCCTCCAGTTAAACAAACAAAAAGGCAGCAAACTCTTCAGAACTCCTTGAACGCCATATTCTAATATGCCTTTCTTGATAGCTCCCAACATCCTGTGTTATCATTTCCCTTATCTTTATCAAACTTGCATTAAACCAAATATTCAGATTTTTCCCTAAAATCCTCATTTCTATCAAACTAAGAGTTTGTTTCTCTTCAAATTTGGCTGCCCCCTGCAAATTCCATTCTTATTCACTTTCATTAGGTTCAACAGCTCATTCAATTCTCATCCTCTTCCACTGTGTTCACTAGAGCCACTCCCTCTTTCTAAAACTAAAATCACTCAATGACAGAATGATGTAAAAGAAGACTGCGTTTTGAACTAAGAAACCTGAGTGCAATTCTCATTTCTCTGATTTACTGTATCCAAATAATTTTCTCTCTTTGAGTTTCAGGTTCTCCACCTGAACAACCACTTGATCAGGATGTTAAGCAAGGATTCAAGCACTAGAGGATACTTTGTTTAGTCTCTAGGATTTCTTAACATTCTGAAATTTTATGCACCTCTGATTGTGTCTATAGGAAAATGGGGAATATTTAGCTGCCATACATGAAAACTATAAAAGAAGATCTTAAACCCTAAGAAAAGTGGTAGAGAAAGTGAAAAGAAATCAAGAAAATACTAAAATGTCATAGAAGGAAAAAAGAAGAATCCACAAAATAAGAAAAAGCTTCAGCAAACTAGGCAGGGTGCTCACTTAAAGAGAAAACCTAACTGGGTAGGGAGTAAGTAGAGACATGAATTAGAAATATCATTTTAATATATGCTAAATATAGTTGTCATAACATGGTCTATATTTAGGTATTCTCCATGCACAGTAAAATAATATTTTTCTAGGACTGGCCTAGTCTTGCTTACAAAAAACTTACGGTCTTGTGGCCACAGGTAACTGATATCTGCCTTTAAAATTTTGATGGTTTAAAAAAAAGTAATATGGTTACCACTGCCATTTCCAAAATATTTGGACAAAGTTTTGGAGTATCTAGGCTTCTAAGAAATACTCTAAAGAGAGTTAATATATAACAAAATGTGACTTTCTGAATTGATCTGAGTTACACCAGTACCGTGATCGCATTGCTGCATAGGTCTGTATCCATCTATGCTTAGGGGCAAATGAAGTGATTAGAGAGCCAGGCAGGATGATGGTCAAATCATCGGTTGGCTACCTGTTAACTGTGGAATCATGAGCCAATATTTCAACCTCTTTAAAGCAGAGTTGCCTAATTAGTAAAAAAGCAATAACAGCACAAATAATTTGTAAAGCTGTGTGGAGATGACATGACATGATAAATATTAAGCATGTAATATGGTGTCTAGCACAGAGGAGAACACTAAATGGATACTAGTTTCTATTCTCTCTATTAACTAAGTTAACATATCACTTTAAAAAATCTGTAAAATCATACCTGTTTAAACACTGTTCAACAGCAGGAAGCACTATTAAACAAAAAGTAAAATGCATTTTAAATCAACAATAGGAACCTATAAAATATTAAAAACATAAAAGAGCACAGTGACTTGTTCCTATAATCTCAGCTACTCAAAAGGCTGAGGCAGAAATATCACTTGAGAAGCCCAGGCATTTCAGACCAGCTTGGGCAGCACAGAAACACGCTATCTTTATTTTTAAAAAGTTAAAAAAAAAAAAATCATGTAGGCAGGGCTCGGTGGGTCACACCTGTAATCCCAGCACTTTGTGAGGCTGAGGTGGGTGGATAACTTGAGGTCAGGAGTTCAAGACCAACCTGGCCAACATGGCAAAAGCCGGACTCTAGTAAAAACACAAAAATTACCAGGTTGGTGGTGCACATCTGTAAATTCAGCTACTCAGGAGACTGAGACAGGAGAATCACTTGAACCCAGAAGGTTAAAGTTGAAGTGAGCCAGGTTCACGCATATCTTTCATACAAGACATCAGAAGGATTTAAACAATTATACTACAAATATTCATCATGCTCTTTGACTTGCCGGACAATCCAGCAGGTACACAATGACAATTACACTTTAGATGAACGTGCACTTCAAAGCTCCTCAGTGGAAGTGTTCTGAATTGGTCAGCTTGGATATATGTTTGGTGAATCCTATTATATGCTATTCATTATTTTTCATACCCATGTGGTATAATAATGAGCCTACACTTTTGTATTTTCTGGTTTAACCTTCAGAAACTTTTGTCAGTCACCAATGGGAACAAGGTATTATATACAAACCTAATCAAAATGTATAAAAAATTATCAAATTTGATATACTTACACAAAATAAAGTTGCTACAAGCATTAGATCTGAATAAGGTTTTCCATTTGGAAATCACTCCAATATTAATTAAAAATAAATATTTTAGGTGTCAATTAAAGAATTTAATATTATTTTTGGTTCTAAAATAGTCTGGTTTGAAGGATCATGTTATTCACTAAACTGTTTTCATTAAATTGCTATTTTGTCCAAAAGTTAGCTCTCTGAACAACAAAGCCAATGTATGCATATTTACATTTATCTCATTTGACTCACTGATAACAACAAAACATATATCTCTGATGCCCAATAATAACAAAGAGGGGAAACAGGTGACTGTGGTTCATCACAATTCTAGCACTCTATCCTGCTTCCAGTAGTTCCTGGAGCAGCCAAAATCAAATTTTCCTTTATGCAAACATTCTAAACACATCTGAAGTGAGTTCCCTCAGGTTTCCTCAGCAGAAACCCTAAAATTAAACAAATAACTTCTTTTCCCTTCTTCCTGACTCACAATCCCTCTTCCCTGAGGAAAATAATTACTACATCAGTGGTCTTGTTACTTCTCATTCTATAGTGTTTATGGCTTATTACGATCATTTCTTCCCTCTGGTTTTAGCAATGTGATCAGGCGCCTATAATTTCTAGTACTTCATCTTGTTCTCCTTCCCCTCTTCATGGAGACATGCTGTAGAATTAAAGCAAAATTATGCTGTCCCCTCAGACTCTTGTATCTTGAACTGCTCTCCAATTGTTCTTCTTCCCAATTTCAATGTAGGGAAGTCTAAAATCTTACTACTCAGATCATGGCCAAAAATCAGCAGAATCACCATCACTCCAGAACTTATTACAAATGCAGAATCTCAGGCCCGCTGAATCAGAATGCGCAGCTTCAATGAGCCCCCTGCTGATTTATTTGGGGAAGGGAAGTTCTCTATCTTGACTGTACATGGCATTAAATGTGTATTGCAAAATTACCTGTCCCAGATTTTTGTTCATCTTTTATTTCTGTGGCTGTGTTCGAAACAGAATCATCCTTGTCACTTGTATCCTGAGTGGGATTTCAAACAAAATAATCAATACCTACAGTATATTCCATAGACTATACAGTTAATTATTCAAAATATGAATGAGAGTATAATACCTTCAAGGCCGGTTGTTTCTGAGAAGACACTGAAAACCAAAAGGGATACATAATCACTCATATGTAAATATGATAAAGTTATCCATACTTTCATGCAGTGTTACCATCAAGCTGTATCCTCCTGCCTGAATTAGCATAGGCTTTGATGTTTTCTACTTTGTGTATTGGGACAGGAACATGACAGAATTACACTGTAGAAAACAGAAGTATAGTCTTCACGCAACAAACACTTCCAATTTCATATGTGATATTATTCTTCACATGTCTATTACTACAATAAAACAGTGTCTATATCAATGTGGATATGCCGAGTGATGAGGACAAATGTGATCTAAAATCAGAGCAGTGACTCATACACTTGGGAATCAATGTCGAAGCAGGTGATTAATGCTCCTGCATGTTTTTCATGTAACACATCAGAGGGATTTATACCATTATACTACAAATATTTATCATGCTCTTAAACTTGCCTGACAATTGAGCAGGTACACAAGGACAATGGCACTTTAGTTGAATGTACACTTCCCAAGTGCTCTGTGGAAGTGTTCCGAATTGATCAGCTTAAATATATGTTTGGTGAATCCTAGCATATAATATTCCTTATTTCTCACACCCCTGTGGTGTCATAATGTGCCTACATTTCTTGGATCCTCTAGTTTAGCCTTCAGAAAGTTTCTTCACCCACTCATGGCAAGAAAGTATAATATACAAACCTCATCAAAAAGTATAATAAACCATCAAATTTGGCATACTTATACAAAATAAAGTTACTGAAATCATTAGATATGAATAAGCTTTTCCATTTGGAAATTGCTCTGATATTCATTGAAAATAACCACTTTAGGAGTCAATTAATGAATTCAACATTATTTTTGTTTCTAAAATAGTCTGGTTTGAAGGATCATGTTATTCTCTAAACTATTTTCATTAAATTGCTATTTTATCCAAAAGTTAGTTCCTTTAAAAACAAAGCAAATATATGCATATTCATGATTAGCCTATTTGAATAGCTAATACCAACAAAACATATATCTCTGATGCCCAATAGTAACAAAGAGGGGTAATGAGTCACTGTGGGTTATCACAATTCTAGCAATCTATCCTGCTTCCAGTAGTTCCTGGAGCAGCCAAAATCTAATCTTCTTCTATGCAAATATTCCAAATGCATCTGAAGTGAGTCCCATCAGGTTTCTGCAGCAGAAACCCCAAAATTACATAAATAACATCTTCTTTTCCCTCCTTCTTGCCTCAATCCCTCTTCCTTGAGTAAAATAATTACCACATCAGAGGTCTCCTTAGTTCTCTTTCTACATTGTTTATGGTTTATTCCAATCACTTCTTCCATGTGGTTTTAACAATCTGATCTGACACCTATAATTTTTATTACTTAATCTCTTTCTCCTTCCCTTTATGATGGAACTATGCTGTAGAATTAAAGTAAGAATATGCTGTCCCTTTGCCTGTTATATCTTGCACTGCTCTCCAATCATTCTTGCCAATTTCACTGTGGGGAAGAACATAATCTTAATACTGAGATCATGGCCAAGGACCAGTAGCATCGGCGTCACCCGAGAACTTATCACAAAAGCAGAATCTCAGGCCTGCTGAATCAGAATGTGCAGATTCAATGAGCTCCCTGCGATTTATTCAGTGAACAGAAGTTCTCTTCTATCCTGAGTGAACATGACATTAAATGTGTATTCCAAAATACCTGTCCCAGATTTTTGTCCATCCTTTATTTCTGTGGCTATATTTGAAATAGAATCTTCCTTGCCACTTGTAGCCTGAGTGGGATTTGAAACAAAATAATCAATACATAAAGTATATTTCACAGACTATATAGTTAATAGTTCAAAACAGAAATGAATGTGTAATTACCTTCAAGGCTGGTTGTTTCTGAGAAGACACTGAAAAGCAAAAGGGATACATAATCAATCATATGTAAATATGATAAAATTATCCATACATTCATGCACTGTTACCATCAAGCTGTATCCTCCTGCCCCTATTAGTTTAGGTTTTTATGTTTTATACTTTGTGTCTTGGGACTGGAACATGACAGAAATACACTGAAGAAAACACCAACACAGGCTTCATGAAAAATACACTTACAATTTCAAATGTGATATGATTTTTCATATGTCTAAAACTAAAATGAAACAGTGTCAGTATCATTGTGGATATATGGAGGGATAAAAACAAATGTGGTCTAAAAACAGAGAAGCAACTCATGCACCTGGGAATCAATGTCAAAGCAGGTGGTACATGCTGTCACATGTCTTTAGTGCAAGAGATGAGAAGGAAATACACCATTATACTACAACCATTCATCATGCTCTTTAACTTGCCCGATAACTGAGAAGGTACACAATTACGATGACACTTCAGCTGAATGTACACTTCACATCTCCTCAGTGGAAGTGTCCTAAATTGATCAGCTTGGATATATGTTTGGTGAATCCTAGTAGACAGTATTCATTATTTCTCAGAACCATGTGGTGTAATAATTGCCCAAGTTTCTTGTGTTCTCTAGTTCAGCCTTCTGAAAGTTTTTTCATCCACTCACGGCAATAAGGTATAATATATAAACCTCAATAAAAAGTATCATCATTTGTCAATATTGACATACTTCTACAAAATAAAACTGCTACAAGCATTAGATATTAATAAGCTTGCACATTTGGAAATGACTCCAATATTCATTGAAAATAACCATTTTATTAATCAATTAATGAATTCAACATTATTTTTGTTTCTAAAATAGTCTGGTTTGAAGTATCATGTTATTCTCTGAAGAATTTTCATTAAATTGCTATTGCATCCAAAAGTTAGCTCCTTGAAAAACAAAGCCAATGTATGCACATTCATGTTTATTTCATTTGAATAACTAATATCAACAAAATCTATGTCTCTGATTCCCAATAGTAACAAAGAGAAGTAACGAGTCACTGTGGTTTATCTGAATTCTAGTACTCTTTCCTTCTGCCAGTAGTTTCTGGAGCAGCCAAAATCAAATCATCTTTTATGCAAATATTCTAAATGCATCTGAAGTGAGTTCAGTTATACTTAGAGTCATAATTTAAAAAATCATTTTCTTTGTACTCATGAAGGCTCCTAATATTCCTACATTTCCCGGATTCAGCAGTTCAGCTCTTTTGCCATCTCTTTTTCCACTTTTGCAAAAACATACATGTCAAAGAAATCATGCATAATCAGATTCCCATGTAAATAAGGTAAACAAAATCTCTAAATCACAAGAGACTTCTTTTCTTATTAATAACCAACCAAATATATATATATGTAAATATATATATATATGTCATGATTGCCAAGAATATTGGTAGTTTTTTTTAGTACTCAAGATATACATTATTTTATTACTTTGTTTCTAAAGCTAGTTTGATATAATATACCATAGGGGTCTCTCAGGTCCTTTTATGAAATAACTACCTCAGCCAACACAGCTTTCCTAAAGAAAAAAAAAACACTTTTTCTAGATTAAGCTGCATCCCAATATGCTAACTGATGTGAACGAAGAACATATCATTGATGTGCAAAACTTCTAGGGAGGAGAAATGAAGCCCTGTGGGTCACCCTCATCCTTCTAACTTCCACTTTCCATTAAGTGACTCCCCACAAGTCTCCTCATCAGAAACCTGCAAATTACCTAACTAGCTGCTTTCTTTGTTTGCCTAATTTGACATACACTCTTTTTCATTCATAAATCTAATAACCATATTGGTGGACTTCATTCTTTGCCCTCCACATTCATTTCTTCATTATTCTCACCACTACTGTATGTGACATTCGTACAATCCCATTCTGACACATGTGAAGATAAGGTTTTGCTTTATTAAAATGTTAAATGTATCAGACACTTGACTAACGTGTACAAATTCCTTCTTCACAAAAGCAGCCCCATGGCTTCCTCTCTCCCATAGACACTCTTTCACAGCTGTTCTTCACTCACATTGGTTTGAGTATCTATCGTCTCTTATTTTGTCTCTATGCTTTCCCATCATATTATGAGTTATTATCATAGGCTCAGCAGCCTATCTTACCTATTTTCCTCTCCAGCAGACAGCACTGAGTAGTAAATTAGAATCTTCCAGGATATGAACACTTTCACATACGTAAGACTTTGTGGAGCTATTTTATGTTTAACTACACATAAAACCACTATGTCTATGCCTTCCAGAGAAATGGGTTCTGAAATGTTATTGAACATAACCTATTTAAAAACTTCTTTAACTCCAATGACACTGCCTCTCCTCAATGCACCAACATCTTCAGAAATAACTTGTGAAGACTTGAAAACATGTCAGTAATTGACATGAAAAATGAAGAATGGTGTAATTTTTTGCAGGTACAAATAAGACACGCTGAGATCCTTACTAGATCCAAGAAGAGCAGAGTGCCATGAGACAGGAAATAAATATGGAACAGAAATATTTTCATTTGTAATGAAAATTATTCTATTTACAGTTTTCAGAAGAGAAAAAAATACACACACACACAAACACACACACACATTCACACACAAAAACCAGAGCAATACAGCTTTACAGGGTGTTTTTTCTTCAAGGGCCTATTTGTCATTTGACATCCAGGAACACTCTATAGGGATCAACAAAGGGGTTCTAAATTGTGACCTGAGTAGATTAGAGTTTAACATTCATGAGGGGGAGCCAAGAGGACAAGTAACACTTTGACCATCGGCCATTTCCTCTCCTTACTGTCATTCTCTGAAAAGCACACACTGGATTTTCTCAGGGTCATGACATGTCAAAAATACATGCTTTAAGGGGGAAACAGTTGCAATCAACACAGCCATGGGAGAGATACAGCTATGCTTGCTAGGATTTCCCATACTTCTGTTTCATTTCTAATATAGTACAAATCAATAAAAGCAACCACATAAGCATATCCATGCTGGTATGTCACCATATTTATGTCCATATGGTATCAACACGAAGAGAGCATAATTAAATATGCTGCAGTCATCACATGGCATATCATTAGATCATACAATAAATCAAATACCTCACTGGGTCAACATGGATAGATCTGAAATATATATCACTGATTTTACAAAGACCAAGTTGCAGTCATTTTGTGCACTGTCTGAACTTTTCTACAAGGTTTTAATACACAAAATCAAGTTCTACATGTTATCTAGGAATATGCACATATGTTGTAAGAGGTTTTTAATGTGCATTTGGGTGATTTCTTTTTCTTTTTTTAAAAAAAAATTTAATTCAAGTTCTTGGTTACATGTCATCAATAAGTTTTAGTAGTATAGGGAACCCTAAGACCATAACAGCTCAGAATGACTGTCTTAAAGGCTATGTCTACCAAAGAGTCAGGAAAGCATGACTACTTACTTTCTTCATTTTTGAAACTCAGAGGTACCCCACACACACTCCCAAATAAAACTGCACACAAGTTCTTTAGTTTAGTTAGATCCCATTTGTCAATTTTGGCTTTTGTTGACATTGCTTTTGGTGTTTTAGTCATGAAGTATTTGCCCATGCCTATGTCCTGAATGGTACTGCCTAGGTTTTCATCCAGGGTTTTTATACATTGAGAACTTACTTTTAAGTCTTTAATGAATCGAGTTAATTTTTGTATAAAGTGTAAGGAAGGGGTCCAGTTTCAGTTTCCTGCATAAGGCTAGCCAGTTTTCCCAACACCATTTATTAAATAGGGAATCCTTTCCCCATTCCTTTTGTCAGGTTTGTCAAAGATCAGATGGTGTAGATGTATGGCATTATTTCTGAGGCCTCTGTTCTGTTTCATTGGTCTATATATCTCTTTTGGTACCAGTACCATGCTGTTTTCATTACTGTAGCCTTGTAGTATATTTTGAAGTCAGGTAGCATGATGCCTCAAAATTTGTTCTTTTTGCTTAGGATTGTCTTGGCTATATGGGCTCTTTTTTTGGTTCCATATGAAATTTAAAGTAGTTTTTTCTAATTCTGTGAAGAAAGTCAATGATAGTTTGATGGGTATAGCACTGAACCTACAAATTACTTTGGGCAGTATGGCCATTTTCAAGATATTGATTCTTCCTAACTATGAGCATGGAATGTTTTTCCATTTGTTTGTGTCTCTTATTTCCTTGAGTGGTGGTTTGTAGTTCTCCTTAAAGAGGTCCTTCAAATCCCTTGTGAGTTGTATTCCTTGCTATTTTATTCTCTTTGTAGCAATTGTGTATGGGAGTTCACTCATGATTTAGTGCTCTATTACTGGTGTATAGGAATGCTTGTGAATTTTGCACATTGACTTTGTATCCTGAGACCATGAGGAAGTTGCTTATCAGCTGAAGGAGATTTGGGGCTGAGACAATTTGTTTTTCTAAATATACAATCATGTCATCTGCAAACAGAGACAATTTGACTTCCTTTCTTCCTATTTGAATACCGTTTATTTCTTTCTCTTGCCTGATTACCCTGGCCAGAACTTCCAATACTATGATCAGAGTGAACAGGCAACCTACAGAATGGGAGGGAATGTTTGCAATCTGTCCATCTGAAAAAGGCCTAATATCTAGAATCTACAAGGAACTTAAATAAATTTACAAGAAAACAAACGATCTCATCAAAAAGTGGACAAAGGATATGAACAGACACTTCTCAAAAGAATACATTTATGCAGCCAACAAACATCTGAAAAAAAGCTCATCATCACTGATCATTAGAGAAATGCAAATCAAAACCACAATGAGATACCATCTCGCGCCATTTAGAATGGCAATCGTTAAAAGGTCAGGAAACAACAGATGCTGGAGCAGATGTGGAGAAATAGGAATGCTTTTACACTGTTGGTGGAAGTGTCAATTAGTTCAACCATTGTGGAAGACAGTGTGGTGATTCCTCAAGGATCTAGAACCGGAAATACCATTTGAGCCAGTAATCCCATTACTGGGCATATACTCGGTGTGTGTGTGTGTGTATATATATATATGTACAGTGGCTTGTTCCTGTAATCTCAGCTACTCAGAAGGCTGAGGCAGAAGTATCACTTGAGAAGCCCAGGAGTTTGAGAACAGACTGGGCAACATAGCAAGACTCTTTATTAAAAAAAAAATCATGCAGGCTGGGCACAGTGGCTCATGTCTGTGATCTCAGCATTTTGGGAGGCCAAGGTGGGTGGATCACATGAGGCCAAAAGTTTGAGACCAGCCTGGCCAAACATGGTGAAATCCCATCTCAACAAAAATACAAAAAAAAAGTAGCTGAGTGTGGTGGCACACGTATGTAATCCCAGCTACTCGGGAGGCTGAGACAGGAGAATCGCTTGAACCCAGGAGGCAGAGGTTGCAGTGAGCCAAGATTGTGCCATTCCACTCCAGCCTGGGTGACAAAGTGAGACTTCATCTCAAAAGAAAAAAAAAATTATGAACTTTTGTACATGCCTTAGACCTTGTAGGAAAAAAAGTATAAGACTTTGATGCTTTATTACAGAGACTCTCATGATTTGTTACAAAGCAGTTCTTTAGAAACATACTTGGAGGCTACACTAAAATTATTATTTATACTATTTGTAGGCAACTAATGAATTAAGAACCCTTTTTCCTTTCTTATGTGCTTAGCATATACTTATCAAATGCAAAGAAGATTATCAAAATTTGTTACCTTACATGTGAATTGCAGTATAAAATAGTCATAATTCTAACAGAATCCTATCACACTGACAGAAAATGGCATCATTAGTAGAATCAATATAATGAGCAGGCATTGTCAAAGAACATGATTTCTGGACAAATGAACCAGGTGCAGCTAGAACAGCAGTCCCCCTTATCTGCTGTATGTGTAGAAAACACATATTCAACATGATGTTCCTCTTCTCTCACACCGCAACAACAATCATCAGCACAGAAGATTTCTGTGACCAAATATGTATTTTTCCCCAGCAACAAGCAAACAATCAATTCCTATGGGTGCCCTGTAATTCTGGCACTACCTACTTGGGGATTGTGTCAGATCCCACATTTTGAGGGCTCAGTACCACAAGGCTATTCCCCCACAGCAGTTACAAGTCTGGGCCTCCAGAACTTCTAATCAACTTCCAGTTGGACTTCAAGTTGGGTTTCCCAGGACCCCCTCTTTGGTTTGATTAATTTACTAGAGTGGCTCAGAGAACTCATGGAAACACATTTACCAGTTTCTTATAAAGAATATTAAAGGATACAGATAAAGAGATGCATAGTGCAAGATACGGGGGGAAAGTAACATGCTTCCATGTCCTCCCAGGGCACTCACCCTCTGGGAACATCCATGTATTCTCCATATGCCTTCATGTATTGGAGAGCATCCAGGTAGCTGAATACAGCTACCTGGATGCTCTCCAAATCCAATCCTTTTGGGATTTTATGAAAGCTTCATTACATAGGCATGACTGATTAATTGAACATTCAGCCCCTCTCACATCCCAGGAGGTGAGGGGTGGGGCTGGAAGTCCCAACCCTCTAATCACACCCTGATCACTATGATGATGAGCCCCACCCTGAAGCCATCTGGAGGCTGCCTGCCATAAGTCAATCATTAGCATACAGATGATATCATCTTGGAAATTCTGAGGATTTTAGGAGTTGTATGACAGAAAATGGGGTTGAAGACCAAATATATATTTCATAATATGACATTGGTGGTTTTACTGACTGCAGATTCAGTTACCCATGGTCAACCATGGTCCATAAATAAAATTCCAGATGTATACACATCATAAGGTTTAAATTGCCTAAGATTCTGAGTAGTATGACAAAATTTGAGCCATTACATCCCAGTCTGCCCAAGATGTGAATCGTCCCTTTGTCAAGTGCATACACATTATATATGATATCTACTCACTAGTCATTGACATAATCTGTACCTAACATCCAACCAACAATATCATCATGGTTCACGGATCCAGGATCACGTGAAGCAGATGATCTTCTTTCTGACATATAGTCAAATAGAAGGTCAATAGTAGCCTAAGACTACATGGCAATGCCTACTGCATTTGCCTCACTTATCACATAGCCATTTTATCATCTCACATCAGTGCAGAAAGTAGGGTGACTATAGTACATGATATTTTGTGAGCTCACATTCACATAACTTTTACTACAGTATATTGTTACAATTGATCTACTTTACCATTAGATATTATTAATCTCTTATTGTGCCTAATTTATGCATTAAATTTTATTATAGATATATATGTATTTTTAAAAATTATTGTACACATAGAGTTCAGCACTATTCATGTTTTCAGGCATTCACTAAGGGTCTTGAAATGTATCCCCCATGTGTAAGAGGAAATTACTGTACTTATTTTGTTGAAACACAACAGTTTCTCCACCTCTTCAGTTTAAACTATTTAGGATAAAGCACTCTAATTCAAAAAATCTAGATCTATGAAAACTGTACTCTATTCTATGGCAAAACACAGGATACAGAGCAGGGTCAAGGATCCCTGCAAAGACTTTTCAGCTGCCAGTGCAGAAGAGCCTAAGAGAGATCAGTGTCCTTACTCTCACTAATCCTCTCCTAGGGAAGATGCGGTAAGCTTGCTTAGTTCTAGCTATTCATTCACCCTATGTAGGGCACAAACAATCCTTAAATTCAGCTTTCTTTTTTAGCTCCTTCAAAAAAACACACACAGAGAAAATATCACTCCCTTAAAAGTTTATCCAATCTGAGTCTTGTTTCCTTGTCAGAGAGAAGCTTACAAAGAAATACTGGGAATGGTATGGCAAGTTGCCAGGGAGTACTTTCTAATATATAAAATATATATAAAGGAACCATAAACTCACTGGAGCTACCAAGATGTGCCAACAGTTGTCTCACTACCTAGTGGGAAAAACAACAACAACAACAACAAATCTTTGTCACTTTATGTAAACAAAAATAGTATGACTCTCTTGGCATTTTTCATGATGGAGAACCTAGTTATAAGTGAGTCATGTTATAATAATATAGACTGTCTTCAAAGTGATCCCTCAAAGAAAGAAGGTGAATAAGAAACATATTTGTATGCCTACAGTATTTACTAGCTGGTCTTATTTCCAACTGCAAGGTAAATAGGAAAGACTTTCTGACTCGTTTTATAAAGTACAACGTCTTGAGATTGTCCCTTTCCACTGCTAGTCTATCTGGACCCATCTCACAGAGAAGGATGATCCAGTTAGTGCTGTGTAGTACACAGCATGAAGTCATTTTCCTCAACCCTCCCCATTATGTGGCAAATGTCTATATAAATTATGCTTTTTCAACATGTAAAGCATATGCCATTAAATCCTACATTAATAAACTAAAAGCAAAAAAGCACAATGGATAGCTTAATTGAATACATTCAACTATCTTGGAAATTATGTTCTGTAATATTGAAAAAGATATCCACTATGTTATCCTTAATATATGACTATGCTGGACATATCAAAACTATGGGGACAGCAAAAATATTAGTAGTTGACAGGGGTTAGTTGTGAGGGAGGAATAAAAAAAGAGACAAATTTCAGGGCAGCAAAAGTATTCTAATGGCGGGTACATTTATTATACATTTGTCCAGCTTTATAGAAGGTACAATACCAAGAGGGAACTTAAATATAAACTATGGACTTTGGGTGATTATTATGATGCAACAATGTAAGCTTCTCAGTTGTAACAAATGTACCACTCAGGTGGGAGATATTGAAAATGGGGGGAGCTATGCACGTGAGGGGGGATGGCGTATATGAAAAATCTCTTTAGGTTCTTTTCAATATTGCTGAGAATATAAAACTGCTCTTAAAATAAAGTTATTAATTTTTTAAAAAGATTTTCACTGAATCTTCTATTACTAATATATTGCTATATTAACATATATTATGGCAATATGTACTCAATTTGAAACACAATATGAATATTCTCTCCAGAATTATAGTATATAAAAGTACATAAAGCAAATAACTTAACTGTATTTACAGGCAAGAAAATAATTGATAAATGATTGATTTTTTAAATTTCATAATTATAAACAGAAATTTAACAAAATATAAAACAAAACTGAACCATCTATATAATTAAAATGAAACAAATTTTTTATTTTAATTTTAAATGAGAAATCATTACTTATTTTATCTAACCATTTTACTGAAAGGTTAATCGAATAAGAACAGATTATAATTATCTAATATTGCCATAGTAACTTCTGTATAGAGACCTGTTAAATATTCACCAAAATTCCAAAATCTAACAGCACAGAAACTTAGTATTTCATATTAAGTTGCAACTGACGCAAATGAAATAAGCACCATGCTATGTTATATTACCATGTTATTCACTATCAAATAGAATTTTTAAGACACCTAAAATTAAGTTGGGGCTGTAACTGCTGTGAAGAAAATAATGCATATAACAGTCATAAGACTGTCATTCTTAGAAAGGCCTACATGCAAAACTGGCCCTTCGCTGGTGTTTGGAAATTTGTATTTTAAAGGTTTGTCACCATTTCCTGAGAAAAGTAGCTCACTGTACCTAAACTGTTTGCATAAACAATGTGGTTGACTCTGAACAGCTGCTTTTCTTCTGGAAGTGTGGAATTTTTGTATATGTGTGAGACAGAATGCCTATGTAACTAGCTTCCATAAGAACCTTGGATACTGTGTAAGTCTCTAGTCAGACTCATACTGGTAGACAATATTGCCCATGTGCTGTCAAAATTCGAAGCTACAGGAATTCAGCACATCCTGGTAACTCCACAGGAGAGGGCTCCCGGAAGCTTGTGCCTGGCTTCCCCAAGACTTGCCACATGCCCCTTTGCCCTGAGTCAATTTTACTATGTATTCTTTCACTGTAACAAATCAAAGCCCAGAGTAGCACTGTTTGCTGAGTCCTTCCAAGTGAATCGCCAAACACAGAGGTGGTCTTGGGAAACTCTGACATAATGGCATTATATGAAATTAGTTTTCTTTAAGGTGATGTGACCTGTGACTACGATCAGAAGGCTGTTTATAAAACACCTTTCCCTAATCTGTTCTCCTTAACGGTTGCCTTTGAGATTCCTGTATTTCCGCATGAATAAATCCATAAAGGAATAGAAATAATTATGCCAAAAAATAATGAAAAACAAGCAGCAATCCTATTTTAACCAGAATAAAAATTTGAGAATATGGATGATTAAAAATATATCCCATAGTATGAAAGCTTCTAGAAGAGAAACAAAAAGATCACAGCCAATTGTCTTCAACTCACCAAGGTTTCTTTTATAATAATTGGGGATCAGGCCAGGTGCAATGACACACACCTGTAGTCCCAACTACTCCAACGGCTGAGGCAGGAAGATTGCTTGAGATCAAAAGTTTGAGGCTGCAGTGGAGATTGTGCCTGTGAACAACCATTGCACTCCAGCCTGGGAAACAGAGTGAGACCCTGTCTCTAAAATGTATTAGTAGGCTGGGGGCGGTGGCTCACACCTGTAATCCAAACACTTTGGGAGGCTGGGGCGGGCAGATCACAAGGTCAGGAGATGCAGACCATCCTGGCTAACACGGTGAAACCCCGACTCTACTAAAAATATAAAAATTAGCTGGGCGTGGTGGTGCAGGCCTGTAGTCCCAGCTACTTGGGAGGCTGAAGCAGGAGAAGCGCTTGAACCCAGGAGGCAGAGTTTGCAGTGAGCCGAGATCGTGCCACTGCACTCCAGCCTGGGCAACAGAGCGAGACTCAGCCTCAAAAAAAAAAATCTATTAATAAAAACATACATAAAATAATTTGCATCATTCAGGTCATTGTGATAATTATAGAAATATATGTAGCCATTGGCTATAACACTGTACTATCGATCATAGAGCTCATTTAATTTGTTTCTAATCTTTTTTCTTAAGTTCTTATAAAACTAAAAATATCTATTAAAACTAAAAATCATCTGTTAAGGGCAGTTCTTCATAGAACAGGTCAAAAAGTCAAAAACTGCATTTAAAATGTAGGATGAGTTATCCACTTCGGCTCCCAAACAGTGGGTTTTTCTTATTAAGGGCCAATAGGACTTTAAACTCATTTTGGGGAATAAAGGAAGTTATAGACCAGCACGATGGCTCGTGACTATAATTCCAGCACTTTGGGAGGCTGAGGCAGGAGGATCACTTGAAGCCAAAAGTTTGAGACTGGCCTGGGTAAGAGAGAGAGACCCTTGTCTCTAAAAAATAAAAAATAAAAAAGTTAGCTTGGTGTGGTGGCATATGCTTGTAGCAGTCTCACCGACTTAGGAGGCTGAGGTAGGAGGACCACCTGAACCCAGAAGTTTGAGGCTGCAGTGAGCTATGATCACACTATTGTACTCCAGCCTGGGAAACAGCAAAAGACTCAATCTCAAAAAAAAAAAAATCAAGAAACTTATATATAAATGGTTAAAGGTGTGGTAATCCAACTGACCAAATATTCCAGCTAAGTAACAGATTACCAATATTTGAAGAAATATAATACCAGAAAAGTGTTTTACATTAAAACTATGTCAAGTTTGAAAATTTTAAATACACCTTAAGTGTCTTAACTTAATTTGAAAATTTAAAAGACATATAAAGTTTGAAAATTTAAAAGAAACTTAAAATCTTAAAGGAGCAGCATCACTTACACTGTCACTGTGCTAAAGATATAAAGAAGTTTAGCATTAAAGATTAATAGAATACCAGATATACTTTAGAACAGGTAGCTAATTCTCTTAAAAGAAAATCATATATAGTTGTCAAAAATACCTGTGTTAGAAATGTGTTCTAATAATATTTTCTTTAGGGGTGAAATTAAAAAAGAAAACAGTAAAAGCAGAGATATTACAAGAGGTCATGAAAAGGGAATTGCACTAAAACAAAGTGTCCCAGAACACAGAGACTTGGTATACTTAGCATATCACCTTATATTTTTCTCCATGACATTATTATAAAAGACATCAGCTTCTCCAAACTGCTCGTATGTAGGCTACTTCTTTTTTTTTTTCATACTTTTAGGGTACATGTGCACAACGTGCAGGTTTGTTACATATGTATACATGTGCCATGTTGGTGTGCTGCACCCATTAACTCATCATTTAGCATTAGGTAGATCTCCTAATGTTATCCCTCCCCCCTCCCCCCACCCCACAACAGTCCCCGGTGTGTGATGTTCCCCTTCCTGTGTCCATGTGTTCTCATTGTTCAATTCCCACCTATGAGTGAGAACATGCAGTGTTTGGTTTTTTGTCCTTGCCATAGTTTGCTGAGAGTGATGTTTTCCAGCTTCATCCATGTCCCTACAAAGGACAGGAACTCATCATTTCTTATGGCTGCATAGTATCCCATGGTGTATATGTGCCACATTTTCTTAATCCAGTCTATCAGTGTTGGACATTTGGGTTGGTTCCATGTCTTTGCTATTGTGAATAGCTACAAACCACTGCTCAATGAAATAAAAGAGGATACAAACAAATGGAAGAACATTCCAGGCTCATAGGTAGGAAGTATCAATACTGTCAAAATGGCTGTACTGCCCAAGGTAATTTATAGATCCAATGCCATCCCCATCAAGCTAACAATGACTTTCTTCACAGAACTGGAAAAAACTATTTTAAAGTTCATATGGAACGAAAAAAGAGCCCGCATTGCCAAGTCAATCCTAAGCCAAAAGAATAAAGCTGGAGGCATCACGCTACCTGACTTCAAACTATACTACAAGGCTACAGTAACCAAAACAGCATGGTACTGGTACCAAAACAGAGATACAGACCAATGGAACAGAACAGAGCCCTCAAAAATAATGCCGCATGTCTACAACTATTGATCTTTGACAAACCTGACAAAAAGAAGAAATGGGGAAAGGATTCCCTATTTAATAAATGGTGCTGGGAAAACTGGCTAGCCATATGTAGAAAGCTGAAACTGGATCCCTTCCTTACACCTTATACAAAAATTAATTCAAGATGGATTAAAGACTTAAACGTTAGACCTAAAACCATAAAAACCCTACAAGAAAACCTAGGCAATACCATTCAGGACATAGGCATGGGCAAGGACTTCACGTCTAAAACACCAAAAGCAATGGCAACAGAAGCCAAAATTGACAAATGGGATCTAATTAAACTAAAGAGCTTCTGCACAGCAAAAGAAATTACCATCAGAGTGAACAGACAACCTACAGAATGGGAGAAAATTTTTGCAACCTACTCATCTGACAAAGGGCTAATATCCAGAATCTACAAAGAACTCAAACAAATTTACAAGAAAAAAACAAACAACCCCATCAAAAAGTGGGCGAAGGATATGAACAGACACTTCTCTAAAGAAGACATTTATTCAGCCAAAAAACATGAAAAAATGCTCATCACCACTGGCCATCAGAGGAATGCAAATCAAAACCACAATGAGATACCATCTCACACCAGAGTTAGAATGGCGATCATTAAAAAGTCAGGAAACAACAGGTGCTGGAGAGGATGTGGAGAAATAGGAACACTTTTACACTGTTGGTGGGACTGTAAACTAGTTCAACCATTGTGGAAGTCAGTGTGGTGATTCCTCAGGGATCTAGAACTAGAAATACCATTTGACCCAGCCATCCCATTACTGGGTATATACCCAAAGGATTATAAATCATGCTGCTATAAAGACACATGCACATGTCTGTAGACTACTTCTGATTGAAACTTGAAACTCTCGAAATGCGGCTGTGTTATGATTCCATGTTGGAGGGAGTTGGGATGTATGTGCTTTGGACAAGCTGGTTCCAGTTACTACTGCCAGACTTTTGTTTCAGAATGCATCCAGAAGAACTTATCAGGGATTTCAGTACAAACTAAGTATTTCCACAAGGAGCAGATAAGAAGACCACAGTTTTTCTCACACATTACCCTTAGGTTTTGACAATTCTGTAAAAGTGTGGGCACATGTACTCAGAAGTCAAGACCATTTTCCCTGACCCTGTGCACGTAGCTTCTGCAGTTACAAAAGGGTTACACAGGATCTTGGTAGATTTGTTCCCCATATTTGGACAACAGACATACCAATCACATCAATAGCCCACATTACACCTCAAAAATGGTTCTTTTGAAAAGGGTACCGCCAAAGAGCTTTTAAAAGTTAAATCTAATTGGCTTTTGAGTAATCTTACTTGTTAGAATTCATACTCCCTCCTTAAAATTCTCACTTTTTTTATTTTTGCAACATCACTTCCTCTGACTCCTCTCCTAGTTTTCTCTAGCCACTGCTCATTCTCCTTTACCAACTCTTTTTTTCCTGGGGGTTGGGAGGGAATGTTGACATTCCCAGGGTTTTGTCACAGGATAGCTTCTCATTCTACATCTGCATCATGGACAGCTCATTGAGATCGATGACTTTGCCTAATAATTATAATAACATCATTCTACGTCTGCATCTCCAACCTCAGATTTGTAGGAAAGGGAAGTTATTCTTCCCTGTTGACCAGCTGTACTTCTCCATTCAGTGAACACGTCCTACTCCTTTCTTGTGTGCAGTATAAAGGCCAGTACACAACCCGGAAACCTATGAATGATCCAAGATTTCTCTCTCCTCACTAATGTTTTACATTCAATGTTCACTAAATCATATTAACTAACTGTACCTATTTTCTGCTTCTGCTTTATATTTCTACTGCCACCAAATAAATACTTTTATATTTCCTAGATCAACATGGCCTCTTCACTGATGGTTTTCACAGGAAAAAAAAGTCCCTATCAACTATTATTGTTTTTTTACAAATAAAAAATTAAGTAAAACAAATGAAGAAGGCATGCGGGCAAGAAAAAGACCAACATTTTAAAATGAGTAAATGGAGTAAATTTACTTTATTTTACCATGGGTGGGTGAACACCTTACACTAGATTGAGAGTAGTTCAAGCATCGAACTACAAGGAAACTACAGCTGTAACTACTGCAAAAGCTTTCTTTCTCTAGCTTACTTTCTTGTACTCAGAATACAATATATAATATATACAACATACCAAATACGTATTTTCAACAGCATGGGGATTGGCAGCACTAAATCCCATGTTGTTCAAGGGCCAACTGTAATTATTGATTCATTTAGTAATTGCAAAGAATTTATTTTACAAATTAAATAGAAGTTCTAATTATATAAAAAGTCTAATTCATTATTATGTGACTATAAAAAAACATACAACATAATAACTTAAAAATTTGTTTTCTTATTTACACAAAAAGGTCATCTAGAATATTAGGAACCATAATTAAATAATAATTTTTTTCAAACAATACTGACATTATAAATTACCTACAATTAACTTTTTAAATAATTATAAAATCTAGACTACTAAGTATTTTTTAAATGTGTGCAATTTAAACAGTGATTTTTTTAAACTGCTTTTTTGTAATCAAAACATCTTTATTCTTTTTTATCTATGGTAGTACCATCAAGAGTAATTCACTATCAGAAATCTTACCTGGATTGCTATTTATAGGAAGATCTTCATATCTCTTTCTTTCGTATTCATAAATTAGATCAAAAATGCTATGCATAAAAATAAATGAAATTAATATTTTAATACTATTATCAAAAACATTTACCAAATATACTAAATTATTAGAGTATCTTGAACAATATCAGGATGTTAATTATCCTATACACTTCTCTTTTGTAAGCTCTACAAACTTCTTAGTACCTTTCTAATTAAATAATAAAAACAGGTGAAGTACTCATGAAGTGAAGGCAGTATAGCTCAGCAAACTATCTCACATCAGCTTGACATAATGGAAAGTCACCTTCCTGGCTCTTACTGGAAGGTCCTGGCTCTATAGCCAACAGGTATTTGCTCTTAAACAAGTTGCTTCTCTTAGGCACAATGTCTTCTTCTAGATTTTACTATCTTCTTTCACTAGGTTGTTATATAGGTTTAATGAAGCAGCATTTTTAACATTCACAGAGAAATAGTAAAGCAGTGGAGTTTGTTCTTGAAATTTATTGCTGAAACTATTTTGAAATCCCAAATCAAACCCAATGTGTATTTTTTCATAGGTTCTAATATTCAAATGCTTCAGTTTAAGAAAAATGTTAAGTCCTAATTTTGCTTATTGTTCTATTATTTGTGGCTTATAATTCAGGTTATCTCAACTATTTCATAATTCATAAATAACTTATGAATACATTATTTCATTAAAATAGGTAACACGATTGTTAACTATTATTGAGCTCATCAATTCCAAGGGCAGAAAACTAACAGATGTCAAGATCTGGCTTGGGCTACCACTATTACTTCTCTACAGACTCTAACTGAATGAGCAGATGTTTGCTAGAATGATGGTTCATCTCCATCAGTGATGTTATCTCCAACTGACATGGAAGACAAAACCCTACTTTCATTTTTTTTAAGTTCCATGAAGTAGATGCAAGTTGACATTTTCTCATTTCCAAGATACATACTAACAAAATATTTACACAACACCCCATGTGTTACTTATCTCCATTCTCAGTTTATAGATCACCTTACACAAATGTTTTTGTAGTGAAAAATCACAATTCTAATATAAGGGGCCACCCATTTTGTTTTGATTCAAACTATGACTTAGCTAGCCAGCAAACAGTCAAATGACCTTCCCGTGACTGCAAAATATGAAATGCTTCACCATGCTAATTTTCTCCGTATTGTTCCAATTTTAGTATTTGTGCTGCCAAAGCAAGCACAAAGCCTTACTTTTACATATAACTGCTGATAAGTCATAGATGAGGGTTAGCTCTGTTAAATCTAACTAACAAACTTGAGACTCAGATAATTCCGATGAATGGCTTCCTGTGAAATAGAATCCGAAAATATTTTATAAACTTGAGATACTGATGCAAGCAGCTTGAGAGATCTTCATTATTATAGATAACAGATCACTTGAGGGGCCAACCACAAGTTGATACCTACTACTCTAAGGAAGGATGGCATAGAAGCTTCCACTACCTGAGAAAAGCTCTTACGCTGTTTATATAAAAAGTCTCAGGGTACAGATCTGGTAGCAATAAAGAAGAACACTGTGATCTCTTTCTACAACATTATTTGAATATCTCTGACAGTTTAGAACTATCCCAACTAATATTTGCTTTAAAGAGAAAAAAAAGGGACTCAAAAAATAACTCACCATGAAGGTCTAGAAGCCCAGGTTAAAATGTGGGCTTTACATAAGGTTTTGAGTGTGGGTGAAAGTGTCAATTTGCTCCGTATGTGTGTTGATAAAGTTAGAATATCCAGCTAACAGAGCAAGGTTCTGCTGTTTTGGAAACAATGGCTGAGCATATAAGTATGTGCAACTGAACTAAAAAAAACCAGTTGTAACTTTGAAGCCTTTTTATGGATCAACATGAAGATTGAGGGATGTCAAACAGAAAGGGCATGCTGGTAGCAAAGGTTAATCACTACCAGACTGCAAGAGTACTTTCAATGGTAAGAAAGCAGCAACAGAATCAATGAAAACAAAGCAATGATTAGAATGTCCTTTCCCCTTCTCCTTCTGACTTGTAGACACTGATTGTCTTCCTTGGACTTAGGGAACCCCTTAGGTTCTTGAAAAATTCCATGATCAGGCTATAGTAGATGGTCCCCAGTACACAGCTCAAGGTTTTTTGATAAACTGGACATTTTGAGACCCAAATAACTAATTAGAAAAATCAAAGATGTGAAACTACTTTACCCTATGCATAGGGGTTATACTAGAAATAAAATGGACAACATTGGAATCCCTAAGGAGAAAAGTCCTGAAAGTTTCAATATCAAGAATCTTGCACCTACTGCTACTTATCTAGCCTTTTTCTTGATTTCTTTTGCTTGATTTCTGGCTGATGAAGTTGCACAACTCTCGAAAACTTAAAAACTTGAAAATTTGTCACTTGAAAACTACTTGAACCAAACTATGAAATCTCACCTGATATATAAGATGCAATTGTTACAATTATTTTAAACTTCAATTTAGTGTTCACTAGCCTTTTTATGTAAAGACTTACACTCTATTCTTAGCCTCAATGGCATAATCTCCTGCAATCTTTCGAAACGCATCTCGAGAAAGCACATCAATATTGTGCTGCAGAAGAAGAATGACTATATCTTTTTCTCCAAGAGTAACAGCATGTATGAGGGCTGATCTAAAATAACAGAGAGGTAATTAAAAACTTTAATGACATTTTAAAAGCTAAGTTTATATACTTTATCAACTTAATATGTTGCCTGTCCATGTAGAATTAACCCAATTACATGTACTAAGAAACAAGCATCTTGGGTGCTCAAGGGTTTATCTTTGCAAGTTACCACAAAGGTTAAAAGCAAGGAACAAAAAGGAAGCCTCTTGTCCTACTGTGGGTGGTATGACATAAAGTTGCTAACTTAAAGTCCTTTGATGGGCAAGAAACTATGCTCAGGCCACCTATCTACAGTAGGCAAATTTAAGTGAAAAATTATTCATTTCTTCCCTAGTATGATACTATACATTATAATGCAAAATCAGCTGAAGGGTCAGATAAGAGCTATCTGCAGGCTTAAAACAATAATATTAATAGGAATGCTAATAGTAGTAGTCATAGCTTCAGTTAATGATGCTGATAAGCGTGTGATAGGCATTTAATTAAACACTATATATATATATATATAAATATGGAGGATAATAATATATCCTTCAAGGATGGTTGTGTATAAGTAATATCACATATATATAAAATTAGTATATATAATCTATAAAATATATAATATACATTGTATATTATATATTATCTATAAAATATATAATATATAGTGTATTATATATTATCTATAAAGTATATATTGTATATATTATATATTATATATGATGTTACTTACATTATATTCTTACATACATATGTGTGTATATATAATATATGCACATACTTATATGCTCAGCCATTGTTTCCAAAACATCAGCACCTTGCTCTGTTAGCTGGACATTCTAACATTATATATATATATATATATATATAATGTTACTTACACACAACCACCCTTGAAGGATATATTATTACCCTCCTTTTCACAGAAGAAAACATACTTGGCAATAAGTAATGTTACCAAGGTCACACATCTAGCAAGTGGGAAAGCTAGGGATTAAACCCAGTCCTGTGTGAACCTAAAGCTTGTCTTCATTAAAGTTTTATCCATTTAAAGCTATCTTTTCTCCCCCTCCCCATATCAATTAAAAACAACATCAAAACACAGTAGAAATGAAAAACTAACATGAAACCCCTTTAGCTAATGTAAGATCATACAATCAAAAGCATCACATTATTACATTGTAAATAACACCACATCATATTACAAATAACAAACATCTATCAATATACAGAGCTTTCTATATATAGAAGCCTTTTATGTGTATAATGTCTATAGAGAGAGACGAATCCTGCTATACACTGTTCTTTATGTTACTCAGTCCAAATAATTGTTTTCCTACCTAAGTGATGATCTGTGTTATTTCTCACTATATCCCAATAATTACAAGTTAGTCTTCTTATTAATGTAATATTTGTGACTTGAGGGACTGCTACCACACTAAAATGACACTCAGGTTTAAAAACGACACAATAAGAACTAAGGTCTGTACCTGCCAAGATAATCAATGGCATTTACATTTGCTTTTTTCTTTAATAAAAATTCCACCATTTTCACTTTTCTTCGACTCACAGCAAATAACAGTGGCTGATATTCACACTGTAAAATAACAGCAACAATTTATAATCACAAAATTACATATTTATCAACTGAACTGAAAACCTTATGTAAGTAAGATCCTGTGAGCTTCAATATATACAATTGAAAGGTCATAAGAGGTAGTCCCTTTCTTTTCCCTCCTCGGTGCTTTTCTATGTTCTGCTCCTTCCCCTGGAAACAACCTCCTCTGCCTCACCACAAGAACTCTGGTCATCTCCAAAACTCACTTCAAACATTTCCCAGTTCCAAGAATCTTTGCTTCTGTCCCAGCATTTAGCATGGCATGTTTCAAGGATTTAATTGTTTCCCACCTGAACCAAGAGCTTCTTGAGGGCAGCAGCTGTATTTTTTTCTCTATGTCCTCAAACTCTAAGACACAGTAATAAATGTTTCAGGTATTTTTATTAATGATCTAAATTATTATCTATAGAGCGGTGTTTCTTAAACTATTAATATATTCCAAAGGATATTTACTTTACCAGAATTTGAACATTATACCCCAAAAGAGAGACTCCATGATCACCCATGTTTGAAAAATGTTACAAAACTGCATTATGTGTCTAGTATTTGAGAAATCTTTTGAACTTCACCTAATCCCTATTTGTAAATACTTATTTTGGAGAATGTTAACATTTGAGAAATGAGAGTTTCAGGGATACAGTTGTGAGAGCTTACCAGTAAAGGTAGAGGTTTCCTCTGGGTGATACACACTTGCCTCATTCTCTTCTATCGATGGTGTAAGAATCTCAGGTGACAATGTCAGGAGCTCCTGAGCACCTGAGCACCTGACATTGTCATCTGAGATTCTGACACGATTGACAGTTCATTTGAAGCCTATCTCTTTTTAATTCGGAGAGCCGGGCTCTGAATTAATAGAGATAGGCTTCGAGTGAACTTTCACTGCTTATTATTAAATAGTCCATGGGTTTTCTCTAGTAATATTTTTATCTTAGCTGTCAGAAAGCTCTGTATGAAATGTTATTCTCAATTACAATCTTAGGACCCTGATGCAAATATTTATGTAATTATAATCTTAGGACCCTGGTACATAACTCCTTTAAAAATCTATTTGTATTCTAGTTTCCAATTAATTCTTACTTTTTTTATTTTAGGTAAAATATCAATCAGAAATAAAAATACAATGGCTTATCAATTAAAGCTCTAATAATGACCTATATGAATTATTTATAGCATAATGAAAGCCACTAAATTATTTGCATCTTTTATTTATTTATTTATTTGGGATGGAGTCTCGCTCTGTCGCCCAGGCTGGAGTGCAGTGGTGCCATCTTGGCTCACTGCAACCTCCGCCTCCCGGATTCAAGCACGAGAAATTCTCCTGCCTCAGCCTCCCGAGTAGCTGGGACTACAGGAGTGTGCCACCACACCCAGCTAATTTTTTGTATTTGTAGTAGAGAGGGGGTTTCACCGTGTTAGCCAGGATGGTCTCAATCTTCTGACCTCGTGATCTACCTGCCTCTGCCTCCCAAAGTGCTAGGATTACAGGCGTGAGCCACTGCGCTCGGCCAATTACTTGCATTTTTAGGAGGCAATGCTGAAGAGAAAAATATAATGTTGTCTGCAATATGCATAACCTATGCAACCATACCATGATTCACCTTAAAAAGCTTACATGCATTCTAATGGGAAGATGATTATTTATGGTATGTATAAAGAAAAATAGTTTATAAAACACCACCATCTAAATTCAAAAGTTCAACCCGATTACCAAAGGATTTATATAAAATATAGACTCTACATTTAAATAAATATAAAATGTCTTAAAAACCTTGAAATATTTACTAAAATATATTATAAAACAGGGCTTGTAAAGTCATCCCTACAGAGGCAAGGGAGATGACCTGAGGAAGTGAAGTACCTAGGTAGGCACAGTAGCAAAATGGAGACCACATGCCTCATAGAAAGGGGCAACCTCTGCACAGCATCCAAAACCTGAGATAGGCTCAAGGGACACCAGATTGGATTCTTGAAGAGAAGCCTGGAATCCAGATCTGTGCACGAGTCTCCTAAACCTTCCATGTTGAGACAATTTGTAGACACAAACTAAACACATGTATGGGACACATTTGGACTATATACCTTGTATTTTTATATTTGCTATGGATATGTCTCCAAGCAATTGTATGTAACACAAGTATTTTCATGTAAAATACTTCCTTTCTTTAGTTTCAGATTTTTTTTTCCAAAATAGGCCCAAGAATACAATAAAAATTGTTACTAAGAGTCATAATACCCACTTTGAGCACTTTTACAACATTCATTCATTTATAATTTATGTTTAATTTTCCCAGATTGTTCACCAAATGGATAATTAGTTCATAAGACTGCTGCAACTAAATTATTAAAATAATATTAAATTATAATTCTAGTTTCTATATTGTAACCTAATTTTTTTATTTTAGGGAAAATATAAATCAGAAATAAAAATACAATGGCTTATCAATTAAAGCTCTAATAATGACCTATATGTATTCTTTGTATTCTTACTAACTTCATGGTTTTCAGTGTTTAAAACTGCTATCCTGATTATGCCACAGTTCTATGTACTTAACTGACATACTGAGGCAGTCC
This sequence comes from Homo sapiens, assembly GCF_000001405.40. Taxonomy (NCBI): domain Eukaryota; kingdom Metazoa; phylum Chordata; class Mammalia; order Primates; family Hominidae; genus Homo; species Homo sapiens. The sequence goes on along the minus strand of NC_000002.12, from coordinate 97,120,294 downwards.
ATAATAGAGCTTCAGCTTTAAAAAAAGGTTTAGAATTTTTTGCTATTGTAATTGAGAGAACCCCGCTTTTAATAATGATGTATTGACCTAATCACCAGAATGATAACAAAGAGACTCAGAGTCCTGAAAGAGTCAGTCTCTACTTATTAAAAGAGTCCACAATAGCAAATTTCTAATGACCCTATGAATGGCAGTGAATAAGTGATGGTGGCAAAGAAAAGGTGTTATTCTTATGCTGATAGATACTGCAAATAATAGTCCTTTCCACTTCCCAACCACAGAGGTAGAGACAGGTAAAAGTCAGGCCAATATTATTGGAAAGGAGAAATTTAAAGGAAGCAGCACCTATCTCCAGCTCTTCTAGAGATTTTTTGTGTGTTTGAGATATGGGAATTTATATTACACTTATCTATTCAGTGGTTCTTAACCAGCAGCGTATCAGTGTCCCAAGAAATGTTTTATTGTTGTTGTTGTTGTTGTGTTGTTGCTGTTAGAGGCAGTGTCTTAATCTGTTGCTCTGGCTAGAGGCACCACCATGCCCAGCTTCAAGGAAATATTTTAAAACATACATGCCCAGTAATATTTAATAGTAAATATTAGATTTACCATATTAAAATCTTCAGGGGATATCCTAGACTTAGAGATTTGCTTTTAATTTCCCCAGGTTACTGCCATGCACAATTCTAACTGCGAACCAGCACAGTTGATAATCACTTCAGTCTCATTTCTCACCCACGTGGCAAATTCCCTTTATCGTTTGGGATTTGGCCGAAAAGAGGAAAGAGCAAAAGATAGAGCCATTCACTGAAGACTTCATTTACTTTTCCTGGGTAGGGGTAGGGAAGAGACTAGTAAGCTCAAAATCCAACTTGATTTTACTATTTATAAGCTCCGTATCTCCCACCTGCCCATCAAGACATTCTGGACTTGAGAGTAGAGTTTAGATGCTTATCTGAGTGGCTGTTTCTGCCAGAATTGAATAATGTCCATTAATTATGTGTTCTTCTCTCTGCTGAACTGTGTGCCGCTTCATCACCACTATTCACTGCCAACCTGGTTTCCTCAGAGTCTTACCAAAATTGATCCCTGGGCAATTTCACAACTCACAAACTCTTTCCCAAAGTAAGAATAATCATCCCCAAAACTGAAGCGATCTTTGTCTAAACATATAAATTGAAAACAAACAACAAAACACACAAAAACCCTCTCCACAGTATTTTCCCTCATTACCTAATTTCCAAATTAGCTTGTGCATTTCTGATTGCTCTCCTTTTCTTCATTTTTCCCTCTTAAGCCTTTCCACAGAGGAATCACTTTCAAATGAAATCACCTTCACATACAACACTTTCAACAGCAACAACATGTACATTTATTGTGAAATTCTTTAATTTTCTTTGACATTTAAAATAAAGCCTATTTATAAGGGACAATTTTACTTTCCTGTGTCACTTCACACTGATTAGAAAAAAAGTAATTTAGTGGAAAAACACTTAACTATTACCTTTCCCAAATTCAGTTGTCATGAATTATAAATTTATTGTAATTCATTTGTTTTTATAGTTATTTACCATAAGTGCATGAAAAAAGGCTGTTCCCTATAATGCTTCTTTAAAAGTTCCAATATTTAAAGTAAAATCTTAGACAGTTAAGGCATTTCAAAATATTTTCATTCAAGGAATGTTTGAGCTTCCAAATATGAAAAATTGACCCTTACATGTGTCAATGTTAAAATAAATGCATTTCAGATAGTTTGAAAATAACATTGGTTGACCTATACCTTGCTGCATTCTTCAATATTTGTACCATGTGAAAGAAGTTTTTCTATCATGGATGTATCTTCATTATACACAGCGTAGTGCAGAGCAGTCCTTCCAAAGAAATCCGTAATATTTGGATTGGCGCCATTTTGCAGCAGAAGAGTTGCACAAGCCTCCTGCCTCAGTTGTACAGCCTGTCAGTATTAGACCGAGAAACATGCAAATACTGAAAAATCAAAATAAACACTCCGTAGGATTTCCTACTAGTTATATGGTGGTATTCCAATGAGATAAATTCATTTTATCCTATGTACTTCAACCAAATCCATCTCATGCTCAAAGAGTCAGCTACTATATACCTTGATCAGAGGTGTCCTGTCTTCACGGTCGCAGAGGTTAAGCTCACATCTTCTGGACACCAGGAGATGTACCATTTCCGGTTGGCCAGTGGCACAGGCCAAATGTAGGGCGGTCCTGTGAGAGTGACAGGACTTTTTAAAACATGTAACTGTAAGCATTAATTAGCATGTCATTTCTCTGTCTTCAAAACAAATATGTAATTTTCTTGTGAAGAAAGTACAACATTTGTTAGCGCTTATTACTCACCACATTAATGAAAGAGCAGGCTATTTAATAGAAAAGCCTTGGCTTTTGGATTCAGTTTAATTGGGGCTTAAAATTTACTGTAAGCTCTGTCACTTAGCTGTTATTTAGCCTTTCTTTGCTTCAATTTCCTTATCAATAAAATATATAAGAGAATAGTAGCTAGCCCACAGAACACTGCTGTGATGCTTACATAAGAATCTATGCACAGCATTTAGAACACTTTCTAACACAAATAACAGCTCAATAATTTTTAGATATTACTACCTACAAAGACATTTTAATTAAGTAAAATGATACAATCATATCTACATTGAGGTATCTATTAAAGATTAGATGTATCATTGTATTTCAGTCATTCTCAGATGCTCATTTTCTCACCATTCTCTTATATAAGCTACTATTCTCTTATATATTAACATCTCCTGACATTGGAATACTGTTTACAATTAATTGTTTATTACATTTATAACTGGCAACATTTTAAACATTATCTTATTGATATATAAAGTAATGTGGCATCACCCAATCCGTGATGCCTTACATTAAGTGGGATACAGTACATAGAACAGGCAGTTCTACTCATATAATTGGCACCTAAATAAAGTACTGTGGAAAAAGAAGGCAAAAATAAAAAAACAAATTTTTAAAACAAAGTAATTCTCACTTCAATTTAAAAAAAAAAATAATCCAAAGAAAACTCAGGATTCAAATGAATAGGTATGGCCCATTTTTTTCAATACTTACAGAATGTTATGTAAATTAGGTATTTGCAACGATTAATAGTAGTATTTGAGAGTGTCATAAGTTTCTGAAATGGCAGTTAAAGGTTATCTTTCACTATTTTCTAACTTCAGAATTGCTTTTGTTTAAAAAAAAAAAAAAAAGGAATAAAAGATCCAACTGGGATTAAGTCCTAACGCTTCCATTTTAAATCTCAGCTTGCTCAGGCTGGGCAGGTAAACATGAAGTTGTTAAGGGTGGAAGAGTCCTGAGAGATGGTGGAATCTGTCTGCTACATAATAGGTATTCAGGTTATGCTTGATGAATAACTGGATTGAAAGAATGCATACATACAGTTGGGAAGTTTATTATGAAAAAAACTATAAATTAAAGCAGTGCTTTTGGAATAGTGATAATCACTTATATTTGCTCATTTTCATTTTCATGAGGACACTGATAAACTAAAATAATTAATTTAAAATTGTTTCCTTATATGTAATAAAACTATAATAAAAACCTATTTATGTACTAAAATCTATGCATAATAAAATAATCAAGCACAAATAAAAATATTCCCTCTGCCTCTGAAGAGGCTAAAAGTTCACAGAAGATACCAATAAACAAAAAAATAAAAATAAGGCCAGGCACAGTGGCTCACACCTGTAATCCCAGAACTTTGGGAGGCCGAGGCACGGGGATCACCTGAGGTCAGGAGTCTGAGACCAGCCTGGCCAACATGGTGAACCCCGTCTTTACTAAAATATACAAAAATTAGCTGGGCATGGAGGCGCACACCTGTAATCCCAGCTACTCAGGAGGCTGAGGTGGGAGAATCACTTGAACCTGAGAGGCAGATTGCAGTGAGCCGAGATCATGCCACTGCACTCCAGGCTGGGCAACAGGGTGAGACTCCATCTCAAAAATAAACAAACAAACAAAGACATAAATAATAAAATAAAATAGAAACTGAGAATTATTTTTTCTTTGCAAGATTTATATTTCTTCTTTTTCCAAGGATAATTTCATTAATAAAAAACATTTACTAGAAGTTTTAAACATACTGATCATTTATACATCACAGATAAGAGAAAATATCACAATACACCTGCCAGAAAAGAAGAAATGTTACATTTTGTACACATATTTGGCTTACAAACACCATAGATTGTTTGTGTGTATGTATAATCAAACCAACTTTTTTTCAGAGTACATCTTCACACCTCAACATACATCTGTATCTACTGACATCTGCAAAGGTCCCATATTGTCCCATCCTATGGATGCACTGAAATTTATTGATAAATTTATAAAATTTATAAAATCCATTATAAGGGGTTTTCCAAATACATTGCTATTTTAAGCAGTGCTGAGAAAAACAAATTGCATGTATCTCTATTTCCTAGAGATATTTTAGTATAATGGAATTGATGGGTGAAGGGCACATACATTTTTACAGTGTGATACTTACCAAAAAATTGTCTATTTGAAAAGTCATCAGAAATGTAAACTTTCAACAGCAGTATATGTACTGCTACCCTTTACCCTCACAAACTTGTGATAGAAAATAGTATTTCATTCCTTTTTTAACTTAAATACCTTCTCCTCCCAGGAACACTAAATATTTTTTCCCATGTGCATAGGTTGCTTGAACATCTGAAAAATAAATGCTTTGCTCTATTTTAAATGAGAGTTCTTGTTTATTTGAAGAATTCTCTGTAAAATGAAAATCACTTTTTTATCTAATATGTATATACACATATTGTCTTTTGTTAATTTTTTCTTATAAACTGGATTTTTTTTATTTTGCTAAATCGACCTTCAGAATGTGTGCTTGTGATATTTGTAGGAATATAAACATGCATCAATATAAGTAGGCATTTGTGTTTTTTTCTGTTATCTTTCTTATTTTGTGCATTTAAAATTTTTAATCTACATTCCATAACGAATTTATTTCTGTGACATAAAAATCTAGCCAGATTTCTCCAAATAGTTAGCAGGCACTTCATTTATGAGTAATTCATCTTTTCCTACTAATATGAAATGTCACCATTATCCAATTCTATTAGATTGGTGCAAAGGCAATTGCGGCTTTCGCCATTACTTGTAATTGCGGCAAAAACCGCAATTGCTTTTGCACCAACCTAATAAATTCTTACACATATTGGTGTGTTCCTGGATTTTCTAACCTGTTCCATTCACTGATTTGTTGTTTCAGCTGTTAGTAAATAACTTGTGGAAATTAACAGCACATTTTCATATCTAGAAAGGCAAGTCTTTTTTGACTCCATTTCAAAAGTTTTCTTGATGTCGTCACAATAGTAAAAGACAGCATGAGTAATTCAAAAATGTTAACACTTTGATAACTTTATTTGGATTATGTAAAATTTATAAACACAGAAAGAGCTCAGAACTTTAGAAAAATGTGTCTTTCTATTCAAGAACACAGACCATCTTCCCACTTCAAAGTTTCCCTCTAAGGTCCCTCAGTGAAAACCAAATTGACATAGGTGTCCATTGATATCAAATAAATATTGGATTTTTATCCAAAGAATTTTTAGCCAGGAAGTTGATATATTATGGAAATGATTTCTCTCATTATGCACCTTTCCATAATGTATGTAACATTATGCTTTAAAATGTGCACGTTAAAAATAAAACGCTGTACATGCTGAATTTTATTAGTGAAATCACTTTAAAATGATTTATAAAGAAGCAGCATGGTGAGTGATTGGAAACCAGCTGAAGTTTTGTTTTTGTTTTGCTGCTTGTGAAAATGACCTGGGTGCTCGCCCCCGCCAAGGTTTCCACATCCCAGGTGCGGCTGAGCCTGCCAGGAAAGAAAGTCCAGCCCCTTTGGTGACAGGACTCGCCCCCCTCACCTCTGCACCCCTTTCCCCCACCCCATTCACCCCCACCCCTCACCCCCACCTCCAGTCCTCTATCCCATTGAACCCTCACCCCATCTCCCCACCCCACACCGTCCACGCCCCTACCCCCCAAGCCTTCATTCCGTCCACCTCAGCCCATTCACGCCCCCACCCCATGCACCCCCTACTCCCCACTCCCATCCCCCAACTCACTCCACACCCCGCCACCCCATATACCGCCACTCCCCAGGCCCCGCTCCACTCACTCCCACCCCAGCCGGGCACCCCCTAGCCCCCGTCCAAACCCCGAGCCCCGGACCATCCGCCCCGCAGCCCTCAGCCTGGAAAGGGGTACTTCTCCACATCCACAGGCCTCCTCCCGCAGCCCCGGCTCCCGGCCCCCATTACCTTTCCTTCCTGTCTCTCTTATTGGCGTCATAATACGTGAGCAGAAGGTACTTCAGTTTCTCTAGATTACCATGTAAGACAGCTCTGTGGATCCTCTTCAGATGATACGGTTTAATGGGGTATTGGGGAAATGCGAAGCCATCCGAGCACAAGCGCTCCATGAGGGTGGGCCACCTCTCCCGCTTGCCGTCTTCCATAATCGTCGGCTGCAAATTGTAGCCTGCAGCCGTATTTCAGCTCGCCTTCGGGGATCGCCGCCTCCGAAGAGCAACAACGAGCAAAGCAGTCTGTCCACGGACCTCCGCACAGACTCTCAGCGCCTCCCGCCTCTCAGCAGAAACGCCCAACAGAAGGGTTAGAACCAGCGAGCACGCGCACCTTAGCCGGCCCTGCCCAACAGGCCCGAGGCAGAGAAACCGCCCTAGCAGCTCTCGCGCGCCCAGTGCAGGCGGCGGTTGCTGCGGAGGTGCCGCGGGAGGGCGGGGCTCCCTGGAGCGCGAGGCGCGCCCTGCCCCAGGGCCTGTTTAACTGTCGCCCGCGCGCTCTTCTCTTCCACAGGCTCCCGACGCTCGGAGTCCCCCGCGCTGGGCCCTCTGCAGCCCAGGGATGGGGTTGAGTGGTGCTTCTCCGCCTGGTGCCACCGCTGGGCCCACAGCCCCACTTCGCCACTGCGTCGCCCCCGGGGTCCGCGCTGATGGGTGCGAGGCGGGAGGACGGGATCCGGGGTTGCCACAGCTGCAGCCAGCGCACCACTTGTAGGCGGCACTGCAGCTCGGGCTCCGGCGGGGGCTGGCGGGGCTCCCGTGGGATGGCCTCCTGGGCCCTGAGTGCGCCCCCATCCGGCCGGAGGGTGCGCGCCTCCTGCACCCCCGGCGGAAGCCCATGCCCGGCGCTCCTGCCGCAGACTGCCTGACTTGCCGCGGCCAGGCTGGCCCCGGGGTCCGCGCGGCTGGAGGCGCAGGCCTGGTCGGGGATTCCCAATCCTCGGGGACCCCTGCTCCATGTGCTGGTGGCGGCTGCAGCTGCAGCGCCCGTGGGCTGACGTGGCTTCCCGGAGCTGCGGCCGGCCGCGCCCAAGGGCCCCACAGGCTGCGCTGCCCTTGCCAGCTGCTCCTGACCCGCGCCCAGAGCGCAGGACCTGACGCTTGGCACTCTGCAGCCACGGGGATGAGGCTGAGCGCCTGTTTTCGGCCTCGTGGCGCCGCTGGGGCCACAGCCTGACTTCACCACCCTGTCGCCCGAGTCCTGTGATGGGCAGGTGTGAGGAGGGGCAATCGGGGTTCCCAAGGCTGCTGCCTGCATGCCACTCCGTGAGGAAGTTGAAATACGTGATCTCTAAGATTCCTCCCAGTTCTTCACCTCATGAGACAAATATAAATCAAGTA